>NC_000003.12:154614664-154917695 GCF_000001405.40 Homo sapiens | reverse complement strand
TAAAACCCACTTGGTCATGGCATATATGGTTATGCATCACTTAATGATGGGAACATGTTCTAAGACATGCATCATTAGGAGATTTCATCATTTTACAAACATCATAGAGTGTACTTACATAAACTTAGATGGTACAGCTTACTACACCTAGGCTATATAATATAGACTCTTGTTCCTAGGCTACAAACTCATACAACATGTTACTTTCCTGGATACTGTAGGAAATCACAATGCAATAAGTATCTTTGTATCTAAACATAGAAAAGTGCAGTAAAGATGTGGCATTATATTATATCATCCATCATTGATTAAAATGTCATTATATGGTGCACAACGATAATTGTTTCTATACATTGTTGGATTCAATTTGCTAATATTTTATTCAGAATTTTTATTTCTACATTCATAAAATATATTGGTATGTAGTTTTCTCTTCCTGCAATATCTTTGTTTAGTTTTGGTATTAGGTAAGGCTGGCCTCATAAAATGAGTTAGGAAGTAGTCCTGTTGCTTCTATACTCTGAAAGAGATTGTAGAGAATAGTACAATTTCTTCTGAAGTGTTTGGTAGAATTCTTCAGTAAACCTCTTTGAGCATTCTGCTTTCTGTTTTGGAAGGTTATTAATTATTGGTTTAATGTCTAGAATAGATATAGAACTATTCAGATTGTCTATTTCTTCTTTTATGAGTGTTTGGTCATTCTTTTAAGGCTTTTGTCTACTTCATCTAGTTTATTAAATTTGCGGGTGTAGAATTATTCATAATATTTTTTATTATCATTTTAATGTGCATAGGATTTTAAAGTTTATAGTATTTCCCCTCTTTCATTTCTGACATTAGCATCTTGTGTCTTTTCTTTCTTTCTTTGTAAGCCTGGAAAAAGGATTATAAGTTTTACTAATGTTTTCAAAGTAACAACTTTTGATTTTGTTGATTTTTCTCCATTGATTTCCTGTTTTCAGTTTCATTGAGTTCTGCTCTAATTTTTATTGTTAATTTTCTTTGGCTAACTTTGGCTTTAATTTGTTATTTTATTTCTAGCTACCTAAGGTGGAAGCCTGGATTATTTATTTATTTAATATTTTTAAATTTCCTAATTTTAAAATAATTTTTTAAACTTTTATTTTAAGTTCTGGGTTACATATGCAGGTTTGTTGTATAGGTAAATTTATGTCATGGGAGATTATTAGACAGATTATTTCACCATCTAGGTATTAGCCTATGAAGGAAAAAATGTTAAAAGCAGTTAGAGAGAAAGGTCAGGTCACCTATGAAGGGAAGCCCATCAGACTACCAGCAGACGTCTCAGCAGAAATCCTACAAGCCAGAAGGGATTGTGGGCCAATATTCAACATTGTTAAGGTAAAGAAATTCCAACCA
Organism: Homo sapiens; assembly: GCF_000001405.40. Lineage (NCBI taxonomy): Eukaryota > Metazoa > Chordata > Mammalia > Primates > Hominidae > Homo > Homo sapiens. The sequence continues at coordinate 154,916,315 of NC_000003.12, read as the reverse complement.
AGAATTTCATATCTGGCCAAACTAAACTTTATAAGTGAAGGAGAAATAATATTCTTTTCACACAAGCAAATGCTGAAGGAATTTGTTACCACCAGATCTGCCTCACAAAAGCTCCTGAAGTTAAGCACTAAATATGGAAAGGAAAGACTGTTACTAGCCACTACAAAAACACACTTATGTATACAGACCAGTGACACTATAAAGCAACCACACAAACAAGTCTGCATAACAACCAGCTAGAATTAAGGTAACAGGACCACATCTACACATATTAATAATAATGTTGAATGTAAATGGGCTAAATGTCCCACTTAAAAGACAGAGTGGCAAGCTGGATGAGAAACCAAGATTCACTGTTATGCTGTCTTTAAGAGACCCATCTCACAAGCAGTGACACCCATAAGCTCAAAATAAAGGGATGAAAAAAATTTACCAGGAAAATGGAAAACAGAAAAAAGCAGGGGTTGCAGTCCTAATTTCAGAGAAAACAGACTTTAAACCAACAAAGACCAAAAAAAGACAAAGAAGGGCATTACATAATGGTAAAGGTTTCAATTCAACAAGAAGACCCAACTATTCTAAATATATATGCACCCAACACAGGAGCACCCTGATTTGTAAACCAAGCTCTTAGAGACCTTCAAAGAAGTTTAGACTCCCACACAATAATAGTGGGAGACTTCAACACCCCACTGACATGATTAGACAGATCATCAAGACAGAAAATCAACAAAGATTTTCACAACCTGAAATCAGCACTGGATCAAATGAATCTGACAGATATCTACAGAACTCTATCCCAGAGCAACAGAATATACATTCTTCTCACCACCACATGGCACATACTCTAAAATTGACCACACAATTGGACATGAAACAATCTTTGGCAAGTGCAAAATAACTGAGATCATAACGACCACTCTCTTAAACCACAACACAATAAAATTAGAAATCAAGACTAAGAAAATTGCTCCAAACCATACAATTACTTGTCATACAATGTGTGATAATCACATCATGGTAAATTAGGTATCTATTGCATCAAGCATTTATCCTTTCTTTGTGTTACAAACTATCCAATTATACTCATTTAGTTATTTCAAAATATATAATAAATTATTGTTGACTGTAGTCACCCTATCGTGCTATCAAATACTAGATCTTATTCATTCCATCTAACCACATTTTTGTTCCCATTAACCATCTTCACTCTCCACCCCACCCCGACTCCACTACCCTTCCCAGTCTCTGGTAACCATCATAAAACTCTCTAGCTGCATGAGTTCAATTGTTTTAATTTTTCTAGCTCCCACAAATAAGTGAGAAGTAACATTTGTCCTTTGTTATTTCCAAATATTGGCTATTGTGAGTAGTTTGATAATGAACATGGAAGTGCAGACATCTCTTCTTTATATTGATTTCCTTTCTTTTGGGTATATACCTAGCAGTGGGATTGATGGATCATATGGTAGTTCTTTTTTTTTTTTTTTTTTTTTTTTTGAATTTGGGATATGTTTTTTTTTTATTATACTCTAAGTTTTAGGGTACATGTGCACATTGTGCAGGTTAGTTACATATGTATACATGTGCCATGCTGGTGTGCTGCACCCACTAATGTGTCATCTAGCATTAAGTATATCTCCCAATGCTATCCCTCCCCCCTCCCCCAACCCCACCACAGTCCCCAGAGTGTGATATTCCCCTTCCTGTGTCCATGTGATCTCATTGTTCAATTCCCACCTATGAGTGAGAATATGCGGTGTTTGGTTTTTTGTTCTTGCGATAGTTTACTAAGAATGATGGTTTCCAATTTCATCCATGTCCCTACAAAGGATATGAACTCATCATTTTTTATGGCTGCATAGTATTCCATGGTGTATATGTGCCACATTTTCTTAATCCAGTCTATCATTGTTGGACATTTGGGTTGGTTCCAAGTCTTTGCTATTGTGAATAGTGCCGCAATAAACATACGTGTGCATGTGTCTTTATAGCAGCATGATTTATAGTCCTTTGGGTATATACCCAGTAATGGGATGGCTGGGTCAAATGGTATTTCTAGTTCTAGATCCCTGAGGAATCGCCACACTGACTTCCACAATGGTTGAACTAGTTTACAGTCCCACCAACAGTGTAAAAGTGTTCCTATTTCTCCACATCCTCTCCAGCACCTGTTGTTTCCTGACTTTTTAATGATTGCCATTCTAACTGGTGTGAGATGATATCTCATAGTGGTTTTGATTTGCATTTCTCTGATGGCCAGTGATGATGAGCATTTCTTCATGTGTTTTTTGGCTGCATAAATGTCTTCTTTTGAGAAGACATGGTGTTTTGGACATGAAGTCCTTGCCCACGCCTATGTCCTGAATGGTAATGCCTAGGTTTTCTTCTAGGGTTTTTATGGTTTTAGGTCTAACGTTTAAATCTTTAATCCATCTTGAATTGATTTTTGTATAAGGTGTAAGGAAGGGATCCAGTTTCAGCTTTCTACATATGGCTAGCCAGTTTTCCCAGCACCATTGATTAAATAGGGAATACTTTCCCCATTGCTTGTTTTTCTCAGGTTTGTCAAAGATCAGATAGTTGTAGATATGCGGCATTATTTCTGAGGGCTCTGTTCTGTTCCATTGATCTATATCTCTGTTTTGGTACCAGTACCATGCTGTTTTGGTTACTGTAGCCTTGTAGTATAGTTTGAAGTCAGGTAGTGTGATGCCTCCAGCTTTGTTCTTTTGGCTTAGGATTGACTTGGCAATGCGGGCTCTTTTTTGGTTCTATATGAACTTTAAAGTAGTTTTTTCCAATTCTGTGAAGAAAGTCATTGGTAGCTTGATGGGGATGGCATTGAATCTGTAAATTACCTTGGGCAGTATGGCCATTTTCACGATATTGATTCTTCCTACCCATGAGCATGGAATGTTCTTCCATTTGTTTGTGTCCTCTTTTATTTCCTTGAGCAGTGGTTTGTAGTTCTCCTTGAAGAGGTCCTTCACATCCCTTGTAAGTTGGATTCCTAGGTATTTTATTCTCTTTGAAGCAATTGTGAATGGGAGTTCACCCATGATTTGGCTCTCTGTTTGTCTGTTGTTGGTGTATAAGAATGCTTGTGATTTTTGTACATTGATTTTGTATCCTGAGACTTTGCTGAAGTTGCTTATCAGCTTAAGGAGATTTTGGGCTGAGACGATGGGGTTTTCTAGATATACAATCATGTCGTCTGCAAACAGGGACAATTTGACTTCCTCTTTTCCTAATTGAATACCCTTTATTTCCTTCTCCTGCCTGATTGCCCTGGCCAGAACTTCCAACACTATGTTGAATAGGAGCGGTGAGAGAGGGCATCCCTGTCTTGTGCCAGTTTTCAAAGGGAATGCTTCCAGTTTTTGCCCATTCAGTATGATATTGGCTGTGGATTTGTCATAGATAGCTCTTATTATTTTGAAATACGTCCCATCAATACCTAATTTATTGAGAGTTTTTAGCATGAAGGGTTGTTGAATTTTGTCAAAGGCTTTTTCTGCATCTATTGAGATAATCATGTGGTTTTTGTCTTTGGCTCTGTTTATATGCTGGATTACATTTATTGATTTGCGTATATTGAACCAGCCTTGCATCCCAGGGATGAAGCCCACTTGATCATGGTGGATAAGCTTTTTGATATGCTGCTGGATTCGGTTTGCCAGTATTTTATTGAGGATTTTTGCATCAATGTTCATCAAGGATATTGGTCCAAAATTCTCTTTTTTGGTTGTGTCTCTGCCCGGCTTTGGTATCAGAATGATGCTGGCCTCATAAAATGAGTTAGGGAGGATTCCCTCTTTTTCTATTGATTGGAATAGTTTCAGAAGGAATGGTACCAGTTCCTCCTTGTACCTCTGGTAGAATTCGGCTGTGAATCCATCTGGTCCTGGACTCTTTTTGGTTGGTAAACTATTGATTATTGCCACAATTTCAGAGCCTGTTATTGGTCTATTCAGAGATTCAACTTCTTCCTGGTTTAGTCTTGGGAGAGTGTATGTGTCGAGGAATGTATCCATTTCTTCTAGATTTTCTAGTTTATTTGCGTAGAGGTGTTTGTAGTATTCTCTGATGGTAGTTTGTATTTCTGTGGGATCGGTGGTGATATCCCCTTTATCATTTTTTATTGTGTCTATTTGATTCTTCTCTCTTTTTTTCTTTATTAGTCTTGCTTGCGGTCTATCAATTTTGTTGATCCTTTCAAAAAACCAGCTCCTGGATTCATTGATTTTTTGAAGGGTTTTTTGTGTCTCTATTTCCTTCAGTTCTGCTCTGATTTTAGTTATTTCTTGCCTTCTGCTAGCTTTTGAATGTGTTTGCTCTTGCTTTTCTAGTTCTTTTAATTGTGATGTTAGGGTGTCAATTTTGGATCCTTCCTGCTTTCTCTTGTAGGCATTTAGTGCTATAAATTTCCCTCTACACACTGCTTTGAATGCGTCCCAGAGATTCTGGTATGTGGTGTCTTTGTTCTCGTTGGTTTCAAAGAACATCTTTATTTCTGCCTTCATTTCATTATGTACCCAGTAGTCATTTAGGAGCAGTCTGTTCAGTTTCCATGTAGTTGAGCGGCTTTGAGTGAGATTCTTAATCCTGAGTTCTAGTTTGATTGCACTGTGGTCTGAGAGATAGTTTTTTATAATTTCTGTTCTTTTACATTTGCTGAGGAGAGCTTTACTTCCAACTATGTGGTCAATTTTGGAATAGGTGTGGTGTGGTGCTGAAAAAAATGTATATTCTGTTGATTTGGGGTGGAGAGTTCTGTAGATGTCTATTAGGTCTGCTTGGTGCAGAGCTGAGTTCAATTCCTGGGTATCCTTGTTGACTTTCTGTCTCGTTGATCTGTCTAATGTTGACAGTGGGGTGTTAAAGTCTCCCATTATTAATGTGTGGGAGTCTAAGTCTCTTTGTAGGTCACTGAGGACTTGCTTTATGAATCTGGGTGCTCCTGTATTGGGTGCATAAATATTTAGGATAGTTAGCTCCTCTTGTTGAATTGATCCCTTTACCATTATGTAATGGCCTTCTTTGTCTCTTTTGATCTTTGTTGGTTTAAAGTCTGTTTTATCAGAGACTAGGATTGCAACCCCTGCCTTTTTTTGTTTTCCATTGGCTTGGTAGATCTTCCTCCATCCTTTTATTTTGAGCCTATGTGTGTCTCTGCATGTGAGATGGGTTTCCTGAATACAGCACACTGATGGGTCTATTTTAAGTCTTTGGAGGAACCTCCATGCTGTACTCCATAGTGGGTGTACTAATTTACATTTGCCCCAACAGTGTTTGGGAGTTCCCTTTTCTCCACATTCTCACCAAAATTTGTTATTGCCTGTCTTTAGGATAAAATCCACTTAAGCTGGAGTAAGATAATATGTCATTGTACTTTTGATTGCATTTCTCTGATGATCAATGATGTTGCGCATCTTTTCATATATCTGTTTGCCATTTGTATGTCTTCTTTTGAGAAATGTCTGCTCAGATCTTTTGTGCATTTTTTAATTGAATTATTAATTTTTTTCTTATTGAATTGTTTGAGCTTCTTATATATTCTGGTTATTAATCCCTTGTCAGATGTATAGTTTGCAAATATTTTCTCTCATTCTGTGAGTTGTTTCTTCACTTTGTTGATTGTTTTATTTGCTGCACAGAAGCTTTTTAACTTGATGTGATCATACTTGTTCATTTTTGCTTTGGTTGCCTGTGCTTGTGGCGTACTAATACTCGGAAAAACTTTGCCTAGACCAATGTCCTGGAGAGTTTCCCCAATGTTTTTTTGTAGTATTTTTATGATTTCATGTCTTATATTTAAGTCTTTAATCCATTTTGTTTTGATTTTTGTTCATGGTGGGAAATAGGGGTCTAGTTTCATTCTTCTGCATGTGTACCAGTTTTCCTAGCACCATTTATTGAAGAGACTGTGTTTTCCCCAATGTATATTATTGACATTTGTTGAAATGAATTTACTGCAGAGGTATGGATTTATTTCTGTGTTCTCTATTCTGTTCCTTTGGTCTATGTGTCTGTTTTTATGCCAGTACCATGCTGTTCTAGTTACTATATCTCTGTAGTATAGTTTAAAGTCAGGTAATGCCACTCCTTTTGGTTTGTTATTTTTGCTCAGGATGCCCTTGTCTATTCTGGGTCTTTTGTGGTTCCATATAAGTTTTAGGATTTTTCTTTCCTCTGAAGAATGCAATTGGCATTTTGATAGAGATTGCATTGAATCTGTAGATTGCTTTAGATAGTATGAACGTTTAGCAATATTGATTCTTCCAATGCATGAACGTAAAGTATCTTTACATTTTTTTGTGTCCTGTTCAATTTCTTGCTTCAATGTTTTATAGTTTCCATTTTAGAGATCTTTCAATTCTTTGGTGAAATTAATTCCTAGGTATTTAATTTTATCTGTAGCTATTGTACATGGAATTACTTTTTAATTTCTTTTTCAGATTGTTTCCTGTTGGCATACAGAAATGCTACTGATTTTTGTGTGTTTCCACACTTTACTGACTTTTAAAAAAATCAGTTTTAATAGCTTTTGGTGGAGTCTAGGATTTTCCAAATACAAGATTATATCATCTGGAAACTGACTTTTTCTATTCCAATTTGGTTGCCCTTTATTTTGCTCTTTTGTCTGATTGCTCTGTCTAGGACCGCAGTACTATCTAAAATAACAATGGTGAAAGTTAGCATCCTTGTCTTCTTCCAGATCTTAGAGAAAAGATTTTCAATTTTTCCTCATTCAGTATGATTCTAGCTGTGGGTGTGTTATATGTAGCTTTTACTGTGTTGAGGTATGTTCCTTCTATACTCAACTTTTTGAGGGTTTTCATCATGGAGTGATGTTAAATTTTATCAAATGTTTTTTCAGCATCAATTGAAATGATCATATTGGTTTTGTCCTTTGTTCTGTTCACATAATGCATCACATTGATTGATTTGCATATTTTGAATCACCCTTGCATTTCTGAAATAAATCCCACTTGATCAGGATGAATGACCTTTTTAATGTGTTGTTAAATTCACTTTTTTAGTATTTTGTTGGGGATTTTTGCATCAGTGTTCATTAGAGATATTAGCCTGTAGTTTTCTTTTTTTGATGTACCTTTGTCTGTTTTTTTATATTACTGGCCTCGTAGAATGAGTTTGGAAGTATTTCTCTTCCTCTACTTTTCAGAATAGTTTGAGTAGGATTGGTATTGGTTTTTCTTTAAGTGTTTGGCAAAATTCAGCAGTGAAGCCATGAGGGCCTGGGTTTTCTTTGCTGAGAGACTTTTTATTATGGCTTCAATCTCATTACTTGTTATTGGTCTGTTAAGGTTTTGGATTTCTTCATGGTTCAATCTTGATAGGTTGTATGTGTCTAGGAATTTATCAATTTCTCTTAAGTTTTCCAATTTATTGGGTATGTAGTTGCTCATAGTAGCCTCTAACGATCCTTGGAATTTCTGTGGTTTCAGTTGTGATGTCTCTTTTTCTATCTCTAATTTTATGTATTTGGGTCTTATCTTTTTTTTAATTATTCTGGCTAAATATTGTCAATTTTATCTTTTCAAATAATCAACTTTTTATTTCATTGATCCTTTGTACTTTTTTATTTTAATTTCATTTATTTCTGCTCTGATCTTTATTATTTCTTTGCTTCTACTAATTTGGGGTTTGGTTTGCTCTTTTTTACTTCTGTAAGATCCATCTTTAGGTTGTTTATTTAAAATTTTTCTACTTTTTTGACATAGCCACTTTTGTTATAAGCTTTCCTCTTAGTCCTGCTTTTGCTGTATTCCATGAGTGTTATTATGTTGTGTTTCTATTTCTATCTGTTTCAAGAAGTTTTTAAACTTTCATCTTAATTTCTTTATTGAACCACTAGTCATTAAAGATCATATTCTTTAATTTCCATGTGTTCATATAGTTTCCGAAGTTCCCCTTTTTGTTGATTTCCAGTTTTATTCCATTGTGTTCAGAGAAGATATTTGATATGATTTCAATTTTTTTGAATATTTCAAGACTTGTTTTGTGACCTAACATATGGCCTATCTTTCAGAATGATCTAGGTACTGAGGAGAAGAATGTTTATTCTCCACCACTGAATGAAATATTCTCTTAATATCTATTTAGGTCCATTTGGTCTAGAATGCAGATTAAGTTCAGTGTTGCCTTGTTGATTTTCTGTCTTGATGATTTGTTAAATGCTGTAAGTGGTGTGTTGGAGCTCCCAGCTATTATTTTATTGGGGCCCATCTCTCTGTTTAGTTCTAATAATATTTGCTTTATATATCTGGATGCTGCAGTGTGGGGTGTTTATGTATTTACAACTGTTGTATCCTCTTACTAAATTGACTCCACTATCATTATATAATGTCCGCTTTTGTCTCTTTTTAGATTATTGATTTTTAGATGTTTCTTCTTTTCTATTATATGCATTCAGTGCTGTAAATTTCCCTGCAAGCACAGCTTTCACTCTATCCCACAAATTTTGGTAAACTGTATTATCATTTTAATTTAGTTCAAAATATTTTTTCACTTCTTTTTAGATTACTTCTTTGATTGCTGTTTTATTTGGAAGGTTTTTAAAATCTGTATGTATTTTGGTAAATACATGGGATTCTGCATGTATTTCCCAGCTATCTTTCTGTTATTGTTTTCTACTTTAATTTCATTGTGGTCTCAGGGCAGACGACAATTTACAGTTGTATTGTTTAAAATTTCTTAAGGTGCTTTCCATGACCCAGATAGTGGTGTATGTTACTGAATATTCCATGTGAACTTTAGGAAAATACATAATCTGCTATTGTTGGATGAAGTTATCTACAGATGTTGATTGATTGATGATGCTGTTGAGGTCAAATAGGTCCTTCCTTACTGATTTTCTACCTAAGAGTTCTGTTAATTAAATTAATAATGTTATTAAATTAAATTAATAATATTATTAAATTAAATTAATAAAGAATGTTATTGTCTCCAAGTATAATAACACATTTATTTCTTCTTTCAGTTCTATCAGTTTTGCTTCACATAGTTTGACACTCTTTAGTTAGATGTATATACCTTAAGGATTGTTATACCTCCTAGAAGCATGGACCCTTTTATCATTATATAATGCTCATTTTGTCCCTTATAACTTTGCTTGAAGTCTGTGCTGTCTAAAATTAATAAAATATATTAATATAGCTTGATAAATTAAAACATAATAGCTATGTTTTCTATTGATTAGTAGTAGCGTGGTATGTTTTTCACCTTCCATTTACTTTTAATTTATACATGTTTTAATGCTTAAAGTTGTGGACAACACACAGTTGGATCGTGTTGTTCCATTCACTCTGACTGACAATTGTTGTCTTTTTTTTTTTTTTTTGGAGATGGAGTCTCACTCTGTTGCTCAGGCTGGAGTACAGTGGCGCGATCTTGGCTCACTGCAATCTCCGTCTCCCGGGCTCAAGCAATTCCCCTGCCTCAGCTTCCAGAGTAGCTGGGATTGCAGGAGCATGCCACCATGCCCGGCTAATTTTTGTATTTTAGTAGAGACGAGGTTTCACTATGTTGTCCAGGCTGGTCTTGAATTCCTGACCTCAGGTAATCTACCCTTCTTGGCCTCCCAAAGTGTTGGGATTACAGGCGTAAGCCACAGCACCTGGCCAATCATTGTCTTTTAATTGGTGTATTTAGGCCACTGAAATTTAAAGTGATCATTGATATAGTTGGATTTATATTTATCCTATTTGTTAGTGTTTTGTATTTATTGCCATTGTTCTATCTTCCTATATTTGTCTACTGTACTTTTTTTATTTTTTTGCCTCTTGTGCTTTTAATTGAGCATTTTAAATGATTCTACTTTTTATGTTTTCTTAGTTATCAAGTATAGGTCTTTTAAAAATTTTATTTCTTTAGTGCTTGTTTTAGAGTTTGTAATATACATTTACAACCAATCTAAGTCCACTTTCAAATGACACAATGCCATTTAAGGAGTAGTGTGACTACTGTATAAAAACAAAATAGTCATAATTCTTTCCTCCTGTCTTATGTGTTATTGCTGTCATTTGTTTCACTTATTCATAAGCTTATGCATATTTACATGTATATGCTTATGTATATATATTCACCTAAGTATGCATAATTAAATACTTTGCTGCCATTATTATTTTGAACAAACTCTTATCTATTACATCAAGAATAAGAAAAATAGAAGTTTTTGTTTTACCTTTAGTTACTCATTCTCTGACATTCTTCCTTTACGTAGTTTCTGAAACTATATCATTTTCCTTCTTTCTGATACATTTCTTTTTTTATTAATTGCAAGGCAGTTCTGCCAACCAATTCTCTCAATTTTTGTTCAACTGAGAAAGCCTTTATTTCTCTTTCCTTTCAAGGATAATTTCACAGGGCACGAAATTCTAGGTTTGTATTTTTTTTCTCTCAACACTTTAAATACTGTTATATCTAAAATAGCTAAAATATTGTTTGAATATTTTATTTTATTATTTTTTTTGAGACGGAGTCTCGCTGTCGCCCAGGCTGGAGTGCAGTGGCGCGATCTCAGCTCACTGCAGACTCCGCCCCCCGGGTTCACGCCATTCTCCTGCCTCAGCCTCCCGAGTAGCTGGGACTACAGGCGCCCGCCACCTCGCCTGGCTAATTTTTTGTATTTTTAGTAGAGACGGGGTTTCACCGTGTTAGCCAGGATGGTCTTGATCTACTGACCTAGTGATCCGCCCGCCTCAGCCTCCCAAAGTGCTGGGATTACAGGCGTGAGCCACCGCGCCCGGCCTTGAATATTTTATTCTACTCTCTGCTTGTTTGCATGGTTCTTGGGGAGAAGTTTCATCTAATTGTTTGCTCCTCTATGGGTAAAGTGTTTATTTTCCCTCTACCTTCTTTCTCTATCTTTAATTTTCTGAAGTTTGAATATGATAGAACTAGGGTTTTTTGGGGGGTGGATGTGTCTTTCTTGGTGTTCTATAAGCTTCCTATTTCTGTAATTTGGTGTCTGACATTAATTTGAAATTCACAATCATTATTGTTTTAAATATCCTGCTCCTTTGCTTCTTCTTCTCTAATATTCCAGTTATTCATATTTGTACCTCTTGCACTTGTCCCACAGTGCTTAAATATTCTTTTCTAGCTTTTTGTCAGTCTTTTTCTTCTCTGTTTTCAGTTTGTAGAAATTTCTATTGCTTCTATTTTGCCTCTCTTAGAATTTCTCTCTCTGCTTACATTTTTTATCCTTTCTTGCATGTTATCTACTTACTTTATTAAAGCCCTTACTATTTGGATCATAGATTTTTTTAAAATCTTGAATTTAGAAGTCTAGCATTACTGTTATATTTGACTCTGGTTCTGATGCTTATTTGATTGCTTCACACTGTGATTTTTGCCTTTTAGTATGCCTTGTAAATTTTTGTTGAGAGGTAGACATAATATATCGAGTAAAATAAACTGCATTAAATAGGCCTTTAGTATTATGGTGTAAGGTGTGGGGGCAGAAAAGGCCTTCAAGAGTCTCATCAGCAAATCTCCATCTTTTAGTGAGTCTGTGCCACTGGTGAGCTTCAGAAGTGCTTCTCAGGTTTCCTCCCACATTAATATTAAACAGGAGATTTAGAGGGAGTTGGAGCTGGGTATTTCCTTTTCCCACATGGAAGGCTAGAACCACCTCGAGTTAAGTGTTCCCTTCCTTTGGGCTTGTTAGGCTCTGATTACATCCTAGTAGGTTAGGCTCTGAGAAAAACAGAATGCTTTGGTGTATTTCAAAGTGGTTACTTTTTATCTCCCCCTGCTGGAAGCAGGAAGGGTTTTTTCTCCAATATTCATGGTGCTGACCTGGTAGAGCTCCTGGAGGTGAAACGCCCAGAAGTATGAGGGGTTCCCTACAACTAGGTATCCTTGGAGTTTTCAGCTTTCAGCCTTGTGCACACTGATTCTTCAGTAATTTGTTAGTTATGTTTCTTACCTCAGTGCTAGTTTCTGAAGAGACTTTTGCTTCAGTTAGTTGTTATTTTCTGAATCTACCTATATCTTCAATTTGGGAGGAGTGGCTTGCCTTGTGATCTTGCTTCTCTGACAGATCTAAGAAGAGTTGTTCATTTTTCAGTTTGTTTAGTTCTTTACTTGCTTTTTTTAAGACACAGTGGTGACTTCTAAGTTCCTTATATGCTGCACCAGAAACCAGAAGTCTCTTCTATTTTTATTCCACTTTAATAAGAGGTAGAGTAACTCACGTTTCTGTTATCATATTTAAGGGAAACACATTCTGTCTGCTTTTCTGCTTATTGGCCAGATGCTTTTATTTACTTATTCATGCAAGAAATATTGGTTGAACACCTACTGTGCATGTCAAGCATTTTTCTAGGAGCTTTGGATTCATGATGTCAAAGCAACTCCCTTTTATATTGATTATAAGAGGGATAATCTCCAACGTAGTGAAATAGCTTATTCATGTGTTGATTTTTAAAAATATATGATTTTTACATTCAGATTAAGCCAATGCCTAGTGAAATACCTTTTTTTTAAATACTTTAAATTCTGGTGTACAGGTGCAGAAAGTGCAGGTTTGTTACACAGGTATACACGTGCCATAGTGGTTTGCTGCACCCATTAACCCATCATCTACATTAGGTACATGATCTACATTAGGTATTTCTCCTAATGCTACCCCTCCCTTAGCCCCCTACCCCCCCCAATAGGCCCTGGTGTGTGATGTTCCCCTCCCTGTGTCTATGTGTTCTCATTGTTCAACTCCCACTTATGAATGAGAACATGTGGTGTTTGGTTTTCTGTTCCTGTGTTAGTTTGCTGAGAATGATGGTTTCCAGCTTCATCCATGTCCCTGCAAGGACATGAACTCCTCATTTTTTATGGCTGCATAGTATTCCACAGTGTATATGTGCCACATTTTCTTTATCCAGTCTATCATTGATGGGCATTTGGGTTGTTTCCAAATCTTCACTATTGTGGATAGTGCCACAATAAACATATGTGTGTATGTGACTTTACACAAGAATGATTTACAATCCTTTGGGTATATACCCAGTAATGGGATTGCTGGGTCAAATGGTATTTCTGGTTGTAGATCCTTGAGGAATTGCCACATTGTCTTCCACAATGGTTGAACTATTAAAGACTTAAATGTAAGACCTAAGAACATAAAAACCCTAGAAGAAAACCTAGACAATACCATTCAGGACATAGGCATGGGCAAAGACTTCATGACTAAAACACCAAAAGCGATGGCAACAAAAGCCAAAATTGACAAATGGGATCTAATTAAACAACAGAACTTCTGCCCTGCAAAAGAAGTGAACTTGCCACTTACAGAATGGGAGAAAATTTTTGCAATCTATCCATCTGACAAAGGGCTAATATCCAGAATCTACAAAATACTTAAACAAATTTACAAGAAAAAAAACCAACCCCATCAAAAAGTGGGCAAAGGATATGAGCAGACATTTCTCAAAAGAAGATAAGTGCATAAATGCAGCCAACAAACATATGAAAAAAAGCTCATCACCACTGGTCACTAGAAAAATGCAAATCAAAACCACAATGAGATACCATCTTATGCCAGTTAGAATGGTGATCATTAAAAAGTTAGGAACAACAGATGTTGGAGAGGATGTGGAGAAATAGGAATGCTTTTACACTGTTGGTGGAAATACCTCATTCTATATGAATAAAAGAAAGTTATGACAGCTTTGCAGTTGAAACTGACAGCAGTGATTTTAACAGTCTTAGGGATACAGTGAGTAAACATAAGAATTATTATATTGGTATCATGTCTAACTAATACAATACAGCTTATTATTAAAATGCATTTTATCTGCTACAAAATTATACCTTTGCTAGAACAGACATATCTTTGCAATGATTGGCTGATGCTGAATCTCTGTGTTGTAGACCCAAGTCAAATTGGTTAGCATCTTCAGTAATTATTTTTCCATGCAGCATAATGACGCTGACTTCCAAGGCCTTCATCAGAAAGCTAAAGCCAGTTTTATTCCCCCCACTGATATTATTCCTCTAAGAATTACATTTTAATATTTTGCTTGGGTGTTTTTTTCTGGCTCTGTTTAAGTGTTTACTTTTTAATAATAAGTTTTAAATGCATTTTGAATTTAATTGCTATTTTTGTTTTGATAGTACATGATGAGTGCTTGCTGTCTTGTGGTTTTCTTCATCCCACTACTGTTTATTGATTTTATCTATTCTCATTGATATGTCTAGTCAATCAATGTTGATTCAATAAATGACTTGTTTTAGTTATACTTGGAGATATCAGACTGTAATATTGTGCTCTTAAACATGTAGAAACACCATCAGGGGCATTAAGAGATAGTGTAATGTAATGCTTATATGCAGAGCTCTGGAACCAGACTCTCAAGGTTTGAATCATTATTCTTTGCGACTTTAAGCTGATGTGTGTGTTTGGCTTTCTGCATATAAAAATGAGATTTGTATTACAATCCAGCTCATGAACTTCTTGGAAGAATTAAATATGTTAAAATATGTGAAGTGCTGAGAACAGTGGCTAACCCACAGTAAATGCTATGTAAATGATTATTATATAATTTCAAATTTAATTTTGTTTTCCTTAATGCACTTTTTCTTTCCCTGTAATTTGACTTGTATCTTGCATAGTCATTCTCTGTTCCAAGACATTTAGTTAAAAGATTATAGTTTTGTTAGGAAAGAGTGGTTTCTGTGGAAGTACTAGAATACATCTTAGAATCTTTCAATGCCAGGAGTTGCTAGAGAGACTCTTTAAATATCACAGAACTTATTTTATCTTACAAGTTCAGAAAAAATTCAAGTTATGGAAATCTGACTCCCATACAAAAAATTTGTGTTTTCCGCCAAAGTATTCCTTGTGAGTGACTGTTACGTGATTCTACCTTCTCTCATGTCTGAATAAGATCAGCACTTAGTTCATGGCCTAACATCCAATAAATTCTGTTGATAGACTGACTGTAATTTTCTCCAACACTGTGTACTCCAGTAATTTCTACAGGGTCATCCTATTAGGATCTCTGTGAGACTCTTAAATATCTTTGTCACGCCAGTGAATGTCCTTAAATACATTTGTGCCATGAAAAACATTTTCTGTGCATTCTCTGACAGAATATTTGCAAGAATAGGCCTTGAACAGAGGATAAAATCTAAGGGAAAGAGTTTTCAGAACAAAAATGCGTTCTTAAGGAATTTCTGGGGAGAGTTCAATTCCATTACTTAACTATGTTTTTTGAAGGGCATACCAATGCCAAGATATGAAATAACCAGGAAGAATATTACTGAGGTGATGACAAACTTTTCCAGTAATAGCCAAAAGTGATACAACTTTCTTCCAAACCAAACTTTGCAATATTTTTAAAGGAAGGCTTGGTAACATTGCAATATCTAGAAGAAAATGAGAAGGTAGGAAGCCATCCTCCCTAGTGACTGATTACACTCCAGACACTGTGGAAGACTGAGAGCTATCTAGATAGGCAGTTTAAGGTGAGATGTCTCAGATGTGCAAGGAATGTTGAGGTGTCTGATAAAGAAAACACATTAAGACAGTGATATATAATTAGTGCTTTGGAAATTAATGTTCTCCTTATATTCATTTACTTAGAAATAAGCAGCATTCAAAATGATAACAGAAAACGTTAAATCAAAACAATAATCTAGGATTAGAGTCACAATGTAATAAGACATTGTCAAGATGAAGAATATAAAAGTGCAGTTAATTTTACAATAAAATTAAAAATTAACACAAAATTGTGCATTAGAGCTATTATCAATGACATTTATATTTTTCTATTTATTATAAAATTGAGCTACTTGGAAGTGGATGTTAATTTCCACTTCCAAGGTGCACTTGAAAGAACCATATCTAACTCAGCTTTGAACATTTAAAGTATTTGACCATTAAAAAAATTAATAAATGACAGCTAAACATTTTCAAAAGGCTTTGTGTCCACATTATTTGAGGGAAAAAATACAGCCTTCACTATGAACAGGCAGAAAATATTAAGTTTGTTCAAATTAGTTGAAATGGAATTTGAAAAATGAATTTCTTTATCACTGTAATGACTGGCTTCTGCTGTTGCCAAAAAGATGTAAAATTCGTCACACCTCACAGTGTGATTGTCCCTGCTGGGTGTGGCTGAAGCAGTGGAATTCTTGGTCCCATATTCACTGAGCAGGGTACTTCTCCTGATACAGGTGTCTCTCAGAGGTTGGGACAGTGACAGGAGACTCTTCTGGGAGGCACAGAGGAAAAACCTGGATTCCTCCGTCAGCCACCCAGCTCTACCTAGCTATCAGTCTACAGGACCCATGAAGCAACATCATGCCCAGAAAGGCAAAAAAGAGATAGAATGCTGAACTTTGTGGCTTTTTAATTTTGAGAACTATATTTGGTTTCATACAACTCTGATTCTTTTGAATTTGTGTCATCATCTTAACACAGTGAACACAGCACACACACACACACACACACACACACACCCCATTTGGTTTACATTCTCCTAATCTCTATTCTATTAAAGTATTGATTATATCATTACAATATTATTAGTTTATTTAAATCTTTAATCATTCAAAACCTATTTTGTTTTTCCTACTAATTTATACAATTGCTTTTATTGATTTTTGCCTTTTTATGCAGTCTAATTCTCTTTTATAAATTTGGTTTTGCTTCATCTTGTCTATTCTTATTCTGGTTTCTTATTTGCATTCTTATGTGTTGGTATCTTTTCTCAGCTTACTTCATTTTTAAAATTACAAGTGAATGTACTGTATTTCCCTCCCATTAAAAATATTTTTATTACTCTCCTAGCTTTTTAAATCACAGGCAGGAATCATGGCCTATGCTATAAAGTGGGTGCTATAAAGTTAATTTGTGCCCCAGGAAGGAGACTAATGATTTTTGTCTATGTCTTTCTGGCCTTTTAAACATGACCAACCTCCTACCCAGTTTAAATTGGCAAAAAGTTTTATAAGTCAATTAAATAATAAAACTGTAAGCCTCACTTATAAAAGTATTCAACTCAATCTTAGGATTCAAATTATCACACATATGTAAATTTAGGCCTTGCTTTTTATATTACTGGTAGTGAAATTTTCTTATACATTCTAATCAGTGGCTTTGTGTACTTTTATTGCCTTGTACCTAAGGCTTGTTTGAACATGTTTTATATATTTGAATTTTACTTTCACTTACTTATTTTAGATTGGAAGGAGTAATGCACAGGATCAAGAGGAAAAATGGAGAAAATATTCCCTCCAGTCTTTAATAAACAAACAAAGAAGAAAAAGAAAATTCACTACCAAATCATACATTTTCTTCCAACCGTAAAATGAAATAACAGTTTCTTCTAATTCAGTTGTCATAATCAAGTCTTCAACTTCCATATACAACATAGGAGAACAAGTTTGTTCGTGAGGCCACAGGGGAACTTGATGTTAACAGAAAAAAGATGTGAACAAAGCCCAAGGCAAATGTACAAAATAAAGGTGGAAACTACCTACTAAGAACTAGAACATGGTTGGGATTCAATGAGAACGAACACAAAATTCACCCATTCATATATAATGATTTTTGCAGATGTTAGTTAATGATTTTCACTTCTGCAGTTTTTGCAAGTCCTGGAATTCATCAGATCTGGAAGGAAACATTTCAACAGTTCCCAGAGAATTTCTGGCCTACCCATATTCAGGAAGTTATGTGGGTCTCATGAGGAATCCTGTTCTTGTAACAGTTATGGTCCACTTTGTAAACTCGGAAGAGTTGAACTAGGGTCAGCAGCAACTACTGTTTATTTGTTGCCCAGTAAGTGCCAGACAGTGTTAAGCACTTTACACATATCGTGTTATCTATGTCTTCTGACAAGCCTATTAAGTAGATATTATTATCTCTATTTTATAATGAGAACCCTACAGCTCAATTAACTTAACTCAAGGTCACACAGCCAGTAAGTGGCAGAGCTGGGACTGGAATCCAGGTCTTAAAGACTATATTCTTAACCATCAATTAATACTGCCCCCCAACTTCCTGAATGTTTATTTAAACTCCATGAAGAGCAGGCATTTAAAATTGTATTGCTAAATATTTTCAAGTTAACCTTGAATTGCTTGGGAGATGAGCAGATATGATATAGTTTGGCTGTGTCCCTACTCAAATCTCATCTTGAATTGCACTCCCATAATTCCCATGTGTTGTGGGAAGGATCTGGTGGGAGATAATTGAATCATGGGGGCAGTTTCCCCCATACTGTTCTCGTGGTAGTGAATAAGTCTCATGAGATCTGATGGTTTTATGAGGGGTTTCCCCTTTTGCTTGGCTCTCATTCTCTCTTGCCTGCTGCCATGTAAAATGGCCTTCTGCCATGATTGTGAGGCTTCTGCAGCCACGTGGAACCTCTTTTTCTTTATAAATTACCCAGTCTCGGATATGTCTTTATCAGCAGTGTGAAAATGGACTAATATAAGATACATTTGGAAAAAAATTCTTCAACATCCTTATTGTCATTTTTAGTATCATTTAAAATTCAGTGATAAATGGTACCATTTTAAGATCTATGGGCAGGGACAGCATAGAAGCCATAGCTACTAACTGAAAAGGATATAAAATACCAAGTTATAAAGCCAAAAATTTCAATCTGTAAGAGTTACACACGGTGTAATACATCATATTAAAATTGTACAAATCACAAGAGGTTAAATATCCACAAGCATAACTTTTCTTTAGGGTTCAGAGCTTGCCCTGACTTAAGCATTTTTAGGGTTCTGTATCTCTTTCCTTGACCTTTCCCCTTACCCTCTTTTGTCATTCTCTTTCCTTCTACTTTAATGAAAATTGCTCAAGAAAGAATTCTTAAACAAAAATTTAAAATATTAGTATATTTTTATCTAAAATACCTAAATACATAGAGTCAAAACATTTTTCTGTATAAAAATCTTAGATTCAAGGGCAGGGTAGAAGATTCTTCTGTTAGCCTCCAGTTTTCAGATAACAAATTCTAGCCACTTCTTTTTTTATATCTCTAAAATAAGAAAACATCTCTTTTATTTAGGCTCTTACTTCTTCTAATCTGTGTGTTATTTCCACTTTCACTAACTCCTCCTGCAGGTGAAATATCCTTCTACAAACCCATTCCTTTGCTCTCATACTGTTAATGTCTACATGGATTGGTTTTCACTTGTCCTCTATTAGAGAGTTGACCTGCAGGCCCTTTGGCAAGCAGCACGGTTCTTTTATCTTTTTTTTAATATACTTTAAATTCTGGGGTACATGTGCAGAAAGTGCAGGTTTGTTACATAGGTATACACGTGCCATGGTGGCTTGCTGCACCCATCAACCCATCACCTACATTAGGTATTTCTCCTAATGCTATCTGTCCCCCAGGCCCCCACTCACTGACAGGCCCTGATGTGTGATGTTCCCCTATGTCCATATGTTCTCATTGTTCAACTCCCACTTATGAGTGAGAACATGCAGTGTTTGGTTTTCTGTTCCTGTGATAGTTTGCTGAGAATGATGTTTCCCAGCTTCATCCATTTCCCTGCAAAGGACATGAACTCATCCATTTTTATGGCTGAATAGTATTCCATGGTGTATATGTGCCACATTTTCTTTATCCAGTCTATCATTGATGGGCATTTGGGTTGGTTCCAAGTCTTTGCTATTGTGAATAGTGCTGCAATAAACATACATGTGCATGTGTCTTTATAATGGAATGGTTTATAATCCTTTGGGTATATACCCAGTAATGGGATTGCTGGGTCAAATGGTATTTCTAGTTTTAGATCCTTGAGGAATCGCCACACTGTCTTCCACAATGGTTGAACTAATTTACACTCCCACCAACAGTGTAAAAGCATCCCTATTTCTCCACATCCTCTCCAGCATCTGTTGTTTCCTTACTTTTTAATGATCGCCATTTTAACTGGCATGAGATAGTATCTCATTGTGGTTTTAATTTGCATTTCTCTAATGACCAGTGATGATGAGCATTTTTTCATATGTCTGTTGGCTGCATAAATGTCTTCTGTTCATATCCTTTGCCCACTTTTTGATGGTGGTGTTTGTTTTTTCTTGTACATTTGTTTAAGTTCTTTGTAGATTCTGGATATTAGCCCTTTGTCAGATGGATAGATTGCAAAAATGTTCTCCCATTCCGTAGGTTGTCTGTTCACTCTGATGATAGTTTCTTTTGCTGTGCAGAAGCTCTTTAGTTTAATTAGATCCCATTTGTCTATTTTGGCTTTTGTTGCCATTTCTTTTGGTGTTTTAGACATGAAGTCTTTGCCCATGCCCACGTCATGAATAGTATTGCCCAGGTTTTCTTCTAGGATTTTTATGGTCATAGGTCCTATGTTTAAGTCTTTGATCCATCTTGAGTTGATTTTTGTAAAGTGTAAAGAAGGGGTCCAGTTTCAGTTTTCTGCATATGGCTATCCAGTTTTCCCAACACCATTTATTAAATAGGGAACCTTTTCCCCATTGCTTGTTTTTGTCAGGTTTGTCAAAGTTCAGATGGTTGTAGATATGTGGTGTTATTTCTGGGGCCTTTGTTCTGTTCCATTGGTCTATATATCTGTTTTGGTACCAGTACCATGCTGTTTTGGTTACTGTAGCCTTGTAGAATAGTTTGAAGTCAGGTAGCGTTATGCCTCCAGCTTTGTTCTTCTTGCCCAGGATTGTCTTGGCTATGTGGGCTCTTTTTTGGTTCTATATGAAATTTAAAGTAGTTTTTTCGTAGCTTGATGAGTATAGCATTGAATCTATAAATTACTTCGGGCAGTATGGCCATTTTCATGATATTCATTCTTCTTATCAATGAGCATGGAATATTTTTGCATTTGTTTGTGTCCTCTTTTATTCCTTGAGCAGTGGTTTGTAGTTTGGCTTGAAGAGGTCCTTCACATCCCTTGTAAGTTGGATTCCTAGGTATTTTATTCTCTTTGTAGCAATTATGAATGGGAGCTCACTCATGATTTGGCTGTTTGTCTGTTATTAGTGTATAGGAATGCTTGTGATTTTTGCACATTGATTTTGTATCCTGAGACTTTGCTGAAGATGCTTATCAGCTTAAGGAGATTTTGGCTTAGACAATGGGGTTTTCTAAATATACAATCATGTCATCTGCAAACAGAGACGATTTGACCTCCTCTCTTCCTATTTGAATACGCTTTATTTATTTCTCTTGCCTGATTGTTCTGGCCAGAACTTCCAATACTATATTGAATAGGAGTGGTAAGAGAGGGCATCCTTGTCTTGTGCCAGTTTTCAAAGGGAATGCTTCCAGGTTTTGACCATTCAGTATGATATTGGCTGTGGGTTTGTCATAAATAGAGATACGTTCCATAGATACCTAGTTTATTGTGAGTTTTTAGCATGAAAGGGTGTTGAATTTTGTTGAAGGCCTTTTCTGCATCTATTGAGAGAATCATGTGGTTTTTGTGCATTATTTCCACTTTCACTCACTCCTCCTGCAGGTGAAATATCCTTCTACAAACCCATTCCTTTGCTCTCGTACTGTTAATGTCTACATGGAATGGGTTTCACTTGTCCTGTATTGGAGAGTGGACCTTGGAGGCCCTTTGGCAAGCAGCACAGTTATTTTTATTTATTTTTCTATTTTTTTTGAGACAAAGTCTGACTCTGGTGCCCAGGCTGGAGTGCAGCGGCATGATCTCAGCTCACTGCAACCTCTGCCTCCCAGGTTCAAGTGATTCTTTTGCCTCAGCCTACTGAGTAGCTGGGATTACAGGTGTGTGCCACCATGCTCACTTAATATTTTTATTTTTGGTAGAGACAGGGTTTCACCATGTTGGCCAGGCTGGTCTCAAAGTCCTGACTTCAGGTGATCCACCTGCCTTGGCCTCCCAAAGTGCTGGGATTACAGGCATGAGACACCGCACCCAGCCTAGCACAGTTCATTTTTGTTCAGCAATCATTTATTGAAGCGTTTCTATGTGCCAGACAGTGTGTTTGGTGTTGGGGGTGTAATAACTAAAAAGACATGGCCTTTGTCATAGGAGCACTCACAGGTCAGTGGATGAACTTTTCCTGCTTGACTAACTCTTGTTATTTTCTGGTTCCCACACTCCCTCCAAACTAAACCTTTCTTTCTTTTGCCACTTATATTTAGTTAAGCTCAGAGACATTAGCTGAGAACAACGTCTGAGCACTTTGGAGTTTCCTCTATTATGTCTCTCGGAAAAGGGGTGATATGGTTTGACCCTCTGTACCCACCCAAATCTCAGGTTGAGTTTCCAGTGTTGGGTGAGGAAACTGGTGGGAGGTGATTGCATCATGGGGGTGGAGTTCCCCCTTGTTCTCGTGATAGTGAGTGAGTTATCACGAGATATGATTGTTTAAAAGTATGTGGCACTTCCTTCTTCTTCTCTCTGTCTTCTGCTCCACCATGGTAACACACGCTTGCTTCCCCTTCGCCTTCTGCCATGATTGTAAGTTTCCTGAGGCCATGCTTCCTGTACAGCCTGCAGAACTGTGAGTCGATTAAAACTCTTCTCTTCATAAATTACCAAGTGTCAGATTTTTTTTATAGCAGTGTGAGAATGGAGTAATAAATGAGATTTCCCCTGAAGTTTTCTTCTCATAAACATCAGCTTGTTCTAGCAACATTTTAACCCAGCTTCTCTGGCCAGTGTACTCTTGTAATTGCTTTAATTTTACTCTGCTGGCTTCCAAGTGAGATTATTCTTTTTAATGAAAGGAAGCATATAATAAATAATAAGTAGACATTTTATAGGGGGAAGGTTTGGTACTTTTCTGCCTTGAGAGCTGAAGAATTGCTGTCTTATTAGAGGGCAGGTGGTAGTTAAGAATAAAGGTCCTGGAATCAGGTTGCATGGGTTCAAATCGTAACTGTGACTATCCCTAGCTGTGACCTTGGGCCATTTATTTCAACTCTCTGGGCTTTATTGTTCTCTTCTGCTACATTGGGTTAATAATAGGGCCTTCATGTCAGGGCTGTGGGGAGGAATAAGTAGGATTTAGAAGAGCCACATAAAATGCTCAATAATATTATCTATTATTAAAAGCAAGTCCTATTCTTTGATGACCTCAATAAGGATTGATTTGAAATTAGCCTAGGATGTAAAATTTGCTATGTTCCCATGTATTAAGATCACCAAAACATTATTACACAAAGCATAACTTCTAATGACTTCATCTAGTATTTCAATTTGGGAAATATATTCTAAGAAAATAATTCAAGATGAAGACATACTTAGGTACAGAAATATTAATCACATTAATTATTCAAAAGAGCAAAAAGGCACTTCTGGATGTAACTTTCATTCAGAGAGTAATATACTTACAAATATTACATAAAATTTATATATTATATAAAATTATAGAGAATTTCCACAAATGTACTTGTAATGTCCATTATTTTATTAATAATATACAATAACATAACTTATTTAATAAACATTCATTAAAACTATATTTATAAAAATTCTCTAATGGATGGAAAAGACTTACGACAAAACAGGTTAAAAAAGATAATAAAATGTGTATATTGTACATGCTAAACTCTGAAAAATAACACACACAGAAGAGAAATGCAGCAAATTTTTCTGAGCAGTTAACTCTTTCTTGATGGTAAGACTATGGGTAGTCCTTCTATTTATCTGCACTGAAACAAATTTATTAATTTATAATATGGATGAAAAATATTTTTAAATGTTAACATGGATAACCCCAAGTTGTATAAAATGGCATTTAAATATTGAAACCCAGTGGGAATTTTAATTATGTTAAGTCGGTAAGGGATTCCTAAAATATTTGAAGGTGGGAGCTGCCTGTTTTTTAATAATCTTCTTCACTTAATAAAATGGTTTGTACTCTGTGAACACTTGTTTTGTGATTGTTGACATATCTAGAGATTGGTTGGCTAAATCTTCAGACATCTAAATTTTAGTAATATCAAGCAGAGCAAATGGAAAAATTAAGAGTTCTTAATTATACATCTGAATCTTTTTTCTGGTTCTTTATTTTTATTTTTTATAAATGAAACTATTGGGTCTGATAAAAATTAGTGCACTATATATTGTGTATTTTTACAAAGCTAGTAGCAGACGTAATAGGAACAAGAGAGAAACCTTGAAGTACTGAGGGAGACAAATGTGAGGATGAAGCCATCAGAGGTGATAGTAAAAGGTCTGAAACTGGTAGTTGGTAGCATCCAGGACATTTGGGGGCTGTGCAATTTCCAAAACCACTGAAAATTCCCTTGGAGAGTGAAAGATACTAGATTTCTGCTATTGGACCTAGAAAGGGGAGGTAAAGGTTAGTTGGCCTGCATCTACTATAGCATCTCAAGAACAGACTCATCAGATTTGTCGTCACTGCCTGAGAAGATCCAAGATGACACCTTAAGGTTCTGGAACAGGCAAAATAAGTGGAGTCAGAAGATAGTTAGGAAGCTGCAAAACCACTGCTGGCTTTAACTTCCTCAGGATCCCAGAGCCCTTGTCCTGTTGCTCCCCTTCCTTCCAGGAATAGATACTGTCATGTTCAAAGGGCAGAACTGGGACCACCCTGGTTCTGATTTATGTCCACAGCACTGCCTCTATGTTCTCCCATACACTGTTCTCTTTTCTTGTGCTTGGGCTTCAAGCTCTCATCTAGAAGGTATGAGAGCAAACAAAGAATGGTAGAAGAAAACTTCAATTTTGGCAGGAAAAGGCACAACAAAGAGATTCTCAACAAAGATAGCAGAGACTCTCTAGATAAACCTGAAGATTTTAATGTGGATTGAATTATTTCCCTTATATGTAAAGACATCCTTGCTTCTAAAGTGATTTCTTTTGCTGCTTTCAGTTTATCACCATTATTATCAGTATCATTGTATAGTGGCTTACAGTGCACAGAATACTTTCATATATATTATTTTATGTATGTAAAGTTATTACTAGCTTTTTACAGATGAAGAAATCAAAACTTAGAAATGACATGATTTTCTCCTGTAAAAAAGTCAAATTCATATGCTTTGACTCTTGTTCATCTGTTTGGTCCTAGAACTGACATACACTATCATGTCAATTGTCCCAAATGACAAAAATCCTGAGACTTAAACTGTATTCCCATTAAGTCACGTCCCAAATTATCTAAATCTTCCTTTGGATACTTTGTCAGTCTAATACTCAAGGCTTATAAAACTCAGGCAAGTCTAAGAAGAATAGAAAGAATTCTACTTTTTTTCTTTTGCTTGTGTTAAGAATACTATTTTAATTTATTTGCACTATCCCAAAGTGGCAGGCTTGGCAATATTCTGCTCTGAAGCCTTTCTTGATATATTTTCCATAAATATACACTTTCCCAAAATGCTTCTACTTTGGTAGCAAAAGAGAAGAAAAATGTTATTTTAGGCCCAGAAACAAAGACTATGAAGGTTATGGGCAAAAAAAATATATATTGTGCACAGTTCTCCAAATCTTAACATAGGTCCAATAAACATTTCCAGTTCCCAGACTGCCTTTTGGCTCTCATCAAAGAACTCTAAGCCTGTTTTTAACTCAAAAAGACCTCCTATACCCTGATAATACCCTTGGTATCAGATTTTAAAAACATAGAGTTGTCAAGTGTCAACATTTTGTGGAGAGGAGTCAAATTAGCATTTCCTCCTGAGAATTTGCGCCAGCTTTTTCTGTTACTGACTCTGGCACTCAAAGAAAGCAAGGATGTTTGTTACTCCTTAGACCTAGATGAGAAAGAACTCAGCTCTGTTGCTTTGAGGGGAGGGTAATATTACTTGATGGCAAAAGTGAAAAAGATATGAAAACTCCCAACTTTGGCAGGATTTAATTTTTTTCTCCATCTGTGTTGTCTCATTCAGCATAATAAAACAAATCTTAGAAGGTTATTGTCTTTGTTAGGGCTGCTAGAACAAAATATCTTAGACGAGGTAATTTATGAGTAGGACAAATTTATTGCTCACAGTTCTTACCGGCTGGAAGGTCCAAGATCAAGGCACCTCCAGATTCAGTGTCTGGTGAGGCTTGCTCTCTACTTTAAAGATGGTGCCTTGTTGCCATGTTTGCCATGTCCTCATGTGACCTGAGAGGCAAACAAGTTCCCTCAGGCCTCTTTTTTACAAAGGAACTAATCCCATTCACTAGGATTGAGCTCTCATAACCTAATCAACTCCACAAATCCGCATCTCTTAATTTCTACCACATTGGGGATTAGGCTCCAATGTATGAATTTTGGGGAGACACAAACATTCTGAACATAGCAGTTGTAACAAAATTTAGTAAAACTGTATCAATTTTAGATTTACTGAAACATATTTTTATAGGATTTTGTGTTTTTGATTCAAACATTTATTAAGTACCTATTCTCTATAAGGCACTGTGGGAGGTTAAAAATACGACTTTTTCAACCACACTCCTCTGATAAGCTTTCTCTACACCTACCCCAAGACGATGTAAGATCATAATCTATATGCTTCAATGGTAGCCAACATTTACCTTGATCGTAAGTCATTCTGAGAGGTGACAGCATGCTGGCAGCGCTCGCAGCCCTCCCTCGCTCTCGGCGCCTACTCGGCCTAGGCGCCCACTCTGGCCGCGCTTGAGGAGCTCTTGAGCCCGCCGCTGCACTGTGGAAGCCCCTTTCTGGGCTGGCGGAGGCCAGAGCCGGCTCCCTCAGCTTGAGAGGAGGCGTGGAGGGAGAGGCGTGGGCGGGAACCCAGGCTGCGCGCGGCGCTTGTGGGCCAGCGCGAGTTCCGGGAGGGCGTGGGTTCGGCGGGCCCCGCACTCCGAGCGGCCGGCTGGCGCCGCCGGCCTCGGGCAGTGAGGGACTTAGTAACTGGGCCAGCAGCTGTGGAGGGTGCACCGGGTCCCCCAGCAGTGCCGGCCCGCCGCCAGTGCTGCACTCAAGTTCTGGCAGGGCCTCAGCTGCCTCCCTGTGGGGCAGGGCTTGGGCCTGAGACTCCCCCATTCCCCGGCCGCCATGGGCTCCTGCACGGCCTGAGCCTCCGGACGAGCTGCGCCCCCTGCTCCGCAGCGCCAGGTCCCATCAACCACCCAAGGGCCGAGGAGTGCAGGCGCACGGCAGGACTGGCGGGCAGCTCTGCCTGTGGCCCTGGTGCAGGATCCACTAGGTGAAGCCAGCTGGGCTCCTGAGTCTAGTGGGGACTTGGAGAATCTTCATGTCTCTCTAAGGGATTGTGAATACACCAATCAGCACGCTGTGTCTAGCTCAAGGTTTGTAAATGCACCAATTAGCACTCTATGTCTAGCTGATCTGGTGGGGACGTGGAGAACCTTTAGGTCTAGCTGAGGGATTGTGAATACACCAATCAGTACTCTGTATCTAGCTCAAGGTTTGTAAATGCACCAATCAGCACTCTGTATCTAGCTCAAGGTTTGTGGATGCAACAATTGGCAATCTGTAGCTAGCTAATCTAGTGGGGACTTGGAGAACTTTTGTGTCTAGCTCAGGGATTGTAAATGCACCAATCAGCAGCCTGTCAAAACGGACCAATCAGCTCTCTGTAAAATGGACCAATCAGCAGGATGTGGGTGGGGCCAGATAAGGCAATAAAAGCAGGCTGCTGAGCCAGCAGTGGCAACCTGCTGGGGTCTCCTTTTGCAGCGTTCTTTTGCTCTTTGCAATAAATTTTGCTGCTTGTCACTCTTTGGGTCCACATTGCCTTTATGAGCTTAACACTCACCGCGAAGGTCTGCATTTTCTCTTGAGGGCAGCGAAACCACGAACCCACTGGGAGGAATGGACAATTCCAGATGTGCTGCCTTAAGAGCTGTAACAGTCACTGCGAAAGTCTGCAGCTTCACGCCTGAAGCTAGCGAGACCACGAACCCAGCAGAAGGAAGAAACTCCGAACACATCTGAACATCAGAAGGAACAAACTCTGGACATGCTGCCTTTAAGAACTGTACTCACTGCGAGAATCAGTGGCTTCATTCTTGAGGTTAGTGAGACCAAGAACCCACCAATTCCTAACACAATTCAAAAAGTATTTACTGAAGGCCTTCTAAGTGTCAGACGGTGTGCTAAGATCTTGAGAGCCAACATCTTCCCTACTATAGCTGTGAGCAACCCAAAGACTGAGATTCAAATGAAAAATATTAATACATTAATTGAAATGGTACTGGCTAAGTTTCAGAACAAAAGGGGAAAGTGTAGACCCAGGGAGAGAGAGGCACTAGGAGTTCATGTGGCAGGATGTGGTGGGCAGTTTCTTTTTTCTTTTTTTTGAGACAGAGTCTTGCAAGCCTTGTCACCCAGGCTGGAGTGCAGTTGCACCATCTTGGCTCACTGCAACCTGCACCTCACGGGTTCAAGCAATTCTCTTGTCTCAGTCTGCAGAGCAGCTGGGATTATAGGTGTGCACCACCACGCCTGGCTAGTTTTTGTAGTTTCAGTGGAGTCGGGGTTTTGCCATTTTGGCCAGGCTGGTCTCAAAGTTCTGACCTCAGGTGATCCACCCACCTTGGCCTCCCAAAGTGCTGGGATTACAGTCATGAGCCGCCACACCTGGCCTCAATGTCTTCCGTCTTAAAATTAAACACCTGTCGGGGTTTTAGATCTTTGCATCTTGACTCAAGATTCCAAGTCCTTCAAGGGAGAATACAATTAGCCTAACTGGAGTCATAGGCCCAGCACTTGAATAGCGGCACCTGGACTAATAATCCCATGAAGCCAGCAAACATAGCAGTGGAGTGAAAATTCACTCAAGGGATTGAGAAAGTGTTTCCAAATCAAAGAGGAATAGATACAGACAGCTAAAACACAACAAATATACGTTGTACATGGCAACACTACACAAAAACCTTTTATATCTAAGTTCTGGAATTTAAAATGGAAACCTTTACATTTTCTCCTGCTTCCTGATTCCTCTTTTACCTCTGGCCTTCATTCAGGAGGAATGTGGAGATAAATGCCCACAAGTGCATCGCTGATATGTCCTACCAAACAAGGTAGATAGACTAGCAATCGGTAAGTCACAGAATTCGAAAACAAGTATTAACACTTTTGGTTCCGTAGTTATCTAAAGGCTATTTGCTTTTTATCTGGGCTGTATTTTGTATTTTTTCCAAGTATAAACTTATTTGTCCTCATAATTCAGAGAAGTGAATTCCCTCACCTTAGAGTCCTCATTTTTGTAGGTACTATGAAAGCCACATTACTTAACATTTTTGTCTCAATTTTTCCACCTACAAAACAGGAGCTAGATACAATCTTGTTCATGCTGCCATATTTAATGCTTGTCTAAGTATTTATGATATTCAGACATAGTCATCTTTGTTTTTCCTTCAGAAACTTCAGCTTTCAGTCAGGTTGGCCCAGGTAAAAAGATGAAGACAGGTCAAGTCTGATTCTGGGGCTTTCTGTTCACTGCTATGGTTGGTTTTTCGCTTGTTTCTTCATGCCGTTTTTTCACATTTCCATTTTCTCTCTTAGTGAGATAATTAATGTAAAAAGTGAACTAAATGGTGTTTGGGGATGGTAAGTCTTGAGCATGTAGACATTGTATCCTGAGTCTCACAGTTCTGCACAAGTTGCTCAAATCACACTGTAAACGTCATCACATTTTCCAGAGCCCAGGATGGCTGGTTGGCTTCCAGCTATGAGAAATGGCTTCCTGAACATGGGCTGGTGAATCTGATGCTTTCAAGATTTGTGTAGCCTGTGTCTTCTCAGCTCTGAGGATTTAGTCATTAAGTTCTCAGCAGGAAGGGGAATTCTAGGGCTGTTTACATCACGTAGTACAAACCACATTTGATTATGTGACACATCAAGAATTCATTTAAATCCATAGACAAATCAAGATTCCTCACAGAATTACACTCATTTTTTATGACTCATGGGAACGTTTTTCTTGTAAATTCAAATATGAGTGATTTTTAAAAATTCCTAAATGGGTCTCCTAATTTGTTCCTAAATTGTTCCTAGATATTTTGTAATTCCTTGTCTTTCTCTTTTGAGAAAAAATGAAAAACCCTTGCTCCTTTATCCTTAGAATACCCTTCAGGTCCTGTTTCTCACTTTCTCTTTTATTGCTTAAGCAACTGATTAGGTTTCTTTACCTAATATCAGGAGCTTCATATCTAGAAAAAAATATTTTTTCCAAGTGAGCTCTGGAAATGTTTGGAAAAGAAATAGAATTTCTTTAGATTGACATTTTAAAATATTTGTGATAGCTCATAACATATTATGAATGTGATAGAATCTCTAACTTAGCCTCATATAAATTTTTAAAAAATATTTGTTTAAATGCCCTGGCACCAACGTCTGTATTAAATTGCCTTTGAAAATAATGTAAAGTTCTACACATTTAGGAAGATCAAAACAAAGCCATCTTCATAATGATACATAGTGCTGAGCTAGGCTTGGGGTAATATTAATGGTTACTGAGAACCTACTATTTTTGTTTACTTATTTTTTTAGAGTATTTTTAGGTTCATAGCAAAATTAAGGGGAAGTACATAGATTTCCCATTCTCCATGCCCCTACATATGCATAGCTTGCCTTATTATCAACATTATTTACCAGAGTGGTACATTTGTTGCAATTGATGAACCTACGTTGACACATCATAATCACCCAAAGTCTGTAGTGTACATTACAGTTTGTTCTTGGTGTCGTACATTCTGTGGGTTTAGACAAATGTAAATATGAAGATACATATGCATAATTATAGCACCATATGGAGTATTTTCACTGCCCTTAAAATCATCTGTGCTCCATGTATTCATTTCTTCCTTCCTGCAATCCCTGGCAACCAGTGATCTTTTAGTCTTGCCTTTCCAGAAGATCGTGTTGGAATCATACAGCATATAGATTTTTCAGATTGGTATCTTTCACTTAATAATATACACTTAATATAATATATATATAATATACATTCCTCCATATCTTTGTAGCTCATTTCTTTTTAGCACTGAATAATATTCTAATGTCTGAGTGTACCACAGTTTATTAATTTGTTCATTCACTGAGGATATCTTGATTGTTTCCAAGTTTTGGCAACTATGACTAAAGCTGTTATAAACATTCATGTGCATTTTTGTGTGTATGTGTGTGTGGACATAACTTTCCAACTCTTTTGCATAAATGCCAAGAAATGCATTTGCTAAGTTGTGTGGTAAGAGTATATTCAGTTTTGTAGAAACTGCCAAACTCTCTTCAACAGTAGCTGTACCATTTTGCATCCCCACCAGCAATGAATGAAAGTTCCTGTTGCTTGGCATCCTGGACAACATTTTGTGTTACTGGTGTTCCAGACTTTGGACAGTCTAATATGTGTGTAATGCTATCTCATTATTGTTTAATTTGCATTTCTCTGATGACATATGAAGCAAAGCATCTTTTCACATGCTTATTTGCATTTGCATTCATGTTTTTTCTTGGTGAGGTGTCTGAGTCTTTGGCCCAGTTTTAAAGATTGTGTGTTTTCTTATTCTTGAGTTTCAAGAGTTTTTGTATATTTTAGATAACAGCCCTTTTCATATGTGTCTTTCGCAAATATTTTCTCCCAGTCTGTGGCTTCTCTTCCCATTCTCTTGAAATTGTCTTTCACAGAGGAGTTTTTAATTTTAATGAAGTCCAGCTTATCAATTATTTCTATCATGGATGGTGCTTTTGATGTTTTATCTAAAAAGTCACTGTTACGCCCAAGGTCATCTAGGTTATCTCTTATGTTATCTTCTAGGAGTTTTCTAGTTTTGTGGTTAACATTTAGGTATATGGTTCATATTGAGTTGATTTTTCTGAAGGGTGTAAGATTTCTGTTTAGATTCTTTTTTTTTTTTTTTTTCGCAGCTAGGTGTGCAGTTATTCCAGCATCATTTGTTGAAGAGTATCTTTTATCTATTACATTGCTCTTTTGACAAAGATCAGTTGACTGTATTTATGTGGGTCTGTTTCTGGGATCTCTATTCTGTTCTATTGATCTATTTGTATATTCTTTCACCAATATCACACTGTGTTGATTACTGTAGCTTTGTAGTAAGTTTTAAAGTCATGTGGTGTCAGTCTCTAACTTTGTTCTTTTTCTTCAATGTCATCTGGACTATTCTAGATTTTTTTCCTTCCCCCATAAACTTTAGAATCAATTTGTCAATATCTACAAAGTAACTTGGATTTTCATTGTAATTATTTTAAATCTATAGACCAAGTTGGGAAGAACTGACATCTTGATAATGTTGATACTTTCTATCCATGAATATGGAATATCTCTCCATTTATTTAGTTCTTCTTTGATAGCTTTCATTAGAATTTTGTGGGTTCACTCATATAAATCTTGTACATATATTGTAAGATTTATACTTAAGTACTTTCTGGGGTGTGCTAATGTAAATGTTATTGTGTTTTTAATTTCAAATTCCCCTTGTTCATTGCTGGTATATGGAAAATCTATTGACTTATTTATTCATTTTTTTTTGAGACAGGGTCTTGCTCTATGGTCCAGGCTGGAGTGCAGTGGTGTGGTGCAATCTCAGCCCACTGCAACCTCTGCATCTTGGACTCAGGTGATCCTCCCACCTCAGCCTCTCGAGTAGCTGGAACTACAAGCATGCATCACCACGCCTGGCAATTTTTTCCATTTTTTTAGTAAAGACAGGTTTTCTCCATGTTGACCAGACTGGTCTCAAACTCCTGGGCTCAAGCAATCTGCTCAGCTTGGACTCCCAAAATGCTGGGATTACAGGCGTGAGCCACTGTACCTGGCCACTATTGACTTTTTTATATTAACTTTGTATCCTGGAGCCTTGCTAAAATTGCTTAGTAGTTCCAGGAGTATTTTTTGTTTGTTTTAAATCAATTCTTTGAGAGAATCATATCATCTTTACATAAAGAGTTACACTTCTTCCTTCTTAACCTGTATACATATTATTTCCTTTCCTTTTTCTGTCTTGTTGTATTAGCTAAACTTCCAGTACAATGTTGATAAAATGTGATGAGAAGAGACATCCTTGCCTTGTTCTTGAAATTACTGGGAAAGTTTTATGTTTCTCACCATTAAGTATCATGCTAACTATAGGTTAGCTGTAGGGTTTTTGTATATATTCTCTCTCAAGTTGATGAAGTTCCCCTCCATTTCTAGTTTACTAAGCCTTTTTATTATGAATGAATGTTAGAGTTTGTCAAATGCGTTTTTTGCATCTATTGATATGATAATGTGGTTTTTATTTATTAGCTTGTTGATGTGATGGAATACAAAAATTGATTTTCAAATGTTGAACCAAACTTGTATATCAAGGATAAATACCACTTGGTCATGGTGTATGATTTTATATACATTGTTTGATATGATTTACTGAGGATTTTTACAGCTATTTTCATAAAATGTATTGATCTGTAGTTTTTATTTCTTCTAATGTCTTTGTCCAGTTTGGGTATTAGAGTAATATTGGCCTCATAAAATGAGTTAGGAAATATTCCCTCTGCTTCTCTACTGTGAAAGAAATTGTAGAGAATTGCTAACATTTCTTTCTAAATATTTTGGAGAATTCATCAGTAAACTTATTCGGTCTTGGTGCTTTCTGTTTTGGAAGTTTATTTTCAATTCCATTTCCTTAATATGGGGCTATTCAAATTGTCTTATTTCTTTTTCTGTGAGTTTTGGCAAATTGTGTTCTTCAATAAATTGTTCCATTTTATCTAGGTTATCACATTTGTGTGTGTGGTGGTGTTTGCAGTATTTCTTTATTATCCTTTTAATGTTTATAGGCTCTGTAATGATGTCATGTCTTTCTTTTCTGATATTAGTAGATTCTGTTCTCTTTTTTCCTAGTTTACCTGGCTAAAGGCTAATTAATTTTATTGAACTTTTCAAAGAACCAGCTTTTGATTTTATTGATTTTCTCTATTGATGTCTTATTTTCAATTTTATTAACTTGGTTTTTGCTCTGATACTTATTTTTTTTCCTACTGATTACTTTGGATTTAATTTGCTCTTCTTTTTCTAGTTTTCTGAGATAGGAACTTAGAATATTGATTTTAGATTTTTTTTACTAATATGTGCATTTTAACACTATAAATTTTCCTCTAAGCACTGCTTTTGCTGTATTTCACAAATTTTATATTTTAAATTTTCTCTTGAGATTTCTTCTTTGAACCCCATGTTATTTAAAATCATGTTGCTGACCAGCCTGGGCAAAACAGCAAGACCCTGTCTCTACAAAAGTTATAAAAAAATTAGTGCAGCATGGTGGTGTGTGCTTGTAGTCCTAGCTACTCAGGAGGCTGAAGCAGGAGGATTGCTTGAGCCCAGGAGTTTGAGGATGCAGTGATCTATGATCATGCCACTGAACTTCAGTCTGGGTAACAGAATGAGACCCTGTATTTTTTTTTAAAAAAAAGCATGTGGCTTAATCTGTGTGCATTTTGGGATTTGGTATTTTCCAATTATCTTTTTGTTATTGACTTCTAGTTTAATTTCATTTGGTCTGAAAGCAGACACTGCCTAATTTATATTCTTTTGAATTTGTTAAGATGTGACATATGGTCCTGAATAAGGTCTATATCCATGAATGTTTCATATGAGTTTGAGAATAATTTGTAATTAGCTGTTGCTGGATAAAATAATCTATAGATGCCAGTTATATACAGTTGATTGATGGTGTTGTTTAGTTCAACTAGGTCCTTACTAATGTTATGTCTGCTGGATGTGTCCATTTCTGAAAAAGAGATGTTGAAGTCTCCAGCTATAATGATGAATTCATTTATTTCTCCCTTTGCAGTGCTATCAGTGTTTGCCCCAGCTGTTTTGACACTGTTGTTAGGTGAGTATACATGAAGAATTGTTATATATTATTAGAATTGACCCCCTTATCATTATGTAGCGCTCTTCTGTATCCCTGATAACGTTCCTTGCTTTGAAGTCATCTTTGTCTGAAATTAATATAGCTATTCCATTTTCTTCTGATTAGTGTTAACATGCCATATTTTTCTCTATTCATTTAATTCTAAACTATATGTGCCTTTATATTTAAAAGGGGCTTCTTCCAGACAATATATAGTTTGGTATTTTTTTTTAATCTACTCAAACAATATCTGTCTTATAGATGGTGCATTTAAACTTTTGATGTTCAAAATGATTGTTGATGGTTGGATTAACATCTACCATATTTGTACTGATTTCTCTTCAAGGCTTTCTTTTCTTTTCTTTCTTTCTTTTTTTAGAATTATACTTTAAGCGTTGGGGTACATGTGCAGAACATGCAGGTTTGTTACATAGGTATTCATGTGCCATGTTGGTTTGCTACACCCATCAACTCGTCATTTACATTAAGTATTTCTCCTAATGCTATCCCTCCCCCAGCCCCCCACTCCCTGACAGGCCCTAGTGTGTAATTTTCTCCTTCCTGTGTCCGTTTGTTCTCATTGTTCAACTCCCACTTATAAGTGAGAACATGCAGTGTTTGGTTTTCTGTTCTTGGGTTACTTTGCTGAGAATGATGGTTTCCAGTTTCATCCATGTCCCTGCAAAGGACATGAACCCCTTCTTTTTTATGGCTGCATAGTATTCCATGGTGTATATGTGCCACATTTTCCTTATCCAGTCTATCATCGATGGGCATTTGAGTTGGTTCCAAAACTTTGCTATTGTGAACAGTGCTGCAATAAACATATGTGTGCATGTGTCTTTATAGTAGAATGATTTATAATCCTTTGGGTGTATACCCAGTAATAGGATTGCTGGGCCAAATGGTATTTCTAGTTCTAGATCCTTGAAGAATTGCCACACTGTCTTCCACAATGGTTGAACTAATTTACACTCCCACCAACAGTGTAACAGTGTTCCTATTTCTCCACATCCTTTCCAGCATCTGTTGTTTCCTGACTTTTTAATGATTGCTATTCTAACTGGTGTGAGATGTTATATCTCATTGTGGTTTTGATTTGCATTTCTCTAATGACCAGTGATGATGAGCATTTTTTCATAAGTTTGTTGGCTGCATAAATGTCTTCTTTTGAGAAGTGTCTGTTCATATCCTTTGCCCACTTTTTGATGGGGTTGTTTGTTTGTTTTTTTCTTGTAAATTTGTTTGAGTTCTTTGCAGATTCTGAATATTAGTCCTTTGTCAGATGGATAGATTGCAAAAATTTTCTCCCATTCTGTAGGTTGCCTGTTCATGCTGATGGTAGTTTCTTTTGCTGTTCAGAAGCTCTTTAATTTAATTAGATCCCATTTGTCTATTTTGGCTTTTGTTGCCATTGCTTTTGGGGTTTTAGTCATGAAGTCTTTGCCCATGCCTATGTCCTGAATGCTATTGCCTAGGTTTTCTTCTTGGGGTTTTTATGGTTTTAGGTCTTACATTTAAGTCTTTCATCCATCTTGAGTTAATTTTTGTATAAGGTGTAAGGAAGGGATCCAGTTTCAGCTTTCTGCATATGGCTAGCCAGTTTTCCCAGCACCATTGATTAAATAGGGAATCCTTTCCTGATTTCTTGTTTTTGTCAGGTTTGTCAAAGATCAGATGGTTGTAGATGTGTGGTATTATTTCTGAGGTGTCTGTTCTGTTCCATTGGTCTATATCTCTGTTTTGGTACCAGTACCATGCTGTTTTGGTTACTGTAGCCTTGTAGTATAGTTTGAAGTCAGGTAGTGTGATGCCTCCAGCTTTGTTCTTCTTGCCCAGGATTGTCTTGGCAATGCAGCTCTTTTTTGGTTCCATATGAAGTTTAAAGTAATTTTTCCCAATTCTGTGAAGAAAGTCATTGTTAGCTTGATGGGGATGGCATTGAATCTATAAATTACCTTGGGCAGTATGGCCATTTTCATGATACTGATTCTTTCTATCCATGAGAATGAAATATTCTTTCATTTGTTGGTGCCCTCTTTTATTTCCTTGAGTAGTGGTTTGTAGTTTTCCATGAAGAAGTCCTTCACATCCCTTGTAAGTTGGATTCCTAGGTATTTTATTCTCTTTGAAGCAATTGTGAATGGGAGTTCACTCATGATTTGGCTCTCTGTTTGTTATTGGTGTACAAGAATGCTTGTGATTTTTGCACATTGATTTTGTATCCTGAGACTTTGCTGAAATTGCTTATCAGCTTAAGGAGATGTGGCGCTGAGATGATGGGGTTCTCTAAATATACAATCATGTCATCTGCAAACAGAGACAATTTGACTTCCTCTTTTCCTAATTGAATACCTTTATTTATTTCTCTTGCCGGATTGCCCTGGCCAGAACATCCAATACTATGTCGAATAGGCATGGTGAGAGAGGGCATCCTTGTCTTGTGCCAGTTTTCAAAGGGAATGCTTCCAGTTTTTGCCCATTCAGTATGATGTTGGCTGTGGGTTTGTCCTAAATAGCTCTTATTATTTTGAAATACGTTCCATCAATACCTAGTTTATTGAGAGTTTTTAGCATGAAGCGCTGTTGGTATACCTGAAAATGATGGGGAGAATGGAACCAAGCCAGAGGCCTTTTCTGCATCTATTGAAATAATCATGTGGTTTTTGTCGTTGGTTCTGTTTATGTGATGGATTATGTTTATTGATTTGTGTATGTTGAACCAGTCTTGCATCCCACGGATGAAGCCGACTTGATCGTGGTGGATAAGCTTTTTGATGTGCTGCTGGATTCGGTTTGTCAGTATTTTATTGAAAATTTTTGCATCTATGTTCATCAGGGATGTTGGCCTAAAATTTTCTTTTTTTTGTTATGTCTTTGCCAGGTTTTGGTATCAGGATGATGCTGGCCTCATAAAATGAGTTAGGGAGGAGTCCCTCTTCTTCTATTATTTGGAATAGTTTCAGAAGGAATGGTACCATCTTCTCTTTGTACCTCTGGTAGAATTCGACTGTGAATCTGTCTGGTCCTGGACTTTTTTTGTTGGTATGCTATTAATTGCTGCCTCAATTTCAGAACCTATTATTGTTCTATTCAGAGATTTGACTTCTTCCTGGTTTAGTCTTCGGAGAGTGTACTTGTCCATGAATTTATCCATTTCCTCTAGATTTTCTAGTTTGTTTGCATAGAGGTGTTTATAGTATTCTCTGATGGTAGTTTGTATTTCTGTGGGATTGGCGGTGATATCCCCTTTATCATCTTTTATTGCGTCTATTTGATTCTCCTCTCTTTTCTTCTTTATTAATCTACCTATTTTGTTGATCTTTTCAAAAAACCAGCTCCTGGATTTATTGATTTTTTTTTGAAGGTTTTTTTGTGCCTCTATCTTCTTCATTTTTGCTCTGATCTTAGTTATTTCTTGTCGTCTTCTTCTGCTAGCTTTTGAATTTGTTTGCTGTTGCTTCTCTAGTTCTTTTAACTGTGATGTTAGGTGTCGATTTTAGATCTTTCCTGCTTTCTCTTGTGGGCATTTAGTGCTATAAATTTCCCTCTACACACTACTTTAAATGTGTCCCAGAGATTCTGGTACGTTTTATCTTCGTTCCCATTGGTTTCAAAGAACATCTTTATTTCTGTCTTCATTTCGTTATTTACCCAGTAGTCATTTAGGAGCAGGTTGTTCAGTTTCCTTGTAGTTGTGTGGTTTTTAGTGTTTCTTAATCCTGAGTTCTAATTTGTTTGCACTGTGGTCTGAGAGACAGTTTATTGTGATTTCTGTTCTTTTACATTTGCTGAGGAGTGTTTTACTCCAGTTATGTGGTCAATTTTAGAATAAGTGTGATGTGGTGCTGAGAAGAATGTATATTCTGTTGATCGAGGGTGGAGAGTTCTGTAGATATCTATTAGGTCCACTTGGTCCAAAGCTGAATTCAAATCCTGGATATCCTTGTTAATTTTCTGTCTTATTGATCTGTAGGGTGTTAGGGTGTTAAAGTCTCCGACTATTATCATGTGGGAGTCTAAATCTCTTTGTAGGTCTCTAAAAACTTGCTTTATGAATCTGGGTGCTCCTGTATTGGGTGCATGTATATTTAGGATAGTTAGCTCTTGTTGCATTGATTCCTTTACCATTATGTAATGGCCTTCTTTGTCTCTTTTGACCCTTGTTGGTTTACAGTCTGTTTCATCAGAGACTAGGATTGCAACTCCTGCTTTTTTTTGCTTTCCATTTGCTTGGTAATCTTCATCCATCCCTTTATTTTGAGCCTATGTGTGTCTTTGCATGTGAGATGTGTCCCCTGAATACAGCACATTGATGGATCTTGATTCTTTATCCTGTTTGCCAGTCTGTGTCTTTTAATTGCGGCATTTAGCCCAGTTACATTTAAAGTTAATATTGTTATGTGTTATTTTGATCCTGTCATTATAATGCTAGCTGATTATTTTGCTTGTTAGTTGATGCAGTTTTTTCATAGTGTTGATGGTCTTTACAATTTGACATGTTTTTGCAGTGGCTGGTACTGGTTGTTCCTTTCCATGTTTAGCGCTTCCTTCAAGAGCTCTTGTAAGGCAGGCCTGGTGGTGACAAAATCTCTCAGCATTTGCTTGTCTGTAAAGGATTTTATTTCTCCTTCTCTTATGAAGCTTAGTCTGGCTGGATATGAAATTCTGAGTTGAAAATTCTTTTCTTTAAGAATGCTGAATATTGGCCCCCACTCTCTTCTGGCTTGTAGAGTTTCTGCCGAGAAATCCGCTGTTTGTGTGATGGGCTTCCCTTTGTGGGTAACCCAACCTTTCTCTCTGGCTGCCCTTAACATTTTTTCCTTTATTTCAACCTTGGTAAATCTAATGATTATGTGTCTTGGGGTTGCTCTTTTCAAGGAATATCTTTGTGCTGTTCTTTGTATTTCCTGAATGTGAATGTTGGACTGCCTTGCTAGGTTGGGGAGGTTCTCCTGGATAATATCCTGAAGAGTGTTTTCCGGCTTAGTTCCCTTCTCCTTGTCACTTTCAGGTATACCAATCAAACATAAATTTGGTCATTTCACATAGTCCCATATTTCTTGGAGGCTTTGTTCATTTCTTTTTACTCTTTTTCTCTAATCTTGTCTCCTTGCTTAATTTCATTAAGTTGATCTTCAGTCACTGATATCCTTTCTTCTGCTTGAACGATTTGGCTATTGAAACTTGTGTATGGTTCATGAAGTTCTCATGCTG
Organism: Homo sapiens; assembly: GCF_000001405.40. Classification (NCBI taxonomy): domain Eukaryota; kingdom Metazoa; phylum Chordata; class Mammalia; order Primates; family Hominidae; genus Homo; species Homo sapiens. The sequence continues at coordinate 154,876,298 of NC_000003.12, read as the reverse complement.
TGTTTTTCAGCTCCATCAGGTCGTTTATGTTCTTCTCTACACTGGTTTTTCTAGTTAGCATTTCGTCTAACATTTTTTCAAGGTTCTTAGCTTCCTTGCATTGGTTTAGAACATGCTCCTTTAGCTTGGAGGAGTTTGTTATTACCTACCTCTGAAGCCTACTTCTGTCAATTCGTCAAACTCATTCTCCATCCAGTTTTGTTCCCTTGCTGGTAAGGAGTTGTGAGCCTTTGGAGGAGAACAGGTGTTCTGGTTTTTGGAATTTTCAGCCATTCTGCTGTGGTTTCTCCCCATCTTTGTGGTTTTATCTACTTTGGTTTTTGAAGTTAGTGACCTACTGATGGGGTTTTGATGTGGATGTCCTTTTTGTTGATGTTGATGCTATTCCTTTCTGTTTGTTAGTTTTCCTTCTAACAGTCAGGACCCTCAGCTGCAGGTCTGTTGGAGTTTGCTGGAGGTCCACTCCAGACTGTTTTTGTGGGTATCACCAGCAGAGGCTGCAGAACAGCAACTATTGCTGCCTGATCCTTCCTCTGAAAGCTTCGTCCCAGAGGGACACCCACCAGATGCCAGCCAGAGCTCTCCTGTATGAGTTGTCTGTCAGCCCCTACTGGGAGATGTCTCTCAGTCAGGCTACCTGGGGGTCAGGGACCCACTTGAGGAGGCAGTCTGTCTGTTCAGAGCTTGAATGCTATGCTGGAGAACCACTGCTCTCTTCAGAGCTATCAGTCAGGGACATTTAAGTCTGCTGAAGCTGTGCCCACAGCTGCCCCTTACCCCAGGTGCTCTGTCCCAGGGAGATGGGGGTTTTATCTGTAAGTGCCTGACTAGGGCTGCTGCCTTTTGTTCAGAGATGCCCTGCCTACAGAGGTGGAATCTAGAGAGGCAGTCAGCCTTGCTTAGCTGTAGTGGGCTCTGCCCAGTTCAAACTTCCTGGCAGCTTTGTTTACACTGCGAGCATAAAACTGCCTACTCAAGCCTCAGTAATGGTGGACGTCCCTGCTCCACCAAGCTCGAGCGTCCCAGGTCTATCTCAGACTGCTGCGTTAGCAGCGAGGATTTCAAGCCAATGGATTTTACTTTGCAGGGCTCTGTGGGCAAGGGACCTGCCAAGCCAGGCACTGGAGGGAATCTCCTGGTCTGCCAGTTGCGAAGACTGTGGGAAAAGTGCAGTATCTGGGCAGGAGTATACTGTTCCTCCTGGTACAGCCTCTCATGGCTTCCCTTGGCTAGGAAAGGGAAATCCCCCGACCCCTTGCATTTCCTGGAGCTGTTCCTATTAGGCCATCTTCCTGGGCCCTCCCCAAGGTCTTCTTTTCTTTCTTTCCTTCTTCAGATGTCTCACTCTGTCACCAAGTGTGAAGTGCAGTAGTATGATCACAGCTCACTGTGGTCTCAAACTCCTGGGCTCAAGAGATCCTCCTGCCTCAGCCTCCTGAGTAGCTAGGACTACAGGCATGTGCCACCATGCTGAGCTAATTAAAAAAAATTTTTTTTGTAGAGATGGTGTCTCACTGTATTGCCCAGGCTGGTCTCAAACTCCTGGCCTCAAGCAACCCTCCTGCCTTGGCCTCCCGAAGTACTGGTATTACAAGCATGCCTGGCCCCTCTGTTCTTTATTTCTGTTTTTGTCTCCCATTACTTCTGCTTTTTGTGGTTTTAATTGATTATTTTACAGATCCATTTTCTTTCCCTTCTTAGCTTATTTATTTTTCTTCTTTATTTTTAAAAAAGGTTTTCCTAGTGTTTGCAATAAACATTTACACCTAATCCAAATCCACTTTTAAATTATACAATAGCATTTCAGAGATAGTGTGAATAACTTAAAAAATTGAATTTCTTCAGCACATTCTTTGTATCACTGCTGTCATTCATTTCACTCATATATAATCATACATAAACATATATAATCAAAAACATTGTTACTATTGTTATTTTGAAAAAATTATTATCTGTTAGATCAATCAACAATCAGAAAAGTTTTTTTCTTACTTTCACTTATCTTCTCTTTGTTGGTCTTATTTTCTTCACGTAGATGCGAGTTTCTGACCTAGGTCACTTTCCTTCTTTCTGATGATCTTCTTTTAACATTTCTTGCAAGGCAGGCCTACTGGCAACAAATTTTCTCCATTTTTATTTGTCTAAGAAACTCTTTATTTCTTCTTCACTTTTGAAGAATAATTTCACAGGGTACAAGGTTCTAGATTAGTGGTTTTTTTCTCTCAATACTATATAGATTTGATTCCGCTTTATTCTTGCTTGCATAGTTTCTGAGAAGTCAAATATAATTTGCTTTTCTAAGCAGCAGTCCCCAGACTTTTTGACATCAGGAACCAGTTTGATGGAAGACAATTTTTCCACAGATGGGGTCAGGGGGTGGGATTGGTTTTGGGTTGAAAGTCTTCCACCTCAGATCATCAGGCATTAATTGGATTCTCATAAGGAGTGTGCAACCTAGATCCCTTGCATGTGCAGTTCACGATAGCGTTCACGCTCCTATGAGAATCTAATGCTGCAGCTGATCTGACAGGAGGCGGAGCTCAGGTGGTAATACTCCATTGCTGCCGTTCACCTGCTGCTGTGCAGCCCATTTCCTAACAGGCCACAGATCAGTACAGGTCTCTGGCCCAGGGGTGAGGACCCCTGCTTTATAGGAAAGGTTCCCTGACCCCTCCCCACGTCCCCTTCCCTCGCCCCTGGCTTCTTTCAGAAGTTTTTATCTTCCATTTTCTATAATTTGAATATAGTAGGCCTAGCTGTTGTTTTTTGGGCATTTATCCTGTTTAATGGTCTCTGAGCTTCCTAATTTTATAACTTGGTGTCTGACGTTAATCTTTGGAAATTTTTAGTCATTATTGTTTCAAATATTTGTTCTGTTTCTCTCTTTCTTCTCCTGGTATTCCTCAGTATGAATAGATTACATGTTTTCTAGTTGTCCCACAGAGCTTGGATATTCTGTTCTATTTTTTTTCTGTTTTCACTTTGCTTTTCAATTTTGGAAGTTTCCATGGTCATATCCTCAGGCTAAGAGAGTCTTTCCTCAGCCTTGTCCAGTTTACTAATGAACCCATTAAAGGCATACTTTATTCCTGTGGATGCATTTTTGATATCTAGTATTTCTGATTGATTCAGTCCTAGAATTTCCATCTTTCTGCTTATATAATCTGCCCCTTTTTGCATGCTTAGTTTTTCCATTAAAGCCATTATCATATTAATTATAGTTTAAAAAATTCTTGGCTTAATTCCAACATTCCCGCCATGTATGGTTGGTTCAGATGCTTATTCAGCCTCTTCAAACTGTTTTTCTGCCTTACAGTATAACTTGTAATTTTTTGTTTAGAGGAAGACATGATTTACTGGGTAAAAAATAATTCGGTTAAGTAGGCCTTAGTCATGTGGTGATAAGGTATGAGGGAAGAAAGAGTGTTCTGTAGTCCTATGATTAAGTTTCAACTCTTTTAGTGAGGCTGTGCCTCTGGGCTGTTACTTCACAGTGCCTTCCAGTCCCCTCACTTAAGTGGAACAGTATGGTTAGAGGAGGCTGGAGCTGGGTATTTTCCTTTCCCCAACATGGAAAGCTAGAGGATGCAGAGTTGGATATTTCCCTTCTCCTATGTGAAAGGCCAGAGCTGAGTGGATTTGGATATTTCCCTTCTCCAGGTTAGTTAGGCTCTGATAATGCCCCAGAAGGTTAGACTTCTGTTAATTAGCTTCTCCTGAGGCTCTTGTTAAGAACAAAATGCTCTGATATCTTTCAAAATGGTTCCTTTTCCCATCCCCCTGACAGAAGTGTGAGGAGATTTTTTCCTCCGGCATTTACTGTGGTAATTTGCTTGATCTCCTGAACATAAATCTCACAGTATTGTGGGAGCCTCCCTATAACTGGGTTCTCCTGGAGTTTTTCTCTCTCAGAAGTGTCCACAATGAGCCTCCATCAATTTGTCCACTGCGGTTTGTGTTTTCCTCCCCTGACGCTGCTTCCTGACGTCTCAGCTTGCACATCTGCTCTGGCATTCGCTGTATCCACCTGTCTCTCCACTTTGAGGGCAGTGGCTTGCCTCATGTCCTCCTCTTTCTTTAAGACTCAAGAAGAGTTATTGCTTTTTCCGTTTGTTCAGTTCTTTTTTCACTCGTTGTTAGGACACAGCCATTGTTTCCAAGGTCTTTACATGTGGAACAGGAAACCAGAAGTCAGAGATGCTCTTTTTTATATGGAAAAATATATTTTATATGGAAATAATTTCAAACTTTAAAAAATAAAAATAGTAAAAGGAAAACTAATGTATCCTTTTACCTAATTCCCCTGTTGTTACCATTTTACTCTGTTTGCTTTGTTATTTTCATTTGCTCTCTCATTGAGTAACTACTCTTTTGCCAGATTTTTTTAATCTTCTCCCTATTTCTAATCTTCAGAGAAAATTTATTCAAAATTCATCCAAATTTTAGATATAAAGAAACTAAAGCTTTATGAGATGAAGTGGCTATTATTTTTTGCCTCTTATTCACCTTGTGTTTTCTAATTTTCCTTTGGAGAACCCTTACTCTTCACTCATGTGGTTCAGATGGATGGATCCTCTCCAGGTTGTAGGGGTGGGTTCGTGACCCATGCTTAGCAAGTGAAGGCAATGCATCTTCTTTGTTATAGCAATTAGTTCAGAGATGGGCATATGACTCAATTCAGATGAATTATAACCAATCAACATTAGCCCCAGAGCATTTTTCTAAAACATTTAGGAATGTAGTTCTCTTTCCCTTGGAGTTGTTAAACTGTAGAATACAAGTTTGGAGCTGTTAGAGACCTTTTTTTTGCTAACACAAGGAGACTTATAGTGAGACTGAGAATAAAGCTAACACAGAGAAAGAAAGAGAGTTCTGAAAGAAAGAGTCATAGATGCCTGGAATCATTATTTGCAAGATAATGACACAGTCATGTTAGACTTAGATTTCCCTTTTTGCCCAATATTTACCCTTGCAACATAGAATAAACTCCTGTTCTTTTCTACTCTATCCTTCTCTATTCTATTCTGTCTTCCTCTACTCAGTTATTTCCATTCCACTGGACACCACTTAAAAAGAAATAGTGGTTGATTTGAGATTCTGTTACTTGCCACTGAAAACATTCTGACTAATTGAGACACTACACTCTTTTCTAAGATTCCAAGGCTGTTTAAGTGTCAGAAGCTGGAATTTAAACTAAGTTCTGTCTTAGGCCAAACTCTTCCCTCTTGCAAACAGAAGGCCTCTCAATTGTACTAAGTGCTGGCAAATAAAGAGAGGAGAGAATTGCACACATGCAACTTCTTAAGAAGAATGTTTCAGGCTGGGCGTGGTGGCTCAAGCCTGTAATCCCAGCACTTTGGGAGGCCGAGGCAGGTGGATCACGAGGTAAGGAGATCGAGACCATCCTTGCCAATATGGTGAAACTTTGTCTCTACTAAAAATACAAAAATTAGCCGGGCATGGTGGCACATGCCTGTAATCCCAGCTACTCAGGAAGCTAAGACAGGAGAATCGCTTGAACCAGGGAGCTAGAGGTTGCAGTGAGCTGAGATTGCGCCACAGCACTCCAGCCTGGCGACAGAGCGAGACTCTGTCTCAAAAAAAAAAAGAAGAAGAAAAATGTTTCAGTAAACAAACTGTTTTTTAACATGTCTGTATTCCATATTATTATAGAACATCATATGCTCTACTGTGGCAAATAAAGAAAGATATAGAAATAAAAATAACTCACTGTGTAATGCTTATGAATTAATAGAAAATAAAAGTTATTTTTTAAAAGACAGGGAAAAAGACACATTGATAGTTTGATCATTTTGAACTACATAAATGGACAAAAATTTCTGTCTGAAAAAAAGAGTAAAGGGCCACATCATACCCTCAAACCATTACCCTTTTCTGATGTTTCCAGTACTCTCCACAAAGTCACTGGCTTCAGATCCTTTAGGTACATAACACGAGTCATTTTCAGTTCTCTCTTGCCACCACCAAAGGTCCCAAGACAAGCCCTGGTGATTCTAATTATAGAATATTATTTTATCTTTTATACTTCCACAGGCCTGGGCTTTTTTTTTGTATTAAGCTGGGACTGTTGTAACAATATATTATAAAAACAAAATATTATATTTGCCATGCTTCCGTTTTCAGGCAGAAGGACTTTGTCACCCAAGCATTTACTAAGCTAGCATTTTTCAAGTGATGGGCCTTAGTAGGTCACAGCCACTATTTCTTTTTAAGTGGAGTACAATGGAATGGAAATAACTGAATAGAGCAAGAGAGAATAGAATAGAGAAGGATAGAGTAGAATAGAACAGGAGTGTATTCTATGTTGCAAAGGTAAATATTGCAGCACAACATTTTTATGTACAACATTTTTATATACCTAAAAATATGGGTATTGATATGGATATAGGTATTGATACAGGTCTAGGTATATGATGTGAATGTGTTTGTGTGCATGCTTATGCATACTGGGTTGCCATATATAAAATATATTTCATATGTGAGTTTTCAACAAAAATGTTCAAAATCCAGTGAACTAGACAGAGCAGTAACTAGCAGTCAATCGAAGAAAATATATTAGCAGAATCTAGTTTATGCAAACATTGCTATAGGAATCATCATTACAACACAAGAGTGACCTTGCAGTATCTTTGCTGTGAAAATGACAGTGAATACAATCCTCCCTAAGTTCTGAACTCGTTCCAATGTGCTTCAAAGTTGGTCACAAAAATGATGCTTCCTGTGGAATAACCCTTATCTGTCACTGTTCTCTAAGCATTGCTTCTCTCCTCTCATCTCTGCCAAGTCACAGCATTACCTCCATTCAGAATCTTGTTCAAAACCTACTTCTTCCACAGAACTGTGAGAAACTTTGTCCTAAAAGAAACAGGTTAGACCAGGTGCAGTGGCTCATGCCCATAATCCCAGCACTTTGGGAGGCCAAAGTGGGCGGATCACCTGAAGTCACTTTTTTATATACCTAAAGACAGGCCTGGCCAACATGGTGAAACTTCATCTCTACTAAAAATATAAAAATTAGCTGGGTGTAGTGGCAGGCACCTGTAATCCCAGCTACTCAGGAAGCCGAGGCAGGAGAATTGCTTGAACCCTGAGGTAGAGGTTGCAGTGAGCCGAGATTGGGCCACTGCACTCCAGCCTAGGCGACAGAGCAAGATTCCATCTCACACACACACACAAAAGAAGTTAGTTTATACCTTATTTGATTAAAATCTTTTTAACTTATTACTAGCTTTGTAGAAAGTTTGAAAAGTACAGAGGAAAAAATGAAATACGGTATAAAGAAGGAAAGGAAAAAAAAAAGCAATCCATGCCAATCCTATTAACATTTTAGGTAGGTGGAAATGGCCTCCAAAGGCCAAAGAAAAAAATTTTTTTTTTTTTTTGAGTTGGAGTCTCGCTCTGTTGACCAGGCTGGAGTGCAGTGGGGAAATCTTGGCTCACTGCAACCTCCCCCTCCAGGCTCAAGTGATTCTCTTGCCTCAGCCTCCTGAGTAGCTGGGATTAGGGGTGCCCACAACCACGCCTGGCTAATTTTTTTTTTTTTTTTGGTATTTTTAGTAGAGACGGGGTTTCACCATGTTGGCCAGGCTGGTGTCAAACTGCTGACCTCAACTTATCTGCCCGCCTTGGCCTCCCAAAGTGCTGGGATTACAGGTGTGAGCCACCGCACCTGGCCAGAAAAATTTTTATTTGAGATGTTGAAGAGGAATCATCATAATTCCCCCAAATCTATTCCATTTAAGGTTTAAATTAAATATAATCAATGTGAGCACAAAACTTCGATAATTAAAAAATTAACTATCACTTCTGAGTTATAAGAAGAACAAGGATTTAACCAAAAGATTACTCGTGATTAAAAGATATTTATGAGAGTTGAGGTAACTTACTAGTTTCATTAGTAAGCTGTGCCGGTTTCTCTTTGATTCAAAAAGTGTTTTCAAAGTGTCACAATAAGTTTTGGGTTGATGAAAATATGATATACACAGTGGTGAAACCTGATGAGGAATGACTGGAAAATGTGTGAAAAGAAAACATGTGAGAAGTGTTAGACTAAGTCCTTGAGAGAAAAACAGGAATGGGTCTGTAATCCTAGTTCAAGTTTCCACGGTCTTTTTCCTTGTATCTCTGCCAACCATCTTTCTAAATAAATTAATAATAAAGCTTGCAGGAATAACAAATGTTTTGCTGAAATGCTGATATATTTTTATTTCTCTATTTGAACATCATGAAAGTACATTTGAGTTTATGAATATTAACTTTCATGGCCTCATTCACGATCTCATCTTTGCGTCTTGTCCCCACATTTCTGGGCCAGACTTGGAGCTTCCATTAATGTCAAACGGAGCTTTGCCCTAAGGCAGGGAACTGAAAGGTTGTAGTAACAAAATGAGGATTTGTCCTACTGGGAATGAGTAAAAGAAAAGGAAGTTCACTTTTGTCAAAGAAAGCAAAAAAAAAAAAGCCTATAGAAGTTGGAATAAAAAATAAAACTTTTTCAGATATCTTTGTTGTTTGAGATATAAACCAAGGCTATGTTGAAGTTAGCAATTTAACTTTATTCATTTGCCTTTCAGAAACAGTGTCATCTGTAAGCAGTAGCATCCTGTGATCTCTGCAGTCTTTTCTGAAATATCTCTTCTTATCATGGGTCATGAAAACTTACGATAGAAATTTAACAAAACACTTACTGTTTAAGAAATTAAGATTCCATCTTGGGCTTTCCTAAAGGGAAAAAGAGGAAAAAAAGTTTCTGTGTACTTTAGCAATACAACCCATGCAGAACTGGAAAACGACTAAATAAATGAAAATAATTTTGTCTCTGTAAAAGACAGGGCAGAGCCAGCTTTTGGTTGAATATCTGTCAAAACTAATGAAAGCCTGTAGTAAAGGCAAAAAGAATCAACCATCTTAGTTGGCCATCAAGGTAAACATCTTATACCTAGGTGCTCACCTTATTTTCTATGAGCTTTGCATGAGATAAACTGCATTTCATCTCAGACAAGCCAAAAGCCCTGGAAGTCCCTGCCCAGCCAGACTCTTTCCAGGGAAAACACAGAAGCCATAATCTGTTGAACCCTTGCAATTAAGTCGAACCATTTGAAATTGCTGGTTAAGAAGTACTAGGCACATTAGATAAGTTATTGCTGTAATCCCTACAATTTGGCTTTGAGATAGGCACTACCATTCACATGAAGCTGATGAGAAAGGAGGCCAGGGAGGTAATGTTATTTGCCTAGGATAGGGTCACTTGGCTTGTCAGTGTTGGAGTTGGGTTCCAACAAGATCTGACTCTAAAGCTAGTGATGAGTTAGTTTATCAGGAAACAAAAAGTTAAAAAGACATTCCTGAAATATTTTCTTTTTTTTTGGATGGCCAAAATTAAAAGTGTTTTACTACGAGTTAAGGTAAAGAGGGGTTCTACTCTCCTTGGAAAGACAAAGGGGAAAAAATGGGGGAAAGCTATTAATAAATGTAAAGGATTAAAATAAAAATTCATTACTGCAATGAAGGACAGAGTTAACTGTGTACAAGCCATATGCCTGGGACAAAATAAAGCAGTAATTTGCCTCTTAATAAATAATAGCAAGATGTGCTATATAAATGCAATGGTACTTGGCATACAAAAGGAAATTTAGAAACTTGAGAATACAAGCTGTTGTATTAGAACCCTTTAATGGTGTCTAACAAATCAGACCCAAATTATAATTCTAAGATTTTTTTTTAAATCAGCCATAGCACATAAATACGTGATATGAGCTTTCTGAGTTCACTTATCCATGTGCAGATGTACCCAGGTCATACTTTTTGCAACCCCAAATGTTTGCTCTGCCCTCTAAAGGGCTTAGAGGAATTCATTCAGCCAGTTGGTTTATTATGGATAGCTCCTTCACTCTGAGATTTAGATCAAATATGCTGAAAAAAGGTGGTTTTCTGTCTTTGAGTGAGACTAGTACATATATGTAATAAACACTGAACTTTTTTAAAAAAAGGAAACATTCACTGAAAGGCAAACTTTCACTATATCTCTGCATAATTGATCCAGGCCACTTAGTTGAGTAAAATGTGTTCAGTTAGTCACTTAAGATGTGACACGTACCACTTGGAACAATCTAGAAGTGAGGTTAACAAGGGCCTCTGATTCACTCAGTGAACTCTGAAGGTAGAATGAAAAACATTTATTAAAAAATCTATTACTTTTGTCATTTTTAATGACTCAATTAAAAAACATTATTTCCTTTAAATCTACAGTAGGGATCCAATATACTCAACTAGGCTTTAAACAAAATAATGGTTATAAAAGTCTTTCTGAAAATATGAAAAAGTTAAAGCATCACTAACAGCAACCTCTCAAAATAAGATTAAACAATTCAAAATGCCACCAGTAAATAATTGTAAAGAAAATACAGTTAACTCTTAAGTATTTAGTATGTTGTAGGTTTTTAAAAAACTTTTTGCATTATCAGTATTCATCTCTTTTTTTTTTTTTGAGACAGAGTTTTGCTCTTGTCACTCAGGCTGGAGTGCAGTGGCACAGATCTCGGCTCACTGCAACCTCCACCTCCTGGGTTCAAGCGATTCTCCTGCCTCAGCCTCCCAAGTAGCTGGGATTACAAGCGCCCGCCACCACGCCTGGCTAATTTTTGTATTTTTAGTAGAGATGGGGGTTTCACCATGTTGGCCAGGCTGGTCTTGAACTCCTGACCTCAGTTGATTCACCCACCTTGGCCTCCCAAAGTGCTGGGATTACAGGTGTGACAGTGTTCATCTTTTAAGCTTCTTTTCCATTCATTTTCTGACTTTTTAATCACCTGACTGTGCCTCAAGAACCAGTCTTGGTTCAATGAACAGGCTGGATGAGAAAGAAGTTTTGAAACTGAAGTCAACGTTAGATAAATTATAATAATGAACAAGGCTGAGCTGGGATTAGCATCACTACCTCAGAGAAAAATTTAAGAAGGTACCAAAAAACTCAGAAATGAAAACAGTATTTTAATACAATATTTTAAAAAATCAAAATTAATGCAAAAATTCATGATTAAAAAAACAAAAATGTAAATAAAGACATCTTGTTTGTTTGCCTGACAGTCCTGTGTTATTATGCAACAGGAACAGTTGTTTCCAATCAGCTCACAATTCTCAGCCAGTGCAACCCTCTTGGCTTCTGCCAGGAGGATCTATGAAGGCTGACAATGATGTGTAAACTATTTTAATTGTAGAACTTTTGTTAACTTTCCCACTTGGTTCAAAATATAGGAGGATATTTTGTTAGGTATATGTAGATTCACACTTTTAATTTTTTTCTTTTTACCTCGGGCTCCAACATGGTTTCATTTAACACTGATAATGGAGTTCAATAAGTGAGTCCCAGGCAGCTGGAAATTCAGAATTCATCAGCATTTGCTTTTTGGTTTCAAGATGGACGTGGTTCATGTTCTGGGAATTTCCTTCATACAAAGCTAGAAGTTACTTCATGGAGACCTAAAAAAATTAAAACATATTCTAGTTTTTCTGTCAATATTTTGCAAGGCCAAGATCAATCTCAGCACTGTGCTAAGCAAAAAGATGTATAATTCCTAGTGTAATGCCTGACATGGATTAATTGCCCAATACGTGTTTGTTCTTTGAGCTCTGAAATTCCCACAGGTGGGATAAAAAGTTCTTTTAGTTGTAAAGTAGAAAGTAATAGTAATGATAAATAATAATAATTCAAATTTATTAATATTTTAGTCCTTTATTACACTGACTTCAAAAAAATTATCAGTATTATTTCTAGTCTGCTATATTTATTTTCAAGGCTATGAAAATCTTGCTTCCAGCTCTCAGAACACAAAATCAAGACTATATATCCTAGCTTCTCTCCCCTTTTTTTAGACAAAAAAGACGTGGCATCTAAGTTTCTTTGACATTCTTCCTTATCTTGATGTGTGAAACTCCTTGAGGTCAAGTTCAGTGTCTCGAACATCATAACTTTTTAGTAAATGCATATTGAATTAAATGCTATGAATCTAAATTGTGGCAATAGCCTGACTACCAGTTTTTGTTTTATTTTCATCCAGGTTTCAAGGAATGGTGGCTTTCATGTGCTTGGCTAATTCCAGCCTGAAAGTAGCACAATGCTTCATGTACAGATGATCAAAAGTACCTGGATAAAGCCAAAACTCAGGAAACTCAACTTGTACCATGCTGTATGGGATGCTAGGGAGAAGTTCAAAAGATTTCTAGGCAAAATAACCTTGTTGTCTCCCTAAATATGTTCCAAGTAGCCTGAATCCCTCTCCTACACCTTGTGAAAATCTTTTTTCTGCAATTCAATATCAAAATTAGAGAAAAATAGAGAGTAATATATTACAGAAAAAACAGAAATGGAAGGTAGCAGCAAGTTGTAATGCAGTTTCTACAAGTGGAAGATTAGAGAGGAATGTTCCATTCAGGTGGCTTGAAGATCCTCCTACAAATGAATTCTGAGTTTTTGGTGTTTCTTTCTTTTCCTTCAGTTTGTTAAATGTGCCCATAATGTTAAACAAAAAAGACCCAATAAAACAAAAATGGCAGAAATTTTCTATCTTGTATCAGGTGGGTAGAACACAGATTTGGGATGAAATATTTCTGCTGTCATTTGAGATACCACATAAGCAACAATCTCGAGCATGTGTTGCCTTAGAAACAAGTCAGGAAATAACGCCTAGATCAGGTAAGGTAGGATGTTTTCATATAGAGCATTCACTTTTTGGTTTTAAGGGGCATAGAAAGGTGACTAAAATAATTGGTTGAGAATACACACATAATTATTTTTACACAAACCCCAAAGTGTGCAGCTAGCCTCTGGAGAAGCAAAAGTCCAGCATATTTTGTTGCCTAAAGCTTAGTGGGATATTAATGTGCATGGTAAATATTCAGTACTTTTGAAGTTCGATTTTGATATTGGTTATCCTTATATGCAAATCTCTTAAAAACCATGTTACGTGGTTTTGAACTTTTTGCTCAGTAGGGAAATGTATATGTATTTTTTCAGATCAAAATAAATTACATTTTTCCTTTTCATTGTATGGTTATTAATAACCCCACACATAAAATGCATTCATTAATATATGAGGTGTAATATAAATAATAAATTCCTTACTGTTGTTTCTTAAGGTATTCAAAGCCTGCGATAAAGTACTATTCTATTTGCTCACTAAAAATTAAATAACTACAAACTTTATAAAACAGTGTTATACAGGAGAAAAATTTGGCCTTGTATTATTGCTTGTAGAGAGGTAATCTTGAAGTATATAGCTAAGAATATAGCTAGCTTAGTGTGTCTTAAAACATAAAGTTATTAGAGGAAATATTTCTGACGTGTTGACCTGGATTTTGAAAGTCATGGAGCCTTGTTTAAAAATGATATGTAGTGGCGTAGTTGGTATTACTGCTGCTCTAAAGGGGAAAAGAATTTTAGTAGCACTTTTTTGCTTGAAATACATTGAAATGGAAGGAGAGTCTGTGAGAATGACTGTAATAGCTAAGAATCATTTGCATTTTCTCTCAGCCTAGTTGTCTGGTACAATAATAGGTGTAGAGAATTTGAAAATAAAACCTTCCAGAACTTCTAGATCCTTTTGGTTTATCCACAATAGAGATGTCTGCACTGTTAATCCAGTGGAAGAGATATGATAGAGCTTTCTCAGGCAAGGGTGTCACTTCATGAAAAAAGAGAAATCTCAGGCTTTCCCATGTCATTAAAAGAGTCTCTGTGAAACTACTGACATTTAGCTTGGTATTCAGCTGGAGGTTGAGAAGTTGTCAATTCCCCAGATCAGTTTGAGTCATGTTAAAAATACTTTGGTATGTGTGGTTGGTTAACTGCAGGTGTTTGGCTATGAAAGTTGAGGAAGCACAAACATGCAGTTAGAACATTGTGGTTCACAATGATTTGAATGGGAGCTAAGAGAAAACATTGTTTGTGACCAATTAATTTATTTCCTTTTTAGAAGTGTCTCTGTGATGCCAAACATCTGAGTGAAAAATAAAAAGCACTAGAAAATCCTTTGCAAAAATTTTTTTCTCTTCATCCATCCAATCATTTATTCGACATTTCCTGGTTGTTTATAATACATATGGCCTTATCACCAAGGAGCTTAGAGTATAAAAGGGGAGAAAGTTATGCACATATACTATAATTGTTATGGAAGTTATAAAGATATTAGAGAGTGCCACAAAAGAGATGTAAACAAACTCTTATGCCTAAGCAGATTACTTAAACATAGCTGGGAGATTCAGGAATGCCTTCTGGACAAGATGACATTCAGTTGAGCTTTAAAGTGAATGTTTTCATTCTAGCTGGAGTTTGGGCCATATAACAGAGACACTTCGGTTGTAAAAATGCAGAAAACACAAGTAAGACTTAAATGAGGATATTGGAGAGAAGGGAAGGCACAATCCATTAGAACATGATGATTCCCATTCAAATCATATAATTGGAATATGGTAGGAACATTTTTGGTTAGACTGGAAAGGGAAAAAGAGTGGGGCACTTGCCCCAGAATGTGAGAAGGGATTGCCTCATAAAATTGGTATCCATTAAGCAATAGTCTGAGATGTAAAGTTGTAAAGGTAGCTGGAGCTGTAAATGTTAAATCAAGGATTAACAGTAGGCCAAAGAAAAAGAACTAGGAAATTTTGCACTGGTGAAGGCAAGGGATGATAATTAAGGTTTGGATTAATATAATAAGAATGAAGTTAGGAAAGGATATGTATTCTAGATCTGCCAATTGTAGAATCGGTGTCAGTTGGCATTCAATTTGAATGTGAGTACTGTTGATTTTCATGGTGCCATAAACCAAATTTATATGTCATGTGAAAGCATGTGTTCGAGGGACGAGAATATATTCAATTTGATGCATATTGAGCTTGAAGTGTAGGTAGACTACCAAGTGGAAAGGTGGAGCAGAGTTTTCATTAGTGCTGGGCTCATATCAGGATGGAATCATAGATCTAGGAGTTCTACAGCAGTAATAACAGAAACCTAGTGATTGTTAAGAGAGTATATGTTGAGAGAAAGGAGGAAAAAAGAGAAGATGGTCAAAATGTTTAATGATTTAAGTACTAGGACATTTGAAAAGATATGGATGTTTTATACATCTATACTACCTAAAAAGTGACTTGAATTTTTACTTTTCATCTACATGGTTTAGTAACATGGGGGCATTTATATTTACTTTTTTTGGTGATTTTAAATTTAGTATTATATGTGGAAAGGTGTGGGTGATTTCTAACATATATGCTTGATGCCACGGCCTATATACAATTATCATATCCCCTTAATTGGAAAAGTTTGAACAATCAAAGGGCATTTTTCTAAATGGCCTCCTCAACTGTTTTCTGTGTTTTGGTCATATCCAAACATATTTTGATATTTTGTATGTTTGTCTTCAGGCTTACTCATTAAACCTCTACCTGACTTCTTTATTGGAGACTTTCGCAAGCTGCTCTGAAAATTCCTTTTTGGTGAGCATTAATTAATATTGATTGTAGTTTTTATATCATTTGGATTTATTAGTACTTGGAATAAAGGATATTTTCAAACCCAAAGTCAGAAGGGTATTTGGATGCATGCAAATTTTTACATAAGCTAATACTTTCCCTTATTGTGCTTTGGTGTCATTCATAAAATTGTAGTAAATACTCTTATTATGTAATGTAATCTCATTTGGGACTATTTGTATACTTGTTTGTGGGTGCAAACATAAAGCAGGGTAACACACATATAGTAGGCATTTAACAAATGCTAGTTCAAGTTAAATCTAAAGTGGGTTAAAAAGGAGGCTGGCATTGGTACCTTAGAAATGTCAGTCTTGTCTAGCTCTGTAATGGAGTAATGGACTGATGGAATCATTATGACTCCCATGGTTAGAAAATAGTATTTTTGTAATGACAGATTCTTTATCTGTAGAAATATGCCTATACAGTTACAATGCAACCCCTATCAACAGACCAATGACATTCTTCTCAGAAGTAGAAAAAAAAAAGAAATAGAAACAGAAATAGAAAAAAACAATCCTGATATTTATATGGAACCACAAAAGATCCAGAATAGCCAAAGCTATCCTAAGTAAAAGGAACAAAACTAGAGGAATCACATTATCTGACTTCAACTTGTAATGCAGGGCTATAGTAAACAAAACAGTGTGGTACTGGCATAAAAACAGACACATAGACCAATGAAACACAACAGAGAACTTAGGAACAAATCCATACATCTACAGTGAACTGATTTTCAACAAAGGTGCCAAGAACATACACTGGGGAAAAGACAGTCTCTTCATTAAATGGAGCTGGGAAACTGGGTATCCATATGCAGAAGAATGAAGCTAGACACTATATCTTGCCATACACAAAACTCAAATCAAAACGTATTAAAAATTTAAATCTAAGACGTCAAACTATGAAAATACTACAAGAAAACATTGGAGAAAATCTCTAGGACATCGATCTGAGCAAAAATTTCTTGAGAAAGACCCCACAAGCACAGGCAATGAAAGCAAAAATAGGCAAATGGGATCATATCAAGTTAAAAAGCTTCCACACAGCAAAAGAAACAATAAAGTGAACAGACAATGCAAAGAATGGGAGAAAGTATTTGCAAACTATCCATCTGACAAGGAATTAATAACCAGAATATATAAGGAACTCAAATAACTTTATAGGAAAAAAAATCTGATAATTTGATGAAAAAATGAGCAAAAGAGTTGAATAGACATTTCTTTTTCTTCTTCTTTTTTTTTCTTTTCTTTTTTCTTTCTTTTTTTTTTTTTTTTTTTTTTTTTTTGACACAAAGTCTCACTCTGTTGCCCAGGCTGGGGTGTGGTGTCATGATCTCAGCTCACTGCAACCTCTGCCTCCTGGCTTCAAGTGATTCTCCTGCTGAGCTCAGCCTTCTGAGTAGCTTGGATTACAGGCACCTGCCACCACATTTGGCTAATTTTTGTATTTTTAGTAGAGACAGGGTTTCACTATGTTGGCGAGGCTGGTCTCGAACTCCTGACCTCAAGTGATCTGCCTGCCTTGGCCTCCCAAAGTGCTGGGATTACAGGCGTGAGCCACCTTGCCCGGCTGAATAGACATTTTCTTAAAAGAAGACATACAAATGGCAAACAGGCCTATCAACATCATTGATCATCAGAGAAATGCAAATCAAAACTACAATAAGATATCTTCTTACTCAATTAAAATGGCTTATTTCCAAAAGACAGGCAATAACAAATGCTGGTGAGGATGTGGAAAAAAGGGAAACCTTGAACACTGTCAGTAGGAATGTAAATTTATACTATCACTATGATGAAGAGTTTGGAGCTTCCTCAAGAAATTAAAATAGAGCTGCTGTATGATCCAGCAATCCCACTGCTGAGTATATACCCAAAAGAAAGGAAATCAGTATGTCAAAGAGATATCTGCACTTCTATGTATGTTGCAGCACTGTGTACAATATCTAAGATTTGGAAGCAACCTAAGTGTCCATCAGCAGATGAATGGATAAAGAAAATGTGGTACATATATACACAATGGAGTACTATTCAGTCATTAAAAAAAGAATGAGATCCAGTCATTTGCAACAACATGGATAGAAGTGGAAATTGTTAAGTGAAATAAGCCAGGCACAGAAAGGCAACTTTGCATGTTCTCACTTATTTGTGGTATGTAAAAATCAAAACAATTGAACTCATGGACATAGAGAGTAGAAGGATGGTTACCAGAGGCGGAGGCTCAGGATAGGGAGTGGGGATGGATTACTGGGTATAAAAAAAATAGAATGTATAAAATCTACTATTTGATAGCTCAACAGGGTGAATAATAACTAAAGTGTATATTTAAAGTAATACTGTAATGGATTGCTTGTAACTCAAAGTATAAATGCTTGAGTGGATGGATACCCCATTCCCCATGACATGCTTATTTCGCACTGCATCCCTTTAACAAAACATCTTATTTTAATCTTATAACACCAATCTCTGCCACTATCTTTACATCCTCTTTTTCTGTGTCTGTCTATCTGAACAATAATTTTAAGGGGAGCTGCTTACATGCTCTCAAGGAATGAATGAACCTATTATGTGAATAAACTCTGTTACCTTTCTCTGTAGGTAAATCCTGGAGACAAATCATAATCCACCCTCAAAAGGAATCACTTTTGGCTAAATGTCTTAATTTTGTCATGAAGCATTCCATACTATTCTTAAAAATTCAAAGTAACTAACTCAATGTTTAGTAAATGTTTCTCCTCTAATTAAAAACAAAGGAACTGAGAGAATGCTTATTTTAAGGGAAATTTAATTATGTGTTTTTGGATTATTTCTTTATTCACACACATGTTGTTTTGTGAAAACTCAAAGGAACTCGTTAAGCCTTTTGTCCTAAGAATAGGAAGTTCTATGTTGCCAAGTAGGAGTGCCAAGGGTTTCAAATTTTACTTAAAATTAAATTACAACTCATATTTGAGGAAGCTTGGCAAAAACCTGGCAACATGTCATCATTAGAAAACAAAAGCATTTTACAAACTGTGGATTTCTCGGTACCTAACAAAGTAATACAAAAACAATAGAGTAAACGCAGATGAAGACTGGGCTTCTTCATGACTGACTTCTGAGCCATCATGGATCTCTGAAAAAAACCTGGCAAATTGGGAAAAATTATTTTCTTGATACAACACTTCACCACACTTATATAAACATAATAGCTTACATTTTGTAAGTGTTTTCAGAGTGTCAGGTTCTTTGATACGGGTTTCATGAACTTAATGTAACTTAATCCTCTTAACATCAGTAGGAGGAAGATATCATTGTATATTCATTTCATTGAGGAGAAAGCTGAGCAAGAGAGATGTTAGATCTCTCCGCTTATGCAGCTGGTAAGAGGTGGGTTTGGAATTTGAACCTGAGGATCTCACATCAGAGCCAGGCTCTTCTTCAGTTATTATGATGAATTTGCACTAAAATACAAATGTATGTTTTCTAAGGAGAAAGTATGAATTGTAATGACCAGTTTAACCTCTCTCTGGTGAAAATTCTTTTTGATATCCCTCCAATTCAGTGTGGAATATTTAGTAGGCACAGCAAATTCTAAACTTTAAAAAAAATTTAATTTCTTTTCTTTTTTTTTTGAGACGGAGTCTCGCTCTGTCGCCCAGGCTGGAGTGCAGTGGCGGGATCTCGGCTCACTGCAAGCTCCGCCTCCCGGGTTCACGCCATTCTCCTGCCTCAGCCTCCCAAGTAGCTGGGACTACAGGCACCCGCCACTACGCCCGGCTAATTTTTTGTATTTTTAGTAGAGACGGGGTTTCACCGTTTTAGCCGGGATGGTCTCGATCTCCTGACCTCGTGATCCGCCCGCCTCGGCCTCCCAAAGTGCTGGGATTACAGGCGTGAGCCACCGCGCCCGGCCAATTTATTTTCTTTATACCTGTGATTCTTGGTCTTTTCTGGGTCCCAGACTGCTTTGGCAATTAAACAAAAAAGTTACATATTTTTCTATTTAAAAGAACATATACTTCTGAGGGCTCTGTTCGGTTCCATTGGTCTATATCTCTGTTTTGGTACCAGTACCATGCTGTTTTAGTTACTGTAGTCTTGTAGAATAGTTTGAAGTCAGGTAGCCTGATGCCTCCAGCTTTGTTCTTTTGGCTTAGGATTGACTTGGCAATGCGGGCTCTTTTTTGGTTCCATGTGAACTTCTAAGTAGTTTTTTCCAGTTCTGTGAAGAAAGTCGTTGGTAGCTTGATGGGGATGGCATTGAATCTGTAAATTACCTTGGGCAGTATGGCCATTTTCACGATATTGATTCTTCCTATCCATGAGCATGGAATGTTCTTCCATTTGTTTGTGTCCTCTTTTATTTCACTGAGCAGTGGTTTGTAGTTCTCCTTGAAGAGGTCCTTCACATCCCTTTTAAGTTGGATTCCTAGGTATTTTATTCTCTTTGAAGCAATTGTGAATGGGAGTTCACTCATGATTTGGCTTTCTGTTTGTCTGTTATTGGTGTATAAGAATGCTTGTGATTTTTGTGCATTAATTTTGTATCCTGAGACTTTGCTGAAGTTGATTATCAGCTTAAGGAGATTTTGGGCTGAGACGATGGGGTTTTCTAGATATGCAATCATGTCATCTGCAAACAGGGACAATTTGACTTCCTCTTTTCCTAATTGAATACCCTTTATTTCTTTCTCCTGCCTGATTGCCCTGGCCAGAACTTCCAACACTATGTTGAATAGGAGTGGTGAGAGATGGCATCCTTGTCTTATGCCAGTTTTCAAAGGGAATGCTTCCAGTTTTTGCCCATTCAGTATGATATTGGCTGTGGGTTTGTCATAAATAGCTCTTATTATTTTGAGATTCGTCCCATCAATACCTAAATTATTGAGAGTTTTTAGCATGAAGCATTGTTGAATTTTGTTGAAGGCCTTTTCTGCATCTATTGAGATAATCATGTGGGTTTTGTCTTTGGTTCTGTTTATATGATGGATTACTTTTATTGATTTTCGTGTGTTGAACCAGCCTTGCATCCCATGGATGAAGCCCACTTGATCATGGTGGATAAGCTTTTTGATGTGCTGCTGGATTCGGTTTGCCAGTATTTTACTGAGGATTTTTGCATCGATGTTCATCAGGCATATTGGTCTAAAATTCGCTTTTTTTGTTGTGTCTCTGCCAGGCTTTGGTATCAGGATGATGCTGGCCTCATAAAATGAGTTAGGGAGGATTCCCTCTTTTTCTATTGATTGGAATAGTTTCAGAAGGAATAGTACCAGCTCCTCCTTGTACCTCTGGTAGAATTCGGCTGTGAATCCGTCAGGTCCTGGACATTTTTTGGTTAGTAAGCTATTAATTATTGTCTCAATTTCAGAGCCTGTTATTGGTCTATTCAGAGATTCAACTTCTTCCTGGTTTAGTCTTGTGAGGGTGTATGTGTTGAGGAATTTATCCATTTCTTCTAGATTTTCTAGTTTATTTGCGTAGAGGTGTTTGTAGTATTCTCTGATGGTAGTTTGTATTTCTGTGGGATCGGTGGTGATATCCCCTTTATCATTTTTTATTGCGTCTATTTGATTCCTCTCTCTTTTCTTCTCTATTAGTCTTGCTAGTGGTCTATCAATTTTGTTGATCTTTTCAAAAAACCAGCTCCTGGATTCATTGATTTTTTGAAGGGTTTTTTGTGTCTCTATTTCCTTCAATTCTGCTCTGATCTTAGTTATTTCTTGCCTTCTGCTAGCTTTTGAATGTGTTTGCTCTTGCTTGTCTAGTTCTTTTAATTGTGATGTTAGGGTGTCAATTTTAGATCTTTCCTGCTTTCTCTTGTGGGCATTTAGTGCTATAAATTTCCCTCTACACACTGCTTTAAATGTGTGCCAGAGATTCTGGTATGTTGTGTCTTTATTCTCGTTGGTTTCAAAGAACATCTTTATTTCTGCCTTCATTTCGTTATGTACCCAGTAGTCATTCAAGAGCAGGTTGTTCAGTTCCCATGTAGTTGAGCGGTTTTGAGTGAGTTTCTTAATCCTGAGTTCTAGTTTGATTGCACTGTGGTCTGAGAGAGAGTTTGTTATAACTTCTGTTCTTTTACATTTGCTGAGGAGTGCTTTATTTCCAACTATGTGGTCAATTTTGGAGTAAGTGTGATGTGGTGCTGAGAAGAATGTGTATTTGTTGATTTGGGGTGGAGAGTTCTGTAGATGTCTATTAGGTCTGCTTGGTGCAGAGCTGAGTTCAATTCCTGGATATCCTTGTTAACTTTCTGTCTTATTGATCTGTCTAATATCACACATCTACAACCATCTGATCTTTGACAAACCTGACAAAAACAAGAAATGGGGAAAGGATTCCCTATTCAGTAAATGGTGCTGGGAAAACTGGCTAGCCATACACATAAAGCTGAAATTGAATCCCTTCCTTATACCTTATACAAAAACTAATTCAACATGAATTAAAGACTTAAATGTTAGACCTAAAACCATTAAAACCCTAGAAGAAAACCTAGGCAACACCCTTCAGGACATAGGCATGGGCAAGGACTTCATGTCTAACACACCAAAAGCAATGGCAACCAAAGCCAAAAGTGTCAAATGGGATCTAGTTAAACTAAAGAGCTTCTGCACAGCAAAAGAAACTACCATCAGCGTGAACAGGCAACCTACAGAATGGGAGAAAATTTTTGCAATCCACTCATCTGACAAAGGGCTAATATCCAGAATCTAGAAAGAACTCAAACAAATTTACAAGAAAAAAACAACCCCATCAAAAAGTGGGTGAAGGATACAAACAGATACTTTTCAAAAGAAGACATTTATGCAGCCAACACACACATGAAAAAATTCTCATCATCACTGGCCATCAGAGAAATGTAAATCAAAACCACAATGAGATACCATCTCACACCAGTTAGAATGGCAATCATTAAAAAGTCAGGAAACAACAGGTCCTGGACAGAATGTGGAGAAATAGGAACACTTTTACACTGTTGGTGGGACTGTGAACTAGTTAAACCATTGTGGAAGACACTGTGGTGATTCCTCAAGGATCTAGAACTAGAAATACCATTTGACCCAGCAATCCCATTACTGGGTATATACAGAAAGGATTATAAATCATGCTGCTATAAAGACACATGCACATGTGTGTTTATTGCACTATTCAAAGTAGCAAAGACTTGGAACCAACCCGAATGTCCATCAATGATAGACTGGATTAAGAAAATGTGGCACATATACACCATGGAATACTATGCAGCCATAAAAAATGAAGAGTTCATGTCTTTTGCAGGGACATGGATGAAGCTGGAAACCATCATTCTCAGCAAACTATCGTAAGGACAAAAAACCAAACACCTCATGTTCTTACTCATAGGTGGGAGTGGAACAATGAGAACACTTGGACACAGGAAGGGGAACATCACACACCGGGGCCTGTTGTGGGGTGGGGGGAGGGGGGAGGGATAGCATTAGGAGATATACCTAATGTAAATGATGAGTTAATGGGTGCGGCACACCAACATGGCACAAGTATACATATGTAACAAAACTGCATGTTGTGCACATGTACCCTAGAACTTAAAGTATAATAATAATAAAAAAGCACATGTACATAAACCATTATTTAGAATTTCAGGAGATTCGTAGATTCCAAGTAACTTAGAAGGTTAAATCCTTCCCCTCACCATCCTCTCCCTCTATGGCACCACCTTTCTAGAAAATTAACATTTTTGTTAGTTACCAGAATAAAGAATTCCCCATTACTCTGTCACATAGTTCACTTATTTATTAGATGTTTTACATATTCAATAAGTAAAACTGTAGTGCATAGTTTCTCTTGCTTTTTTCCAGATGAAATGAGCTGGTGTTCATGGTAGAGGGGAGATGTTTGAATTGAACTGGATGATCTCATATATCACCTGAAAAGTTGACCTAAATTTGAGTGATATCTTAGAAATATTACTATATAAATGTCTGCTTCCCAGTAACTATGAGTCCTTAAACTTCAAATGGAATTAAATACACAACTTGAGGAAGTTTAAATTTACCTTGTGTGAGTCACTCTTTGCTTAGTCTAGTCCTGTCCCTCTAAGACATTGGTAATTTTCCTTCCTCTTCAAATGTGATTTAGCTCCCAAAGGTTATAGCACTTGGAGCAGTATTATTAAGCCTGACTTCTATACAGAAATAATCATGACCTTTCTAAATGTCTACCATTGTGGTGGCCCTAGGCTCCTTTACGATATCTCAGAAATCTAGGCTTGTTCCTAATCTTCCTTACTATATACTATCAGAGTTACCTGAACCAATGACTAGAGTGCTAATTCCTTTGTTCCATATCCTCTATTCTTGGTCCCTCATGTTTTGATGACCTCTAACTGTTGATGCATGCTCCCTGTGACTTGGTAATTGTGAGTAGCCAGGGCTT
Organism: Homo sapiens; assembly: GCF_000001405.40. Lineage (NCBI taxonomy): Eukaryota > Metazoa > Chordata > Mammalia > Primates > Hominidae > Homo > Homo sapiens. The sequence continues at coordinate 154,852,353 of NC_000003.12, read as the reverse complement.
CCCCAATAAGAGTTTAGGATGGCGTTGGCGGCGGGGGGGGTCTTCCATGTCTCTTTCAGTCTTCCATGTCTCTCTATGCCTCAGTTTCTCCATCCACAAAATCAGGATAATAATAATTATCCCACGGGATTATAAATGGGGGCTAAATGAGCTAATACATGTGAACAACCTACAACAGTATCTGGAACTATGTAAATATTGCTGATGATTGTTACAAATGGATTGGTAGTATTTTAACTGCCCTGGCTTGAGCTCAGGCCTTCCAAGAATGTTTATGGCCAGTTCTCAGCCACAGTTAATAGTAGCCTACAATTTATAATAGGCACTTTGAGAGTTAAAATTCAAGTATATTTATTTAATAATTTTTCTGATATCTACTATATGCCAGAATATGTTATTTGCTTACAACTCCCCATAACCTAACACAGTCAGAATAGTTTCATTCAACAAATAACTCAAAGTGTCACAAAGGTAAACCCCAGGGTTTTGTGTAAAGCATACCTAGAAATCTGTCTTGATTGGTGGAGTGAATGGCATTTCCTTGTGTACCATGGCTGAAGCATGGGCCCCCTTGCCAACTGAGCTCTTTTAACTGAAAACATTTACTCTTTGTTCTCTTCTCTGCTAGAGGACAGTACTTCTCTGCACTGTTAAATAAACATAAACAACCACATTGCCCCACTTGTTTGGATTGGTTTAGCCATTTCCCACGTATGTTATGGTTATGCTAGGCTTTTCTTCCTCTCTTTAGGATGACAACCCCTATTGCTTATAAGTTGATTCAGCCTAATGGATTTATTATTTACGTTATGCCAGGTATGGTTGAAAAATGAGTATGATGCTGTTCTTGTCCTTGAGGAGCTTATAGTTCCATGGAGGAGACAGACCCCAGAGTAGGGAAACATAATATGTTGCAACCTAATACATTGTGGCGAGCCTGAGCTCACAGGATGTGATGGCACCCATCCACATCACAACTGTCCCTCAGGTCCCCATTTCTCACTACAGCACGCATCAACCATCATGTGAAAACCTGGTGTTCCTGACTCAGTCTGTAGAAGTTATACACTCCAATTTTTTCCAGTACTGATAATGGATTGTACTAAATCATTTATTTACTCTTTCTGGGCCAGTTTATTTTGGCATAAGGCATGTATTTACTGATGGAGAAAACACATGGAGTGTGTGAATGAGTGTAGTGAAACATTTTTCCTCTGGGAAGAGAAGCAAGCGAGACCTCATATAAGTTTTACTAGCTAGATAGTTACCTTGATGTTCTTAAATGAGTCCAAAGTAGTATATTCTACATGATTCCTTGCGTGTTTAAATACATGTGTATATATACATCTTGTGAAAAATGGGAAGGATATGGTAACATCCAGCATATTACTCATTTGAACTCTTTTACATGTTTATTACCACTTTTATATGTTTGGACAAGGCACTACTACCTTCAATAATCCTTAGTGCTTGCCTATAAAGTAATTGCTTATCCCATGCATTTTTGTCAATGGGATGTAGGTTTGGTCAATATATACATATATATAGTGTATATATATACACATATATATACATACAATACATATATTGTATATGTATATACATATATATGTATATACACATATACATATATACATATATGTGTATATACATATATACATATATGTGTATATACATATACGTGTATATACATATGTACATATACGTGTGTATACATATGTACATATACGTGTGTATACATATGTACATATACGTGTGTATACATATGTACATATACGTGTGTATACATATGTACATATACGTGTGTATATGTGTATATACGAGTATATATGTGTATATACATGTATATATGTATATACAATATATATACTCGTATATACACATATATATGTGTATATATATATATTTTTTGAGACAGAGTTTTGCTCTTGTTGCCCAGGCTGGAGTGCAGTGACACAGTCTTGGCTCACTGCGACCTCCGCCTCTCAGGTACAAGTGATTCTCCTGTCTCAGCCTCCCAAGTAGCTGGGATTACAGGCATGCGCCACCATGCCTGGCTAATTTTTTTGTATTTAGTAGAGATGGGGTTTCACCATGTTAGTCAGGCTGGTCACAAACTCCTGACCTCAGGTGATCCACCTGCCTTGGCGTTCCAAAGTGTTGGGATTACAGGCTTGCACCACCGCGTCCAGCCAGGTTCGGTCAATATTTAATGTAGTATAGTAATGGCTTTCAATTTATTGATTGTGAATTGTACCTGCAATTTTTGTTATTTCCACAAGGAGAGTAGGGGTACCTAAATATGACTCCGTGGCACCACTGACTAGATATGCTCACATTTGGATAACATTATAGTAACAATAGTCCATGATGCAATTTCTTATACAATAGTTTAGCCAAAATATAACTCTACTGGTTTTCCACCAATTTCTCTGACTGCTGCTTCTTGCATCATTTTGTTGTCTCCAATCCCTGTTCTGGTGCCTCCAACATCTCAGTGTTCCCAAGGATTCTATCCTTGGTCTTCTATTTATCTTTTTCCTACACATACTTACTTGATAATTTCATTCATTGTCATGATTTTTAACTAGGACCCATAAGTCATTGAATAATTATTTGTATCTCCAGTCTGGATCTTTTTGGCTTCCTAAAAAATTACCAGGGTTTCTCACTGGTGCCGCAAGCCCTGTCTGTCTTAATAGAAACCTATCACTTGCTCCTCCTCCTCCGGCCCTACATGATGCAACATTCACCCCTCTAGAAAGAAACCAGTCATCCTTAATGCTCTCTCTCCTTTACCATCCCCATGGAGTCCAATCATCCAAGCCCTCAGAGAAGTCCTTCTGTTATCTGTACTACCCTGACACTGCCTTTATCAAAGCCTTTATAATTTCTCACCTGCAAAATTGAGAATAGCACTCTCAAGTGTTCTTACCTTTAATCACATTCTTCTAAAATCCACCATCCACATTGTCACCAGTGCCATCTCTCAAAAACACACATCTTTCACTGTGAAGCACCCCCACTGCCTACAGGATAAAGTTCCAACTCTTCAACAGGACCTACAAAGTCTTCTGCAATCATCCCAGCAAGCAGCCTCATCTCCTGGCTCAGGTCTTCTCACAATGCTTCCAACAGGTCCTTCACCCAGACCCCTCTCCTGTGCCCTATTGGTCCCTGCCCTTTCACCCCTTCGCATTGTGTTAATGCTGTTTATTCTGTGAGGAATGTCCTTCCTCATCCCCCTTCTCTTCCTAGAAACTTCCTGTCTTTCAGGACTCACATCAGATCTCCTTTGAACCGAGTCGCCATCCTTCTCCACCTTTTCCACACTGTGGCTGCTCGCTTCACTGGGCTTCCAATGCACTTTCTCCTTCCCTTGGCTATGTGAAACTCTCATCACTCAGTGCTATAACAATTTATTTCTGTGTTTTAATGCACAAAACTTTGAGTTCCTTTTCAATAGAAACCTTCAAGTCATCCAGCGTTCTCCTATGACCCAAAACAGTGCCTGCCATGTACAACTGTGAACCAACTGAATAAACCTTATAGCATTTTTTTTTTAATATCAGGAAGGATACTATGTGGCTCTTTTCTCACACCCATACTCAACTGTGTCAATCATTGATTAATCAATCTTTGGACTTCCTTATTCTCCTTTAATACTGATATTTATCCTTTCACGTATTTGATTTTAGTATACGAAAGCGCTGGAAATTGATGTGTTTATAGTTTTCCGGTGGTTTGGTGTCTTGATATTTTAAGCAATTATACATTTACTAGTGTACCTTTTTCTTTTTCTTTTTTTTTTTTTTTTTTGAGACAAAGTCTTGCTCTGTCACCCAGGCTGGAGTGCAGTGGTGTGATCTCAGCTCATTGCAACCTCTGCCTCCCGGGTTCAAGCGATTCTCATGCCTCAGTCTCCCAAGTAGCTGGGATTACAGGCACCCACCACCATATCTGGATAATTTTTGTATTTTAGTAGAGACAGGGTTTTACCATGTTGGTGAGGCTGGTCTCAAATTCCTGAACTCAGGTGATACACCCGCCTTGGCCTCCCTAAGTGCTGAGCCATTGCACCTGGCCTTCTTTTTTTTCTTTTTGATTTTTTGTTGTTATTGTTGTTTTGTTTTGTTTTGAGGCAGAGTTTTGCTCTTGTTGCCCAGGCTGGAGTGCAATGGCACAATCTCAGCTCATTGCAACCTCTACCTTCCAGGTTAAAGCAATTCTCCTGCCTCAGCCTCCCAAGTAACTTCGACTACAGGCGTGTGCCACCATACCCAGCTAATTTTTGTATTTTTAGTAGAGAGGAGGTTTCACCATGTTGGCCAGGATGGTCTTGAACTATTGACCTCAGGTGATCTGCCCGCCTCAGCCTCCCAAAGTGCTGGGATTACAGGCATGAGCCACTACGACCGGCTAGCATATCTTTTTCTAAATCAGGACCATCAGTGAGTATTAAGTGTCTTTTCAGTGCTCCTACCTTTGATGTGCTCTAGCTATTTGATCCTTGTCCAGGCCATTTTAAAGGCGGAAGTTACTCTTCCTGTTAATCTAAGAAATAACTCTGAATCACATTCACCTGTCTTAGGGTTTCCACACATTCATTTTTTTGGGGCTCAAAATTCATAACTAAAGATCAGGACATAATTTTTCTCAAATCTTTCTAAATTGTTATGATCTTTTTCCAGCCACAGCGAGATTTTCCTTGCAATTTTTGTTTGTCCCTCCACCAACTCCTCCCTCATGGTAGAAGCTTCATTTACATTGAAGGGGCTTCATGTATTCAGTTCCATTATTATTTTTAAAGCCAGACCTTGTCAGATACCTGCTTTCTGTTCACAAAGCATTGCCATTTTCTTCTGAACTTAACATGAGGGGAAAGTACTCTTCTAAATGAAATCATAAAGCAACTTTATGTTTTACATATTCTGGAAAATAATATAATCCCAAAAGATAGTTCCCTTTGTGATAAATCAAACTCTAATTCATACATTTAAACAACTATTCCTTCCTGCTGTGAACTTGGGATTCTGAAGTGTTTGTATACACTAATTATTGGCAGAGACAGAACTAGAAAAAATTATGGCAAAAATTTCTCTTAATAATTTCTATGTCCCCGTCTTTTTCCTCTTCCCAATCCTATTCCTTATTATTTACTGCTAATGGATAAACGTGCCTATGGTAAATGCATAAATGTGCCTATGCTAGATCATCTTTTTACCTGGAAGGTAAAAGCTGTGAAATATAAGCACACTTTCAGGTTAACAATAAGCTAATGGTCATTGAACACTTGCCATATACCAGACCCTCTAACAACACCTCACATGAATTATGTCATTTTCAGCATGACTTATAATCAAAATGGAAACACTAAATGAAATACCTAAAGTAGAAGCACAACACTTATAAAACATAGAAACTCCTTGAATAATTTATTTTATCTTTACATAAGCACAACCATCAATCTGCGTTTAATCCTTCATTATCACAAACAAATCTCTCTTCTCTTGCTTTCATTTTATTCAAAGAACATTAAGGAAATATTCAGTATTTCTGGGATATCAGTCCATATCAGTCATTCTTAGCCTATCAGGGTGCCACATACACTCAGGGGAATTGTCAGTAGATATGGGAAAATATACCTGGAGAAACAAGGTCTCAATTATTCATCTTACTTGACTATTTTAACCTTCTAAAACAGGCAGTATTCAATCAGTACTTTGCTATTTGTAGTTGGTTCATTAGTGTTAATTTTTCAGTAGTTAACTCTAGCAGCATAGAAACAAAGAGATCGAAAAGGTCTTCTCTAAAAGAACTTGAGAACTTGAAGTGGGCTTACATTTCTGAAGCAAAAGGGATCTTACAGAGGTGGAAGTGATACCCAGATAGATTCAATATCCTGCAGAAAGTCACATAACTAGTGAACAAGTGAGACTAGACCTGTCTGACTTCTGTGCAACTCTGTCTTAACCCCAGATAATGCCTTTTCTCAAATGTCTCCCTTTTACTTCAATTTCCTTGTGCCATTGATTTTATTTTTCTTGGTAAGAACATGTTTTAATTATTTTTTCCCTCCACTTAAAATTTTTCTTGCTGGTTTTCCTATACCCTCTTGCTTTTTGCCTTCTTTTCTTGGTTTACCAAAAGGTTTTATTTGCCCTACAGAATTTCTCAACTTTCTTTATTTGGGTTTTTTTTAAAAAATTACCCCTTTTTCTGTTTTTCACTCAGAGAGTCTGAAAGGGATTAGAAATTTTAAGATGTTCAGTGTCGATTGCTGCAGCTGAATCCCATAGGTTGAAACTGGATGGTTTTCATTTTGTAAGACAGTAATAAATATAATAATAGAATATTATTTCAATAGAAATGTTTTTTAAGAATGCATTTACATAAAAGAGAATGCATTTACATAAAAGTGAAAATAAATGTTATTAATTATTTATTGCTTTTAACTAATAATTTAGTAGTTAATTAACATACAGTCATATTTATTCTCTGGCTAGTCTATGTTGGGTCTGTTTTTTTCAGCTAGAGTATAATGGGGCACCACTACGCCTTGTTTATATGCTGACTTTAAGTTTTAAATGTACTGACATTATATGCATTTTGGATAAAAATAACATGTATCTACTAAAATAAATTTCATAGCCTATTTTGTCTGAATCACTTGTCAGCATCAAGTTCAAATAAGAGGGCACAGACTGACCCATATACCCCATTCGCTGTAGAAGTATAAGGTGTTTCTACACACAAGAGCTGAGAAATTATAAGATTCCCTTTGTCTTTTTCTTATTGCCTCATAGCGGTCTCCTTTGACTTAAACCTGTGACTGCAACACAGAAAGGCAGAGACAGGAGAAGGATAAAGAAGGACTTAGGAGAGGCCTGTGTTGAGCACAGGAACCTTCGTGTCTTAGTAGCCACCACTATCACTATTAAAATGCAATGGTTTGTTCAAACTGCCTTAGAAACAGAAAAAAAAAAAACACTAAAAAATCAGGGACATTCAAAAGCATTTTAGCTCTGTATGCATGTGCATTTTGGTGATTTTGTTTGGTACAAAGAGGATTCAGGAATCAAGAAAACTTCACTTATTCTATCCAAATTTGCCATTGTGTAACAAAATGTCATTTCTGATCATTGTCTAGTTAAACATGTGCACAGAGCACATAATTGTTTTCTGGGTTCATATGAACAACACTTCCCCAAATTTCTGGAATTATGACCAGAACACAACCATGATAAATTAGCTCTGGCCCACAGCAGGCTCAGCGCTGGATATAATCCAGGTAGTATGTTTAGTGAAAATGAGGAAGTGGCTCTAAAAACAAGTCATATATTCACCTCTTCATTGTAGTCTTTTCAACAGTGTTTTTTATAGGGATCTTATTTGGTTTCCTATCCACCTGCCTTTAATAATGCCTTCTCACCTGTTAATTATACACTCAATCAATACTACAGCTGAGTCAAATAATGAGTATTGAAGCAACTAAAGGACCTAGCTGGGAAAATAGAATTTAAAAAGATGAACTAAATAGAAGACAATACCTTGCAATTCAAGGAAATTTTCTCCACTATTCCAGCTCACATTGGTTTCACCCTTCTTTGTTCTCTGTGACATTTTAATCTGCCCTGCCTGTTTTAGTCCTCATTGTCTGCTCTACTATATTTGACCCATTTTGAAATAGAACAATACATAATTAAGGTAAAGATCATGGCTATGCTCTGTTAATGTATTTAAATTTATTTTATATGTTACTGCTGGTTCTCAATTTATGGCATACTTAAAAACTTCTTTCTCTTGTCTAGCACTGTGCTGGACAAGAGGAAGTTCTGTGTGTTGACTCACTTAATCAATCATTAATTATAATTTTTGAACATGTAATTAATTGGAGAGCATACTCTATTCAAGGCTAATGTTTATCAAAGATGACTCTATTAAAGCCAGATATAGCTTCTGAGGGAAGGATCAAATTTGAAATGTGAGTTGAATTTCCCTTAAGTTCACATTTCTTTTCTCCCTTGAGTAAATTAGATAAATTTTCTCATGTAAGAATGATTATTTCTATATTGCTACATAGATTCCAGAGATAATGAAAGATTTTAATACAAATAAAACAATTTAAAAAATTGAATCTAATGACTATCAATAATCCCTGAATAGTAATCTCCTTGAAGACAGAGACACTCATATTATCTTTGAATTGCTCTCAACATCTGGCATAACTATGTTATAGGGGCTTAATTAAGGTATATTGAATAAAAGGATAAAGGTCTGATAGAAGAAGAGCATATATGTGACTAGGAGACCTTGGCTGTAACTATTGCTATCAATGGAGAATTAACAGCATGAAAAGGATCTAGTCATCAAGAGAGAAATAGCCTGGCAATGCCTTTTAATTAAGGAGAGACTCCTGTGCTAATCACTAACACAAATTTGTCTACAATAAAAGAACATTTCCTGTGAAAATGATTCGTTAATATTCATTCCATGATGAAGGTTTTACATTGCACAATACTTGAGGTTTGTTCTGATAGGGATATCTAGTTGGAATTGTCACCTTATAGATATGTTATCTTAATGATGGAAGTATGCCTAAATGAACTAGGAAGGATAAAGCACATACAAAGTGAAAAATGAAGAAACATTAGTGATAGCAGGAAAGACCTATAACTCAAAGAATCTCTTGATATTAAATTCAATTAAAATACATCAAATGAAATACTATTGTGCAGCACTTCATCAGTTTCCTTTCTGTCTCCTCTGCTGAATCCTGCTTCTCTTCCCTCTCTGTAACTGTCTCCCAAGTTATTCATTCTTTACTGTTGGTTCTTTTTATCCCATTTCTCATAGAAGCCAGTTACAGAATTTGAGTGCAAGTCTATATTTGCAACTACGTGCAGGAAATTTCTATTTTAATTTCCTATTTTCATCTGAAACTCAAGAACAGAAAATCTGAACCTTATTCACCTTAACTCTTGTACTACATCCTTATTTTCCTCTTTATTTAGTTACCTAGTTGGGTATGTGGTCCCATTCTTTCTTTGCTATAGCCAAATCATTTATTCTTTCAAACACGTATGGAAAATTTCCAGACATTAAGTCATGTTTACAAGAGTTTCCCTCCTGATAGCAGTAAACTTAACCAAAATAACTAAATAATAGAGTGACAAAAACTGTCTATGCTGAACTTTAGAAAGGTCTTAATCTCATACTACAAATCCAATAATTATCATCAAGACACAGGTTCAATTGAATTTATATAGGACACCAGTTTCTCAACACAGCAGAAGTATCTCAACTAAGTGAAAGAAATAAAGACATTGCAGAAAAAAAATAAATATTAAAGTCGCTAAGACTATCCACCGGGTAGTGAGACATGGGCATTACGCATGAGTCTAGCATAAGGCAATTTACCAACTGCCGCTCAGCTAGACTAGAAGAGACAGCTGAATCAGGGCTAATGTGAAATAAGCTTTGGACCAGAGGTGACCACACTCTTAAGGCCCTAAAAACAAAAGTACAGTATGTAAGTCTGGTTGACTTTTTCATCCAAGGGCTAACGCACTGAAGCAGGAGGACAAACCCATTTCCAGCAACACCATATGTGCTGTTATGCTGCCAATTGGGACCTCATCCAGGTTTGCTGGCTGTAGAGGCAGAACTTCCAACAGATTTTGAGAGAAACAGCAGGAGAAATCTTTTCAATCACATTGCCAGTGTCTACCTTCCTTTCTTTGGTACTCAGGAAAATGAATGATAACATATGCCAAAAACAGGCAAATCACCTTGTTTTTGAAGAGAAAGTTCTGAGTAGAATCAAAGATGTCATCCATATTAACTTAGGGAAAATTGTAGAACATGTAGATTTGTCTTAGGCCAAAGGAAAAGAAGTTGCATGAGGGCAACCACGATACTAGTTTTGTTCTTTATTGTAAGTCTAATACCTCTGGCAGTGCCTGGCATAGAAAGAGCTCGGTAAATATCTGACAAACTAGTTACTGTTGGGGAGGGTGAGGACATATAGGGACTTACTTAAGTCAGAGTGACTTGGTTAAGAGGTCCAGATCTGTAACTTTTTAGCTTTGTGTTCTTGTATATGTTCTATAATACTTTGTATCTTTTTATGTAAAATTAAGGTAATAGTAACATCTACCTCTTTATGGAGATTAAAAAATATATATGAAGGTGTTCGATGTGTGACTCTGCAGTTTATTTTCCGTTTGGCCCCCCGCTTGGTTCTTCAGTAACACTATCTCCTTCTCTCACCTCTTCCTGCCTATGGAGTGGTGAAAGCACCCCATTGTTGCTGATCTCTGGGTCCCTCAACATCCTCTATTGGTTCCCTTAATCCTGACCACAACTCTGTAAGTTCTTACGTTAATGTTTCTTGAAACTTCTTAGTTGTATTTTGTTGTGTGTTTGGATCTTGAGTGATACAGGGCCTATAAAGGAGTAATAATCAAAGAGGACTAATTTTTGGTGGTGTTGGTAGGTGTAGTTGTGTTAGTAGGAGTCATAGGAGCAGTGGTAAGAGTAGTATCATCAAGAAGAGTGACAACTGCTTTTACTGATGTTATGAGCAGAAACACCTAAAATATGAAAGAAAAACTGCTACAGCAAAAGAATGCCTAAAATGAATACAGCATTCCAAAAGATGAGAGTCAACTTTACTGCATTATCAAGAAAACTAAAGAAAAGAAATTCCTGAATACGAAAAATTAAAATTTTTGGATACAAAATGGTTAGTTGATGAATTAACTAAAAATAGTGGTGCTAAGGAAAAGAATGATGGAAAAATTAATATTACTACAAAATATAAGAATGTTTAAAACCAGAACACATACTGACAATTTTAAAAATGAGATTAGTAATATACTTGAGAACTTAACTTTTAAAGTATCAAGGATGTTTTAAAAATAAGAATTATAAAATAGACATAAGAATTCAACATATGGATAACTGATGATCTGAAAAGCAAACCAGAAAAAACTATTTAATGAAATGTTAGAATGAAAATACTTCAATTAACTAAAATGGTCCTATAATTTAGAAGTCTCACTGCTCATGGTTGGGAGGGGAGAGAGATTACACTGGTGAATTTCTGATATTCACTGATTTAAAAAAATCATACATTACCCAGTAGAAGAAGCAGACCCCTATAAAGGTAAGCAAATGAGTTTATATCAGATTCCTTTTCAGCAATTTTAGGTAAGAGAAAGCAACAGAACAATATTAACAAGTATTAAATATAAAATTATGTCCAAGTAATTAAATATTAAATAATTTTTTTGCATGTAAAAATCTAGAAAATGAGCTCCGATACAGGATTTTAAAAGTTCATATATGTCTTGTAAAAAAAATTATTTGAAGATTTACTCCAGACAGAAAAATATGCACCAAAATAAGGAATTCACAAATAGGCAAGCTAAGGAACTAAACACATAACTACTGGTGAGTTTAAGGTGCCCACGGGAAATTTAGAGTGGAGGGTAAGAGGTGATAACATTGCTTTAATTTCTTTATATTTCGTGGTAAGGAACAATAAATATATATATCTTTAATCTCAAGTTCACAGAGAGATATATTGAAATTTGTATAGGTAACCACCAATGGAAAATGTTAAAGAATTTGTAACTTGTGATTACTTAGGCGAGTGTGTGGGGATGTGGGCTAGCAGTTGAGGGTGTCAATGATGGAGACACAGGGTAGAGAAAAAAAAATAAAACATAGTTTATATAGAAAACTATCAGAAACAAAGGAAACACAAAATAAGGAGGATGTCAAATGAACTATGCCTCTTTAATAAGAAATGAAAATGAAATTGTCATCTTTAAAAAAACTATCCTTGGGCCAGGCGTGGTGGCTCATGCCTGTAATCCCAGCATTTTGGGAGGCCAAGGTGGGTGGATCACAAGGTCAGGAGTTCAAGACCAGCCTGGCCAAGATGGTGAAACCCTGTCTCTACTAAAAATACAAAAAAAGTATGCAGGCATGGTGGTGGGTGCCTGTAATCCCAGCTACTCGGGAGGCTGAGGCAGAGAATTGCTTGAACCCATGAGGCAGAGGTTGCAGTGAGCCTAGATGGTGCCACTGCATTTCAGTCTGGGCAATAGAGCGAGACTCCATCACAAAATAAATAAATAAATTAATTAATTAATTAAAATAAATAAATAATCATTCTTATTCAAAAAATGAAACTTGATTATATGCATTTTAAAAAGGAGATACCAAAACTGAGTATTTCAGGAATAAAATGAGACAATGCTCCAAACAAAATCAAATGGAAAACTAGTAAGAATCATGCTGTATTCAAAAATTTGAATATGATATCCTTTGATGTAGTATTCATGTTTCTTCAGCTTGGTATTCATCAGACTTCTTGAATCTTGGGTTTGTAGTTTTCATAATATTTGGAAATTTTCTGGTCATTAATTCATTAAATATTTCATTCTGTTCTTTTCCAGGACTGAAAATACACATAGGTTAGGCTGTATGATATTGACCCATAGTTCACTGGCACGCTCATTTTTGTTCAGTCTTTTTTCTATCCTTCATTCTAGTAGTTTTTATTGTATGTCGTTAAGTTTTCTAGTCTCTGCAGTGTACTATTTATTTTAGGTATTTTATTTTTCATCTTTAGAGTTTTTATTTGGGTCTCCTTATTTCTTTCATTTCTCTTTCATGTTCACGCTTTTCTTTACCTTCTTGACTATAGCTTTACAATACCTCTTTTAATATTCTTGCTTAATTTTATTATCTGTGTAATTTTCGGGTCTGTTTCTACTGAGTTTTTTCCTTCCGTCTATGGACATATTTTCTGCCCTCTTCACATGCCTGGTAAGTTTTGATTGGATGCTGCATATTGTTCCCTTTCCATCTCTTGTGCTGAATCTCATTTTTTGTGTTTATGGTTGTTGTTTCTTTTTAATAACACTTGGTGTTGGATTTTTTGCATTCCTTTAAATATTTTTGGTCCTTGTTTTGGAATCAGTAAGTTACATGAAAACAATCTGATCCTTTCAAGTCTTGCCTTTAAGATTTGTTAAAGCAGGTCCTGGTGAACCTCTAGTCTGAGGCTACTACTGAGGTAATGATTTTTCGAGGACTCTTGATTGATGCCCCATTTATTGGGAAAACTTTACACTCTGGCTATTGGGAACACAAACTATGCTTGGCCCTGTGTGAGCTCTGGGGATTATTCTGTTTATTCCTTTCCAGCAGCATTTTTCCCCAGCCTGTGGCTTTTTCTTCTACACAGGTGCAGATTAACATTGAGCCAAAGACTTGGGAGGACCCTTGAGCAGATATCAGGACTCTCTCTGCACAGCTCTTTCCTCACTGCTTGTTTGCCTTAGAAATTCTATCCATCTTTACTTTCTTGACGATCAAACTCGATTTCTTCAACTCAGCAAAACTTCCAAGATCTACTGGGGTTTCCCTTCCTTCTGATACTACTCAGAAACTTGCTCGATGCTGGGGTTGTCAAAGATCTAAATTCACATTTTTTTTTTTCAGGAATCACTGTCTTAAGTTGTCTGTGGTTCAATGTTTGAAAACCATTGTTTTATATATTTTGTCTGGTATTCTAGTTGTTTAATGTAGGAGATAAATCTCCATCTATGTTATTCTATCACGTACAAAAGCAGAAGTTCTCATGTTAATATAAGACAAACTTGTATTTAAGGCAAAAAGCATTAAATTGGAGAGAGAAAGTTACTTTTTATCATTAAAATTTATAACAAAATATAATCGTCCCTTTTTTGCACATTAATGCTTTCATTTATTACATAAATATTGAGTGTCTACCACGTGTCAGGCACTTTTCTGTTACTGGAAAATTTGAAAAGTGAGTCAATATTTCTGCCATCAAAAAGCTTCTAGTGGAGATGCAGAAAGACACATGAAATTAACAATTATGAATGCTGTAGGAAGATGTAAAGTAGGGTGATATAATACAAGCATCTATCAGACAAGGGATTTCTGGGATGCATTATTAACCATGCACAAAACAGGAAGAAAGTGGGACTATCCAGCAGAGATGCTCTAATATGTGAATGAGCTTGTCCTGTCTGAGGAAGAAAGAGATGGCGAGTGTAGTTAAGTGTGCTGGGAAAAGGGGAAATGGTCACTGTAGCCAAAGAGAAAGGCATAAGTCACATCTACATACTTTCCAGGCAGAGTTAAAGTGTGGACTTACTCTAATTGAGGCTGGGATGGAAATCTGTTTGGAGGTTTTAAGAAAGAGGGGAGGAGAGTTTAATGAACTTACTTATTTTCTACAAATCATTCTGACTTTTATGTGAGAAGCAGGAGTCGAGTCAGGAAGATCACTTGAGAGCTGCTATCAGTAAACCAGGCAAGAAGAGATAGCTGGCTTAGATTAGCATGGTGTATGTAGAAAGTGTGGGAAGTAGATAGATTTGGAATTTGTGTGGAGATACAGTTACCAAGACTTACTGTTGGATTGTAAGGGGAAACTTGATTTTTGGTTTGAGGAACTAGGTTCATGGTCTTAACATTCACTGAAAGGAAAAGAGTATAGAAATAGAATAGAAAGAAATGAGAGAAAAGTCTGTTTGGGGGATATCAAATAAAGAATAACACTAAATACAGTGAAAAATACAGACACAGCAAACAAAGAACTTTAAAACATTTATCTCCATTTTTTTTATTGACCAAGAAAAAAAAGTGAAAATAAAAAGAAGACCAAATTCTAACTAATATAACTTACTTTACTCTAATATTTACTTAACTCTATACTACTTCAAAAGAGAATAAACTTTTTTCCCAAAGGCTTATGACACATTCATGTAAGTTAACTATGTATCAGACCTGAAAGGAAATATCAACAAATTTTAATGTATAAAAATAGTAAAATTAGATTTTTAAAAATCATAGCATAATAAAACTAAAAATAAATTAGAAAATTAAAATAAAATTAAAATTAATATCAAATGCTTGGAAGTTTTAAAAATATTTTCTAAATAAACATTTGGTCAAAAATGATCTCATGATTGTAATACAAAAAGAAATAGAAAAATTTATTAAAAATCATCATCCACCTGTAGTGAATCCATAGATGTACTCAGAAATACCCATAGCTTTGAACATTTTTATTACAAAATAAGAAGAAAAGTATATCAAGTACTCAACTGAAAAAATAGAAAATGATCAACAAAATAAATACTAGAAAAACACCATAAGGAAAAACCCATGCCGAAAAAAAATGAAGGCTAAAAAAAGAACAAAATGGCCGGGCACGGTGGCTCATGCCTGTAATCTCAGCCCTTTGGGAGGCTGAGGCAGGTGGATCACTTGAGGTCAGGAGTTTGAGACCAGCCTGGCCAACATGGTGAAACCCGTCTGTACTAAAATACAAAAATTAGCTGGGCGAGGTGGTGCACACCTGTAATCCCAGCTCCTCAGGAGGCTGAGGCAGTAGAATTACTTGAATTCAGGAGGCAGAGGTTTCAGTGAGCCAAGATTGCACCACTGCACTCCAGCCTGGGAGACAGAACAAGACACCATCAAAAAAAAAAAAAAAAAAGAGCAAAATGAGAAATCTAAGAGTAGTTTATTGGAAATGCCAACACATACCCAAAGCATGAGTTGAAACAAAAATAACAAAGTTATACCATATTAGAAAAGACATAAAAGAGATGAAAATATGCTTCACACACATTATTCTAGGAAAACATAAATTACAAAACTTGAGTCAAGAATAAAAAGGAAAATTATAAAATAATTATCCTCTAACTTCCATCCTCTAATTTGTTTTACGGCTCCAAGCCACAATAACCTCTAAGTGATTTTAACTATTCAAGACCGTAAAGAAAGGAAGCAGTCTTCATAATGTTTTGAATGAAGTCAGCCAAACCCTAAAAGCAACATTTTACAGTGAGAACTAAAAGGGACAAAATTTTTGTCCAGTCCTGCTTATGTATATTGATGTAAGTACCTAACTAAAATATTAGCAATTAGAATTCAAGAATACATGAAAAATCTTACAAATCCATAATCAAAAACTCATTCCAAGAATGCTAGTTTATGTATTATTAGGCAATCTGTCACTACAAATGACTGTTATTATAATGAGTGAAGGCAATACGATTGCTAAGGTCTGAATGTGGTGTCCCCTTAGAATTCATATGTTGGCACCTAATATCCAGTACGATAGAATTAAAAGGTGCAGCCTTTTAATCACTTTTAAAAGAAGTGGTTAAGTTGTAAACCAAAAATAAAATACTAAGCCCCCAACCAACTGAATGGACTCCCTCTTGGCCAACACGAACCCAAAGAAACCTGAAAAACTGAATTCCTGGCCATGATGGTGGGAAGGAAAGTCAGACACGCCTTGTTATATCCTCTCCTTTTTGGAGTTTAGCATTAAGGTTAAAATGGAAAGCATAATAAAACGAACAAAACAGCCTCTTTGTGGCAATAAGACAGCAAATTATAAACAAGACCTAAGGCCATGCAAGTCCAGGGTTAAAGTCACACCCTACAAACCATAAAACCATAAGTGTTTTTTTTGTTTGTTTTACGTAACCTGGTATAATGTAGTTTACTTTCCAACCTGACTCTGTTATCACATCACATGACAGATAGCAGATGCTGAAGGAAATAAAAATATTTTACCCTAAAATATATTTCTTTGATATATTTTTAAATGACCCTACAAAGCTGTCTTGTGGGGGGTAATTTGCATCTATAGAGAATCTCTATTAATATAGCCAGGCCTTCCCTTTCCAGGACTTCTGGAGATCTAGAAGAGACTAACTGAAAGTCTGACACCTTTAAAAGTCTGAATAGAGATATTTTCCACTTATTCTCTCTGAAGGCTGTTACCTATGAGCCTTCATCTACATAGCAAGGGCCTTGGCCCCCTAAAATCCTCTTGTCTTAACTCAAGCATTCCTTTCTACTGACTTCAGGTCTTTAGACAATGGCCGCTCTCAAACAACTGTCAACAAAAGAATCCCTAAAATCCACCTATGACTTGTAAGCCCCCACTTTGATATGTCTTGCCTTTTCAGCCTGAACCCATGTATACCTTCCATGTATTAATCTATGTTTTGACTGTAAGGGAGGAGACCACCCCTTATATTGTCTTATGCCCAATTTCTGCCTCCAAAGAAAGAAGAAGTAAAAACTAAAAGGCAGAAATGAAATCCACAGGCAGGCAGCCTGGTGCCATGCCCTGGGCCTGGTTAACGATCGACCCCTGACCTAACCAGTTATGTTATCTATAGATTCCAGACATTGTATGGAAAAGCACTGTGAAAATGCTCGTCCTGCTCTGTTCTGTTCTGATTACCGGTGCACGCAGCCCCCAGTTACGTAACCCCTGCTTGCTCAATCAATCACGACCCTCTCACGCGGATCTCCTTAGAGTTGTAAGCCCTTAAAAGGGACAGGAATTGCTAACTCGGGGAGCTCAGTTTTTGGAGACGTGAGTCTTGCCAAAGCTCCTGGCCGAATATAGCCCTTCCTTCTTCAACTTGGTGTCTGAGGGGTTTTGTCTGCGGCTTGTCCTTCTACAACTGTAACTCCTGTCTCCCCAAAATGTGTAAAATCAAACTAACCTAACCACCTTGGGACCACTTACTCAAGGCTTCTTAGATTTGTGTTTTCTCTGGGCTATGGTCACTAATATTGGCTCAGAATAAACCTCTTTAAAATATTTCACAGAGTTTTGTTTTTTTGTTAACAAAGCAATGAGGGCTCCACTTTCATGAAGGAATTAGTGCCATTATAAAAGAGTTTAAAGGGCACATCCTGGCTCTCTTTCCTGCCATGTGAGGTAGAGAGAAAGCCCTTACCAGCCACTGAATTGGCTCTTGCATCGATCTTGAACTCCCCAGCCTCCAGAACTGTGAGAAATAAATTTTCATTATTTGTAAATTACCCAGTCAAAGGTATTTTGTTATAGCAGCAGTAACAAACTAAGACAACAATCATCCCCATATATTTCCCAAGAAGTATTTGGTAACACTCAATTTAAAACACTCTGATTAAAAACGACAATGTTAAAAAAAGGTTTAGTAGAATAAAACTACATGGATTATGTGGACTGGTGCCTGACACACACATGTGTTGTATGTATTCTATACAAAAAACTAACAGTTTGTGTTGCGATTAACTGTGTATCTAAGAAGGCTAATTCTAGGAAAGGTGGTCAAATAAACTTAAGAAATTATCCACTTAAAATGGTGTGCTTAAAACTGATAAAATATAAAAAACACAATAAAAGCTCTGAGACACTGTATAAAAGAAACTTGTTCAGTTTAATTTAATGTAAAAACTTAAAAATCTGGGATCATTTTTCTTATCACATCTATTGGATACTGTGAAAGACTTTTCTGTCATTATTAGTATTAAAATTCTGTACCAGAAAAGTTCCATTAAAGAGCATCATTGTCATGCTAGCCATGAAAATTGGATTAGAAAATAAATATGTCACTTAAACAAAAGAAGTGATCACTCTTCCAGATAAAATGTTAAATATGCTTTCTTGAAAAATAACAAAATGAATATACACAAATATAGCTTTTTAAATAAAAGACAATTTATTAGGAATATAATAAAAGTATATAAGCTACAGTATTAAAAATATTAAATCATCTAGATAATTATAAACTTAGAAATACATAGAACTACTTTGAGGAAGACTCTAAAACTACTGTCAAAAAGAAAACAAGAAGACAGTACTTAGTCTTAAAGTCAAACACTAAATATTCTAAAGGTGTCAATTCTCCCTAAAATGATTATAAACATACAAATTTCAATCAAAGCACCAATAGGATTTTTTTCTTAATTTGATAAAAATGATTCTACATTTCAGTTGAAGAATATCCAAAGAATTCTCGTGAGAAAAAGTAAAGAGATATATGCTTTTATATAGTAAAATGTATTATAAAAGAATATTTATAAAAATAACTGAATGGTTCAGGAAGAGACTAATATTAATGGAAAGGATGATTATTCCAGGGAAACCATGGACTAAACCCATATGTATTAGAATATAGTCTAATGAATGTGATATCTAAAATTGAGTGCCTGGATGGGGGAGCGGAGATTCATTAGCAAAAAAAAAAAAAAAAATGATAAAAAAGGTGATCTAATAACTGGATAGCTATTGGGAATAATAAAAAATCCAAAACAAATTCTGAGTGGATCAAATATTTAAACGTAGGAAATCCAATTCTAAAATTATTAAAATAAGCATAAGGCAAAATTTGTATTATATCTTGTTTGGGAAGTTCTTTCTAAGCTTCTAATTATGTTACAAAAAGGAAGAGAAGAGAGAAAGTGAGAGAGAGGGAAAGGAAAGAATGGAGAACTTTGCCTGCCAAAATACAATAAATGAGTTTGAAGATAACCTCAGGAACTAGGAAAAGTATTTGCAATTTATATGACAGATGGAGAGTTAATTCTGCAATTTTGATAAATAGATTAAAAATAAAATTCAAATAATACACACCTGGATAGGAAAAAGGGCAAAGGAGTTGAAAAGTATATCACAAAGGAAAAGTGTAAATGATCAATAAACATGTGAAAGGATATTCTACTTTGTAGTAATCAAATAAATGAAAATAGCAATGAGTGTCTTAAGTATGAAATACATGACAAAACTCAGTATTTGTAGGGTTTTGGAAACTTAGATCTAGACCCACTTAGTTGAGACAGACATTTGACCAGTTTTTCTTACAGCCTTTAAAACATGTATCAAACACATCCTTTTTAAGTCTAACAACCCAACCACTATGGATAAAACCAAGAAAACAATCTCGTAAGTATATCAACACTCATATATAAGGAGGGTGCATGGTTTTTTTGGTGGATTCTGTCAGTTTTGACATCAGCATTCTGATGTCTCCAATCAAAGAATTTAAAAGATTTTCTTTTTTCCTCATGTTCTGAAACATTTTAGTGAAAAAGTAGAAAAAACTAAAATAACCTATCATTAAAATTGATGGTGTAACTATTGGCCTTGTTGAGTGAAAAATAGCAGGGAAGGAAAGAGTATGGACAGTGCATTTACATAAAACTGCATATTCTTTTCTATGTGTGAGTGTATATTCACAGAAAGATATACTAGAGGTCGAGAAGCATAACCATTTAATAGTTTTTAGTTTTTTACCCTGAGCTGTCAATTTGGATAATTTTTATTTCTTCTTAGCATTGTTTTCTTTTGCTTTTCTTAAAAAATGACTATGTCCTACTTTTATGATTAGTAATTAATAGTGAAGTACTTAAACTTTGGGAAAGAAGTGGTATGTCTACATAGCTTCATTTTTAAGTGGAATAGAAAATTATGATAAAAAAGGCCTTAGTATTTATAAATTTAGAGGCCACTAGGGACTTCTAAAATAGTTTCAGAAGAATGATGAGAAATGAAAGCACATTTTAAGATTTTAAGGAAACAATTGTCAGAGAGGAGGTAGAAGACAGAAATTTGTCAGACAATTTTATTTTTCTTCTATTAACTCCTTTGCATTGCTTTGATGTTCTCATTTCTTTTTTGTATTTCAAAATTAATGACCTCTTTTTCCTTACCTGTGAGAGGGCCTCTTGTGTAAAATGTCCAGCTTCCTATGTCCTTATTTATATCTCACTAGATGATCTATGCCACCTCCTCACAAAAAGGAAGGCAAGCATAAGAAATGTTTATTAGGTAGTTAAAAAATGCACAAACAAGGTCTTGCATAGAAATATCATGCATTGGAGTATGAAACATGCTCATTTAAGTGCGACTTTGCTGTTCCTTCTCAAAATGGAGCCCTGGTTCTTTAATACTGCATGCCATCCTTCTTCGTTGTTTCTGTCAAATTCCCTCAGCCCTTCACTGATTTCTCTATGACCTGCAGTACTTCATCCATCTTTTACACTTAGCCCAGCTGTTCTCATTCTTTCTTTTTATCACTGTCTCTTCTTTTCTGCATCTATAGTAATGTAATAAAACTGAAGGCCTTGAGTTGTTCTTCTGAGTACAAAGGTTATGAGGTAGAATAAATTATTCGAATATACAGTAGACACAGCACATCAGAAGAAAAACAACAAAGGGTGAACTGAAGAAACAAGACCACACAGAATCAAGACACCATCTGATTAAAAAATGATATTCACTGTGACCATAGCCAAGCCATAAATGAGCTGTGTTTACTCCTTTTTTTAAAACAATATTGAGGTAAGAATGATCCTTTTGGCAGGAGGGGAGTGCATTGGTATTACATAATAGTAATTAGTTTTTACTGATAATAAATTGCAGTACATTTTCTGTTTCCTCTCTGTTTCCTCCAGGTCCTATTGATTCTCTCTCTGTGTGGTTATTTGAATCAGTTCATTTCACTCCATCTCCACCAAAACCACTCACCAGGTCTACAATAGAAGCCTCCTGAAGCTTTCTCTGACTTTAATCTGGATACCCTCTAAAATCCATTCTATACAGAGCAGCTAGAGTTATCTTTAACAGTGTTAATATAACCATAATAATTCTCTGCTTAAAACCCTTAAAAAGCTTTTAATATTATTTAGAAAAAAAATTTAAATTGTTTGCATGGCCTACAAGTTTCTGCATGTTCCGGATTGGGCCGGGTCCCTTACTCATTGACCTCCAGCCTCACTGGTATTCTTACAAGGGCTCCATGGGCCAAGCACTCCTCACCTCAGGATCTACACATACACTGATCTCTCTCCCTGTGATTCTCTTCTTCACACCCTTCATGTGGCCCAACTCTCCTCCCTTAAGTGTTAGCTCTTCCATTAAGAGCTCTTCCCTTACACCTGTGGCAGATATTATACGTTCTCTTGCTCAGCACCTCTTCCAGCCTCCTTTGCTGTGGCCTCCTGAACTGAAGAACTGAAAAGCTCTAAACTGTGTCTCCCATACTTTTGTGCTGCTGAGGTTCTGAAAGTGACTTATGTTTACCAAATAAAGGCTCTCATTAGTGATTTGAATTCAGAACTCAGTTAACTGGAGAGAAAAGCAGAGTTTAAGCCATTCATTTTTATGGTGCAGATCTCAGCAGAGGGGATGTAGTTCTGGGGTCAGCAGCAAGAATACCAGCTCTGATTCTGGCAGGAGTAGTAGTTTCCTTAATTATCTAGTTGTGTGGTGTGGCTTTAAGAACCATTCATGACAGCTCATTGTAGGGTCTGTGGCTTTTTCTACTCATTCTGAAAGCCATTTAATACTCGGCAATGAATTCCTTTAACTCTAACTAGTGCATGGCCCCTCGTCAATCTAAATCAGGTCTCTCTGTTCTAGCCTGGCAATATATCAGACATTTCTTGAAGAGCACTTGGCATCAATTGTAATGTACTTATGTGATTATCTGTCCCTGTCAGCTTTATGAGAATTTAATAGATGCTTAATACATATTTGTTGAAGAAATGAACAAAAAAGCAAAACATATTAAGATCCCTTTATATTTATTACCAGATGACCTACTTTCCTTTGGTTCCAGAACTGTGGGTACAATAATTGTTTGGTTGTAGCTACTATTAGTTAGTTAATTTTATTATTGTTCATTTTGATTACATCCAAAGTAATCTTATATTATTTCACTTTCGCAATATAGACTCTACTAGAAGTTCTTTCTTGAATATGATATTATTACAATGATTAAGGTTAAATCAAGTTTCCCCAGCATCCACTCTTGGATAGAAAAGAATGTGTATTGCAGAGAAAGTGTATAAATAGTTGAGCTCAATAAGTCAGGCATGAGATTTGGACAACTAGATTAGTGTGTTCTGATTATGCAAAGTGTTCTTTAAGTTTTCCAATATTCAACTAGAAGAAGGAAAAAATCATTAGTGACAGGTAAGAGCAGAATTATTATGGAAGCATGTGTGTTTTCCTTAGTTGTATCATATGCCTTTCATATTGAACAAGTCTGAAGAGATGTTTTATATTAAAGGATAAAGCATATTTAGATTTAGAAAGTTATACAATGCATTCCATCTCATATGAAGATCAATGGGCAGTCATCATAAAATAAGATGAACCAAGAGTAAATGAGACAGCTAAATCATGGGAAGAATGAGCTAATCAGGCTCAGGAGCGTATCTTGGATGACTAGTGTTTACAAGTGTTCCCTATGCAGATCCAACCCACCTTTTAGTGATGTTTGAAGACAGCAAATTTGTTCCTCTTCCTGGGATATAAGCCAAAGGAATTATCCACCTAGGAACCTGGACAACAGTCCTGATTATTCCCTCCTCCTCACATATTCATATTTCTCCATCTAATTTGATCAATGATGACATTCTTAAAATATCTCCCCTTTCTTAATATTTTTTTTTTGTTTTGGCTACTACTTTCATCAGTGTTATTGAAACAGTCTCCTAATTGGTCTTCTTTCTCTTCTTCCAATACTTCAACCTATAATAATGTATCTAAAATTCAAATATTACCATTATACTCCTCTGCTTAAAATCTGTTAGTGGCCTACCTTTCTAGTCAGACAGAACTCTTTATAATTCCCTCTCCTGCTATGCCCCTCCCCCATCCAGGCACCCATTGCTCTATTTTCACTGTGATACTTTATGTTCACAGAATGTACTGGGTTTTCTCCCTATGCCCCACCCCCTAGGTTCTGCATACACTGTTCTTCATTCCCAATGCCCTCTTTCTATTGTAAATCAAAAATAAAATTATAAGCCCTTCAACTGACTGAATGGACCCCTCCTCTCAGCCAAGTAGATTCCAAAGTAAATCTGAAAAACAAGTTCAGGCCATGATGGGAAGCAGGGGGTCAGACATGCCTCATTACAGTCTCCTCTCTGGAATTCAGGTACAATTGACCAGCTTTAACATCAAAATAGAGATCTTGTGACTATCAAACAGACTCTTTGTAGCAATAAGATAACAAATTTCCACCTGACTGTCCTATAGCATCACGGGACAAATAACAGGCCCTGAAAGAAATCAAAGCATTTACCCCAAAAAAGATTTCTTTGACATATTTTGAAATGGCTCTGCAAAGCTGTCTCTCATAGAGATAATCTACATTCTGTAGAGAATTGCATTCCCTTTCCAGATCTTTTCCTGATCCAGTAGAGATTAAGTAAGAATCTGGCATTGTTTTAGGTCTGATAAGAAAAATTTACCATCTATTCTTTCTGAACCTGGAGGCTTCATCTACATAATAAGAATCTTGGCCTCCATAATCCCCTATCTTAACTTAGACACTCCTTTCTGTTGATTCCAGGTCTTTAGATAATAGCTTAACTCTTTCAACCAATTGCCAATGAGAAAATCTTTGAATCCACCTATGACTTGGAAGCCCCCACCCTTCTGGACCAAACTAGTATAAACATTACATGTATTAATTTATGTCTTTGTCTGAAATGTATGTCTTCCTAAATTGTATCAAATCAAGCTATAACCCAACTACCCAACCTAACCCAAGAGGACACGTTTTCAGGACCTCTTGTGACTGTGCCTCAGGCCTTGGTCACCCATATTTGGCTCAGAATAAATCCCTTCAAATATTTTACAGAGGGTGACTCCTTTTCATTGAACTGTACTCTCTTTGCTTGGCTAAATCTAACTTATTTTAAAAGATTCAATTTTGACATCACCTCTTATAAAAAACTTTTCCATATCCTAGTGCCTGAGTTAACTTTGGGCCTCAAACTTCCCTAAAAATTCTATTCTCACCTTTATCAGACCCTTGAAATTATCTGTTCATTTTGTTTGTGCCCATTAGGATCAGATTTGGCCTAATATTAAAAATATAGTAATAGTGGCTTAAACATGTTGGAGGCTTATTTTTATCTTATCTAAAGGAAACCCAGAGTTGATTCTGCTAGAAAGGAAGAAGGGAGGAGTAATATTGAGCCAGCAATCTCTGCTTCCCTAAGCTGTCTCCTCTCCAAAAGCAGGACTTTACCTCTGTATCATCCTCATGCATGACCACACCTTCCCTGAGTAGAATTCAGTAAATATTTGCTGAGCTAAATACATGAATAGTTTAAAGATAAACAGTGTAATATTGGGTATGCTTATAGACTAGATTATAGTTCTTCATATGTAAAATAGAGAGTTTTCAAAGTTTGTTTGTTTTTCAAAATGTGTAATACTTGTTTATTTTCTACACAAAATCTTTTCTTGAACCCACTGTGAATTTAAAATCAATAGAAGTGGAATGCTCTTGTTGGAGCAAAGCAGTCTGAGTTCTGACTTGGCTTTCCCTTACAGATTCCCTTAGATGAGCCCTGAAATGTCTCTTTGGATCTTCTGGACTCCACAAATCACAATTTTAAAACAATTAGACTCATAATGCTACTGATATAAGAGTCTCTGAATCTAACAGTAACATCAAGGTACTATCATATCATCAGAAAATAATCAACACAGCAGGTTGTTAATAAAAATTAAGCTGACTTTGGAGATCAAGACCATCCTGGCTAATATGGTGAAACCCCGTCTCTACTAAAAAAAAAAAATACAAAAAATTAACTGGGCATGGTAGTGGGTGCCTGTAGTCCCAGCTACTCAGAAGGCTGGGGCAGGAGAATGGCATGAACCAGGGAGACGGAGCTTGCAGTGAGCCGAGATTGTGCCACTGCACTCCAGCTTGGGCAACAGAGCCAGACTCTGTCTCAAAAAAAAAAAAAAAAAATTAAGCTGACTTCTTTTGTACCCAAAAGTGACATCATTCATTCTTGGAACACTGAAATTCTATGTCAAAATATTGAAATAAGAGAGAATGGCATGGTAATAGCAAATGCAGATCACAACTTGATGTTCTATATGAAATTTAGAACACAATTTCAACTGTGCTAGGGTGTAGCTCAGACCCTAGATTATCCACAGTCTTCACTGATGCCTCCTGACTACCCAACCTAACCTACATGTAGGGGTTGGGTTGTACTGGCCCACCAACTGCAGATCATGGAGCCAGGGGGAGGTATAATGTATAGCATTGAGGATGAAGCTTTGATGAAAAAAAATCAAGCAGAAAAGGGAGCCCAATTTTTCTTCAAATGGACAGACGGGTAAAAATAAAGTACAAAGCAAAAAGGTAACCTGAAAATATTAGCATAGAGCCAATAAATTTAGAAGGAAGAGTAAGAGAACACAGAGTAGCTGCAAGGTAGGTTTTTTTTTTTTTATGGGACACCTGTGGCCTCCATTGCAACAATTACAATTTATTGTAACTCTAATATGCGCTAGTGCTTTGATATGAATCTTACATATGCTTTTTTTTAATCCTTATAGCAATCTTGAAAGTATGCTATGGGGGAGGTTCCAAGATGGCCAAATAGGAACAGCTCCAGTCTGCAGCTCCCAGCGTGAGTGACACAGAAGACAGGTGATTTCTGCATTTCAAACTGAGGTACTGGGTTCATCTCACTGGGGCTTGTCAGACAGGGAGTGCAGGCCACACAGCAGGGCGGGGCATGGCCTCACCCAGGAAGTGCAAGGGGTCAGGGAATTCCCTTTCCTAGCAAAGGGAAGCCATGACAGACAGTACCTGGAAAATCAGGACACTCCCACCCTAATACTGTGCTTTTCCAACAGCCTTAGCAAACGGCACACCAGGAGATTATATCCCGCGTCTGGCTTGGAGGGTCCCACACCCATGGAGCCTCGCTCTCTGCTAGCACAGCAGTCTGAGATCAAACTGCAAGGCAGCAGTGAGGCTGGGGAAGGGGCGTCTGCCATTGCTGAAGCTTGAGTAGGTAAATAAAGCAGCTGGGAAGCTCGAACTGGGTGAAGCCCACCGCAGCTCAAGGAGGCCTGCCTGCCTCTGTAGACTCCACCTCTGGGAACAGAGCATAGCTGAACAAAAGGCAGCAGAAACTTCTGCAGACTTAAACGTCCCTGTCTGACAGCTTTGAAGAGAGTAGTGGTTCTCCCAGCATGGAGTTTGAGATCTGAGAATGGACAGACTACCTCCTCAAGTGGGTCCCTGACCCCCAAGTAGCCTAACTGTGAGACACCTCCCAGTAGGGGCTGACTGACACCTCATACAGCTGGGTGCCCCACTGAGATGAAGCTTCCAGAGGAAGGATTAGGCAGCGACATCTGCTGTTCCGCAATATTTGCTGTTCTGCAGCCTCCACTGGTGAAACCCAGGCAAACAGGGTCTGGAGTGGACCTCCAGCAAACTCCAACAGACTTGCAGCTGAGGGTCCTGACTGTTAGAAGGAAAACTAACAAACAGAAAGGACATCCACATCAAAATCCCATCTGTACATAACTATCATCAAAGACCAAAGGTAGATAAAACCGCAAAGATGGGGAGAAACCAGAGCAGAAAAGCTGAAAATTCGAAAAATCAGAGTGCCTCTTCTCCAAAGGAACGCAGATCCTCGCCAGCAAGGGAACAAAGCTTGACGGAGAATGACTATCACGAGTGTAGAGAAGAAGGCTTCAGACGATCGGTAATAACAAACTTCTCCGAGCTAAAGGAGGATGTTCAAACCCATCGCAAAGAAGCTAAAAACCTTGAAAAAAAGATTAGATGGATGGCTAACTAGAATAAACAGTGTAGAGAAGTCCTTAAATGACCTGATGGAGCTGAAAACTATTGCAAGAGAACTACGTGATGCATGCACAAGCTTCAGTAGCTGATTTGATCAAGAGGAAGAAAGGGTATCAGTGATTCAAGATCAAATGAATGAAAAGAAGCAAGAAGAGAAGTTTAGAGAAACAAAGAGTAAAAAGACATGAACAAAGCCTCCAAGAAATATGGGACTATGTGAAAAGACCAAATCTACGTCTGATTGGTATACCTGAAAGTGAACAGGAGAATGGAACCAAGTTGGAAAACACTCTGCAGGATATTATCCAGGAGAACTTCCCCAATCTAGCAAGGCAGGCCAACATTCAAATTCAGGAAATACAGAGAATGCCACAAAGATACTCCTCGAGAAGAACAACTCCAAGACACATAATTGTCAGACTCACCAAAGTTGAAATGAAGGAAAAAATGTTAAGGGCAGCTAGAGAGAAATGTCGGGTTACCCACAAAGGGAAGCCCATCAGACCAACAGCGGATCTTTCGGCAGAAACTCTACAAGTCAGAAGAGAGTGGGGGCCAGTATTCAACATTCTGAAAGAAAAGAATTTTCAACCCAGAATTTCATATCCAGCCAAACTAAGCTTCATAAGTGAAGGAGAAATAAAATACTTTACAGACAAATAAATGCTGAGAGATTTTGTCACCACCAGGCCTGCCTTACAAGAGCTCCTGAAGGAAGCACTAAACGTGGAAAGGAACAACCAGTACCAGCCACTGCAAAAACATGCCAAGTTGTAAAGACCATCAATGCTAGGAAGAAACTGCATCAACTAACAAGCAAAATAACCAGTTAACATCATAATGACAGGATCAAATTCACACATAACAATATTAACCTTAAATGCAAATGGGCTAAATGCTCCAATTAAAAGACACAGACTGGCAAATTGGATAAAGAGTCAAGATCCATCAGTGTGCTGTATTCAGGAGACCCATCTCATGTGCAGAGACACACATAGGCTCAAAATAAAGGGATGGAGGACCAGCTACCAAGCAAATGGAAAACAAAAAAAAGCAGGGGTTGCAATCCTGGTCTCTGATAAAACAGACTTTAAACCAACAAAGATCAAAAGAGACAAAGAAGGCCATTACATAATGGGTAAAGGGATCAATTCCACAAGAAGAGCCAACTATCCTAAATATATATGCACCCAATACAGGAGCACCCAGATTCATAAAGCAAGTCCTTAGAGACCTAGAAAGAGACTTAGACTCCCACACAATAATAATGGGAGACTTTAACACCCCACGGTCAACATTAGATAGATCAACGAGATAGAAAGCTAACAAGGATATCCAGGAATTGAACTCAGCTCTGCACCAAGTGGACCTAATAGACATCTACAGAACTCTCCACCCCAAATCAACAGAATATACATACTTCTCAGCACCACATCACACTTATTCCAAAATTGACCACATAGTTGGAAATAAAGCACTCCTCAGCAAATGTAAAATAACAGAAATTATAACAAACTGTCTCTCAGACCACAGTGCAATCAAACTAGAACTCAGGATTAAGAAACTCACTCAAAACCGCTCAACTACATGAAAACTGAACAATGACTACTGGGTACATAACAAAATGAAGGCAGAAATTCAGATGTTCTTTGAAACCAATGAGAACAAAGACACAACATACCAGAATCTCTGGGACACATTTAAAGCAGTGTGTAGAGGGAAATTTATAGCACTAAATGCCCACAAGAGAAAGCAGGAAAGATCTAAAGTTGACACCCTAACATCACAATGAAATGAACTAGGGAAGCAAGAGCAAACACATTCAAAAGCTAGCAGAAGGCAAGAAATAACTAAGAGCAGAGCAGAACTGAAGGAGACAGAGACACAAAAAACCCTTCAAAAAATCAATGAATCCAGGAACTTGTTTTTTGAAAAGATCAACAAAATTGATAGACCACTAGCAAGACTAATAAAGAAGAAAAGAGAGAAGAATCCAATAGACACAATAAAAAATGATAAGGGGGATATCACCACCAATCCCACAGAAATACAAACTATCATCAGAGAATACTATAAACACCTCTATGCAAATAAACTAGAAAATCTAGAAGAAATGGATAAATTCCTGGACACATACACCCTCCCAAGACTAAACCAGGAAGAAGTTGAATCCCTGAATAGATCAATAACAAGCTCTGAAATTGAGGCATTAATAGCCTACCAATTAAAAAAAGTCCAGGACCAGATGGATTCACAGCAGAATTCTACCAGAGGTACAAAGAGGAGCTGGTACGATTCCTTCTGAAACTATTCCAATCAATAGAAAAAAAGGGAATTCTCCCTAATTCATTTTATGAGACAAACACCATCCTGATACCAAAGCCTGGCAGACACACAACAAAAAAGGAGAATTTTAGACCAATATCCCTGATGAACGTTGATGCAAAAATCCTCAATAAAATACTGCCAACCAAATCCAGCAGCACATCAAAAAGCTTATCCACCATGATCAAGTGGGCTTCATCCATGGGATGCAAGACTGGTTCAACATATGCAAATCAATAAATGTAATCCATCACATAAACAGAACCAAAGACAAAAACCACATGATTATCTCAATAGATGCAGAAAAGGCCTTTGACAAAATTCAACAGCCTTCATGCTAAAAATTCTAAATAAAGTAGGTATTGATGGGACCTATCTCAAAATAATGAGAGCTATTTATGACAAACCCACAGCCAGTATCATACTGAATGGGCAAAAACTGGAAGCATTCCCTTTGAAAACTGGCACAAGACAGGGATGCCCTCTCTCACCACTTCCATTCAACATAGTGTTGGAAGCTCTGGCCCAGGCAATCAGGCAAGAGAAAGAAATAAAGTGTATTCAATTAGGAAAAGAGGAAGTCAAATTATCCCTGTTTGCAGATGACATGATTGTATATTTAGAAAACCCATCATCTCAGCCCAAAATCTCCTTAAGCTGATAAGCAACTTCAGCAAAGTCTCAGCATACAAAATCAATGTGCAAAACTCACAAGCATTCCTATACCAATAACAGAGAGTCAAATCATGAGTGAACTCCCATTCACAATTGCTTCAAAGAGAACAAAATACCTAGGAATCCAACTTACAAGGGATGTTAAGGACCTCTTCAAGGAGAACTACAAACCACCACTCAGTGAAATAAAAGAGGATACAAACAAATGGAGGAACATTCCATGCTCATGGATAGGAAGAATCAATATCGTGAAAATGGCCATACTGCCCAAGGTAATTTATAGATTCAATGCCATCCCCATCAAGCTAACAATGACTTTCTTCACAGAATTGGAAAAAACTACTTAAAAGTTCATATGGAACCAAAAAAGAGACCATATTGCCAAGACAATCCTAAGCCAAAAGAACAAAGCTGAAGGTTTCACGCTACCTGACTTTAAACTATACTACAAGGCTACAGTAATCAAAACAGCATGGTACTGGTACCAAAACAGAGATAGAGACCAATGGAACAGAATAGAGCCCTCAGAAATAATACCACACATATACAACCATCTGATCTTTGACAAATCTGACAAAAACAAGAAATGGGAAAAGGATTCCCTATTTAATAAATGGTGAGGGGAAAACTGGCTAGCCATATGTAGAAAGCTGACACTGGATCTCTTCTTTACACCTTATACAAAAATTAATTCAAGATGAATTAAAGACTTAAATGTTAGACCTAAAACCACAAAAACCCTAGAAGAAAATCCAGGCGATACCATTCAGGACATAGGCATGGACAAGGACTTCATGACTAAAACACCAAAAACAATGGCAATAAAAGCCAAAATTGACAAATGGGATCTAATTAAACTAAAGAGCTTCTGCACAGCACAAGCAACTACCATCAGAATGAGCAGTCAACCTACAGAATGGGAGAACATTTTTAAAATCTACCCCTCTGACAAATGGCTAATATCCAGAATCCACAAAGAACTTAAACAAATTTACAAGAAAAAATCAAACAACCCCATCAACAAGTGGGCAAAGGATATGATCAGACACTTCTCAAAAGAAGACATTTATGCAGCCAACAGACACATGAAAAAATGCTCATCACTGGCCATCAGAGAAATGCAAATCAAAACCACAATGAGATACCATCTCACACCAGTTAGAATGGCGATCATTAAAAAGTCAGGAAACAATAGTTGCTGGAGAGGATGTGGAGAAATAGGAATGCTTTTACACTGTTGGTTGGATGGTAAACTAGTTCAACGATCGTGGAAGACAGTGTGGCCTTCCTCAAGGATCTAGAACTAGAAATATCATTTGACCCAGCCATCCCATTACTGGGCATATACTGAAAGGATTATAAATCATGCTGCTATAAAGACACATGCACATATATGTTTATTGCAGAACTATTCACAATAGCAAAGACTTGGAACCAACCCAAATGTCCATCAATGATAGACTGGATTAAGAAAATGTGGCACGTATATACCATGGAATACTATGCAGTCATAAAAAAGAATGAGTTTGTGTCCTTTGTAGGAACATGAATGAAGCTGGAAACCATCATTCTGAGCAAACTATCGCAAGGACAGAAAACCAATCACTGCATGTTCTCACTCATAAGTGGGAACTGAACAATGAGAACACTTGAACACAGGGTGGGGCAAATCACACACTGGGGCCTGTTGTGGGGTTGGGGGAGGGGGGAGGGATGGCATTAGGAGATATACCTAATGTAAATGATGAGTTAACGGGTGCAGCACACCAACATGGCACATGTATACATAGGTAACAAACCTGCACGTTGTGCACATGTACCCTATAACTTAAAGTATAGTAATAATTAAAAATATATTCCACGGTGGGAGAAAAAAAGCAATAGTACGTATCTGATGGGGGTGTTTTGTGAATTGAGATAATGCACATAGAGCTTAATAAATAGTAATTATTATTAAAAAAAGAAAGTATGCTATTATTATTGTCATTGTATCAAAACAGAAACTGAGTTAATAAAGATAAATTCCCCACATCTTTGATGAGAAAGAAGAGAATATGCAATTGTAGTCCAGTACGTGTTATTCCAGTGCCACCCCATGTGCTTCACAATGTCAAGATGATGCTGTGATTGATGAATTATAGTGCTGTCAGGATGCTCCTCTTCAGTCAGTTTGGCTAATAGCTCTTCAGAGAGATGTTAAGACTGCTTCTGTAAATATAGCCTTGACAGTGAGGACTGCAAAGCTTTATAATTAATGGTAATTATTTCTATATACTTTAACGCTATGAACTCAGAACTCTGCACAAACATTGACTCATAAGTTGTGAAATAATGGGTGCTAAACAACATCGCCATTTATTGTTTCTCATTCCTTGATCATCTCCAAAATATACCATCATATTCCTATTGGAAGAATCTTCTTTTATTGCTCCGTAAGGGCCCGGTCTCAGTTGACAGGAACATTTTGCTAGACATCCTGTTAGGGAAATTAGGAATTTAGATTAGTCAAGGAAAGAAAATGCTAGAGAAGTCCTTTCTCCCCCTGTCTCCGTGAACTTACTTCTTCCTTACTCCAAATTCTTCCTTATTTCCTCAATGTCTAAACCCCCACCTCACTCACCATGCAAAGCCAGGCTGACTCTAGCAGTGATTAAACCTCTGAACCATGTCAACTTCGAGTAATTTGTTGATTGTTGATTGACTAAAAGGTCAAGTGCTTCCTTTTATCTTAAAGACAGATTGTCTCTGTAAAGTTCACCAGTGAATCATGCATCAAACAAATGGCCATTGAGTCTGCCTAACAAGGAGACAAATGTTACTAAAGCAGAAACAGTTGTGTCTTTTTCTGGAGAAGTTGGTAGACAGTTGCCTCAAGATTTTCCTCAGATGTTCATGAGTGCTTCTGAAGTGGGCCAAGGATTGAGTTTATCAGGTTGCCTTAAACATTCTTCTGGTTTGACCTTCCTCCCAGAGGAGGAATGCCTTGGGTTCCTTCCTCCAGCATTACTTTCCTTCTTCCCAGTTGAGTGCCTTTCCCAGTCATTCTGGGCTCCGTGGCCTCCAAGAGCCAGATGGCATGTGGTGAGAAGCAACTATCTCAAGATTTTGTAATAAAAATATCAGATAAATTACTCATATAATTTAATATGAATAACTTACTTTCACCTGAATTATCTAAATGTTTTAAAATATTTTTATTTGTAACTTCAGTGATATAAATAATTGACTGAAGTTATTTGGGGTGAGTAGAAATTGCCAAAGGTTTAAATATAACACTTGCAATGTACATAATTAGATTTTGAAATCCTAGACCAAGTAAATATTAAGACCTTCCCAGGAATATATGGTACAAAAAGCAAAATGGGCCTACGGTCTGGCCAGTTCCCAATATTATGTTAGCAATTGCTTTTGCATATGATTAACTAATATCATTCTGTGTCTGTAATGGTTTACGTTTTTAAAAATTATGATTTCTTTGGTTTTCCTTGTATTGCTAATAGATAGTGGGCAGATCCAGTAGTCAGTGAAAACGTGCTTAGAGATTGATTTGTTTTCAAATATTCTTAAACTTGTTTTTAGTGTGTAGATTAACTAAATATCTTTTCTCACTGGCTGCCAGTAATAATAGCATAATATAGCCTCATGGAACAATAACAGTAGGACTTTGGTGAACTTTCTTCATGTAAGAATATAATAGTCTGTTTTAAAAGACTCCAACATTTACATTAAATGCATTTTTGTTTCTTAATTGACCTGAAAAATCCCTCTCATGCTGGGTGTTGTAAGTGCGGTTTCCCCCCAAATAAGCAAGAATTCAAAATTGGCCAAAATAAGCCAAAACAGAATAAATTAAATATTTGGCTTCACACCACTTTGCAATGTTCTTACAGTAAATGGGAAGTGCTTTGCCCCATCTTGAGTATTCCCTGGATGATGGCTTTTCTTGGGAATACATTTTTGGAGAGAAACCCTAAGAATATTTGTTTCCTTGAAAGGATGTATGCTTTTGCTAGTGAATGTTGATTTAGGAACATTAAAGAAATGTGAAGGGCTAAAAAAGTCCTGGGTTTGGTGTCGGGGAAGGGAGTAGGAGGACTCACGTTCATTGAGTTCTTATTTTGGTGAAGGTCTAGCCATCTAATGTAAATTTTACTCTCTTTGCTGATGTTATTGGGCATTTTATTGATAAGAAAATTACAGATAAGTTAACCAAATTCCCTAAATTCACATTTTTTTAGCAAAAGGAAGAACTTGAGGTAAGATTAAAACAGCACAGCGGGTCTGTTGAGAATGAAGATCTGTGCTGTTTCTCTTCTTTACTACAGATCTCTGAGGGTTGGATTTCACTGGGGCAGACAAAACTGCATTGTGGGTTCATCTCCCCTCACTGATATTTAATTCACAAAGGATGACACCATCAGTATAATAATCCGAGAGGAATCTTCACATGCAACTACCCTTAGGAAAGGCAGCACATGCTTTGTATTAATGTTCAAATGTTAATAATTATTACATCACTACATTTATCATGCATTGTATCAAGTGCTTTATGTATAATTTTTATTTCATCCACAATAACCTTAACTATGTATTTTGTTTCTATTTTAAATGTGAAGCAATTGTGACTTAGGATAAGTAATTATCACATAGTCAATGGAAATGCTAGTATTTAAAGTGTCTATTCTTAACTCTAGTAGTAATAGTGTATCAGTGTCACATGTGAAGTTAAAAATAATCATTATTTGAACATTTATTAGTTTTTTTGGCCACCAATACCAAAGGATTAGTGTTTTTGGTAACTTTACCCTGATTTTCCCACTCTTAGCTCCTGTGCTTTTCAGTAGTTGACTCAATTTTCAGATGCAGAAGTGAGTCCTGATTGTTCTAAACCAATCAGCATGCCCATCCTCTTAGCCATAGTTACAGGTTCAAGATGGACATGTATGCAAATAAGAACCATTGTGAGGTTATGTTTGCTGGGGCTTCTGGGAAAGAGAAACTTTCCTTATATAGTTCCTATGGATTTGATAGTATGAAAGTGAAAGGTCTGGAGGTATCATATTTTGCATTCATCAGGAGCCTAAGGCTGCCAGTGACCAACACCGAGAATATGGGAATGAAGGAAGCCAACCTTCAGGAGCCAGAATACAGAGATGAGACCTGGTGGTCATTTGTTTCTAAATAAAGCTGTACCTGAAGATATCATTCCCCAAAGACCCTGCCATTGTATGAGACAACGGTTACATTTTTTGTTTATGGCAATTTAAGTTGAATTTTCTAGTGTTTGTAAGTAAATGAATGCTGATATTTAAATTTTACTCAGAAAGCACTAACCAAAAAAGAAATGATTGCTAAACTAGACTATGCTAAAATTCAAGACTGTGTTTGTGAAAATAAAGTCTCAAACAGCCAAAAATACTTGCAACACATAAAATTGACAGATCAGTACCCAGAATATATAAATAATTCTTATAAGTAGAAAGATAATGACAAAAATACACTTATTTTAAAATAGAATTGATATATATACATTTAAAAAATTTTAAAATTAATTGACAATAATTGTATATATTTATGGGATATAATGTGATATTTTTGATATATGTATAAATAATAAAAAGACTAAATCAAGCTAATTAACATATCTACCACTTCACCTATTTATTTATTTATTTGGTGAGAACATTTAAAATAAACTCATTTCACAATTTTGAAATATACATTATTATAATCTATGGTTACCATGTTGTGCAATAGATTTCTAAAATTTATTCCTCTTGTCTAACTGGAACTTTGTACCCTTTGCCCAACATACCCCCATTCCTCACACCCCTGAAACCCCTAGGTTCTAGTAACCACCGTTGTCTTCTCTGCTTCTGTGAGTTTGACTTTTTAAAATTTCTCATGTAAGTGACATTATGCAGTATTTGCCTTTCTGTGCCTGGCTTATTTCACTTAGTATAATGTTCTGTAGCTTCATTCATGTTGTTAAAAATGACAGAATATTGTTCTTTCTCATGGCTATATAGTATTCTATTGTGTGTATTACATTTTTATTCATTCATCCATTGATGAATTTTCCTATAGTTTTTTTATGTTTTGTTTTGATGGACACTTGTTTCTAGTTTCCATTCATTTTTATGACTGAATAATATTTTATTGTATGTATATACCACATTATAAACATTTGGGTTGTTTTCAATTTTTGGATATTAGAAATAATGCTGCTATGAAAATTTGTACACAAATTTATTGTGAATATCTGATTTCAGTTCTTTTGGGTATATGCCAATGAGCAGAACTTTTAAGTCATATGATACTCTGTGTTTAACTTTTTGAGAAATGGACAAACTGTTTTCTACAGTGGCTGCACCATTTTATATTTCTATCAGCAATGTATCAGGGCTCACATTTATTTAATTCTCTCCAATACTTGTTTTTTAGAATTATGGTTATCCTAATGGATGTTAAGTGTTATCACATTGTGGTTTTAATTTGCATTTCCCTAATGACTAATGATGTTGAACACTTTCCATGTGCTTCTTGGCCATTTGTATATCTCCTCTGGAGAAATGTCTATTCAAATTTTTTGCCCAATTTTTAACTGAGTAATTTTTCTTTTTACTGTTGAGTTGTAAGAGTTCTTTATGCATTCCAGATATTTGGTTGTTATATAATATATGATTTGCAAATATTTTCTTCCACTGGGTGGGTCATCTTTTCACTTTCTTGGTAGTGACTTTTCATAAATAAAAGTTTTTAGTTTTTACAAAGCCTAATCAATGATTCATTTTTAAATAAACTAAATCATGAGAAAAAAGTATTTTATATTTAGCTGCATATTAAATAGCTTCATCTCTATGAGTAAAATTAAATTTCCATCTGTTAGGATTTCCCATCAGCTTTAAGATCTTTCTTTAATAATTTTTTTGTACAGGTCTGATGATGACAACTGCCTTTAAGTTTTGTTTATCTAATATTGGAGTGAACGAAGGTGAGATAATAAGCTTTGTATTTGAATTCTCTATTCTGTAATGTTTCACTTGTTATAACAAGCATATTTTAATATTATAAAACAAGAGTTTTAAAAAGAGAAAACCATATTCAACTTAAATAAGGATGGAAAATACTCTTAAGGCAATCTTGTCCTTATATTAGCGTGTTACTCATTATAAAGAAAAGACAATGAATTTTTATGGGGTTGACCTCTTAATTTTTCCAGCTTAGAAAATTATTATGCTTCTCTAAATAGTACCTATTTAATAGTAAACTATTAAGCTACCTGTAAACTATTAATACTAAATAGTACCTATTCCTGCAAACTCACTGATTAAACATGTATTTTCCCCTAATTGACATATATATTTTAAATAGGAAACCAATTGAAACATTTTTGAGAGGGGCAAATAAAGTGAAAACAGATCTATATATATGCCTCCTCTCTAAGAGAGAAAAAAAGTTCAAGGAAAATTAAATCAACCTGTTCTATTATTGTGACTACATGGTAGAAATGTTTCAAAATAACACGTTTTCTACATTAATGTTCTCTGCTGTCAATTTTTCTTGCAAATATGCAGTGAGAATTATAAAAATATAGAATAATGGTAATTTGAAGTTGCTTCTTGTTCACAAATGTATAACTTCAAAGACTAAGATATGTTCCATAGAGAAAAATGTTAAATGCAGTATAAAACACTATAGGCTTGCCTGACTCTTGAGAATTATTCATGTTGCTATTTAACTGTTAGCATATTACAGGCACTCTTTTACTAAGTCTGAAGAAAGAAGTAGGAAAGTCACTCAGTATTTATCAATAAGGCTATTTACAGTCTTGGATGAATAACTGACATTTTAGAGTTAGCTGTATTTTGATAAATTGATATTCTACATATAGATGATGAAAAAGAGAAATAACGTTTAAAAGTGAATTTAATCAATACAAGTAATCCATTCATTCATGAAAATTTAAAGAAGAAAATGGTGTTTATTGTGAGGTGGAGTGTATGCTTTTTCTGTCCTCCCTTGCAACTCGTGATTTGCTTTATGAGGATGTGTGTTTTACCTACCATGTAGCAATATTCAACATGGAATCGAAATATGTAATTTTAAGTCTTAGATCTGTCATTAACTAGTAAAATAATCTTGAGTAACTCATTTGAAATTTTCTAAACGTGAGATTACTCATATCTAAAATAGGAATACAGTTGTGACCCTACCTACCATGTGAGATAAATGAGGCATCAAAAATAATATAATGTTTTTCAAAGCACTGTGTACACCGTAAAGTTCTATATAAATATATCATTATCAGGTCAAACATCATTGCCCCATTCTCTATCCACGAACTTAAAAAAGTCTACGTTCTTTTCCATATAAGGATTTCTATGTTATGCATGAGTGAGGAAAGCCGTATTGCAACCCATTTCTATAAATATTGAAGAGGAAGCAAAATGGAACAAAGTCTGGTTTCACATTTTTAACGTGAAGTCTAATCAATAGATGAAATTTGGGTTTTCCGTGAAGAAGACAACGACTCAAGAACTCACCCTCTCCATTATTATCTAGCTTAGACTCTTGTCTTTCTCCTCCAGCAATGCCTAGTAGTTTCATCTGATCACTCCTTAACCCAAGTCTTTGCATCCGCCAGTCTGTTTATTCTGCCATCAGATAATCTTCCTAAGTGTGATTAGATTATTCTCATGTTTATAAATGTCTATTAATTTCCATTTGCATAGAAGATAGAAGTTTGTTTTAGAAAGCATGTCATAACTTGCTTCTGATTCCTCCAGGAGAATTACCCAAAGTGGAAATATTCAGGATTAATGTAAAATGTCAAAGAAAAATTTGCTTTTATTTACACTAGTCTGAAAAATTTAAGAATGTTGTAAATTAATTCTTAATATCTGACACTTTTTGAACACTACTCTTTGCCAACTGTGTATTTCATGTTTTTCATACCAGTGCCATTTTTTGTTATGTAATATACTATTTCCAGGTGAGAAAATTAAAGCATAAAAGCATCAAATAACAGAACCTAGAACCATACATCTAATAAGCATTAGTTATATGTGCTAGATTTCTGAACTCTACCCTAGGGCTTTCCTTGTATTTATTTTTTTAATGATTATAATCCTTATGATTTTTTTCTAAATAAAAAAGTTATGAGAGGCATGTTGAGCAAGATGGCCAAATAGAACCCTGTAGCAATTGCCTGACACCACAGGAAAACCAAGTTGAACGACGATCCAAAGAAGAAAGCAGCTCCATAGGAACCAAAAATCAGATGAGTGATCACAGTATCTGGTTTTAATATTATATCGAGGAAAGAGGCAGTGAAGAGGGTAGAAAATACAGTCTTAAATTGTGAATACCACTCCTCCTCCAACCACCACCAGCAGCCACATGGCTTGGAAGAGAATCTGTGCACTTGGGAGAGGGAGAGCACAGTGATTGTGGGGCTTTACATTTGAATTCAGTGCTGCCTGTCACAGTGGAAAGCAACTCAGTGCAGA
Organism: Homo sapiens; assembly: GCF_000001405.40. Classification (NCBI taxonomy): domain Eukaryota; kingdom Metazoa; phylum Chordata; class Mammalia; order Primates; family Hominidae; genus Homo; species Homo sapiens. Next base: position 154,812,335 of record NC_000003.12, on the reverse strand, counting down.
ATTCAGCTGGCATCCACAAAGAGAGCATTTGGACCAGCCCTAGCCAGAGGGGAATCATCCATCCTAACAATCAGATTCTGAGTTCTGTATAGCCCTACTATCTCAAGCTAAAGCACTCTGGAGTTCTAAATAAACTTGAAAGGCAATCTAGGCCACAAAGACTACAATTCCTGGGCAAGTCCTGGTGCTATACTGAACTTAAAGCTGGTGGACATGAGGTCCATGTGATCCACCAAGACACTGGCCAGAGTGGCCAAGGAAGTGCTTGTGTCACCACTCCCCCAACCCTAGGAGTGCAGGTCACAGCTCTAAGAGAGACTCCTTCCCTTTGCTTGAAAAGAGGGGAGGGAAGAGTAACTTTCCCCTTGCATACCAGCTTGGTATGCAACTTGGATACCAGCTCAGCCACAGTAGAATAGGGCATTAGACAGAATTCTGAGGTACCCATTACAGGCCCTAGCTCCTGGATGACATTTCTAGATACACCCTGGGCCGCGAGGGAACCAGCTGCCTTGAAGAGAAGAACATAATACTGGAGATATTTATCACCTGCTGACTAAAGTGCCCATGGGCCCTGAATATTCAGAAGTGGTAGCCAGGCAGTACATGCCGTGAACCTTGAGTGAGACCCAGTGCCATGCTGGCTTCAGTTGTGACTCAGCACATTCCCAGCTGGAATGGTTATGGGGAGAGACTCCTTCTGTTTGAGGAAAGGAAGGGGAAGAGTAAAGGAAACTTTGTCTTGCACCTTGGCCACAGTAAGGTAGACCACCAAGTGGGCTCTTGAGGTCCTCAGTTTCAGGCTTTGGACAGCATTTTGGACTCATCCTGAGCCAAAGGGAAAACCACTTCCCTGAAGGGAGAGACCCAGGCCTAGCAGCATTTACCATAGGGTAAATGAAGAGAGCTTGGGCCTTGAGTAAACATTGGCAGTAGCCAGGCAGAATTCCCCATAGTCCAGGGGCAGTGGTGCATGGGGAGAGATGTCTTCTGTTTGAGGGGAGAAGAAGGAAGAATGGAAGGACTTTGTCTTATGGATTGGGTGCCAGATGAACCATCGTAGAACAGAGCACTAAGTAGATTCCTACAGTCTCCAACTCCAGGTCCTGGCTCCTGGATAGCATTTCTGGTCAGCATTTCTGGATAGCAAACCTGGTCAGGGGAGGACTTTGCTGCCCTGAAGGGTAGGACATAAGCCTGGCTGGATTCACTACCTGCTGACCGAAGAGCCTTTGGGCCTTGAATGAACACTGGAGGTACACAGGCAGTGGTCTCTTTGGGCCCTGAGTGAGACCCAGTGCTGTACTGGCTTCAGGTTTGACCCAGCAGTTGTTACTGGGGTGACCACAGGGGTGCTTGGTCACCCCTCCCCCAGCTCCAGGCAGCTCAGCACAAAGAGACTCTATTTGTTTGGGGAAAAGTAAGGGAAGAGAAAAGAGTCTCTGCCTGGTAATCCAGAAAATTCTTCCAGATCTTATCCAAGACCACCAAAGTTGTACCCTTATGAGTCAGCAAGCGTCACAGTGTGACTAGCCTTAGGGTGCCCCTTAATATAGATATGACTGCAGTGACCCAAGGCTTAGATCACAACATTCAAGTTCCTTTGAATACCTGGAAAGCCTTCCTAGGAAGCATGGGTCCCAACTAGCCCAGACTGTGAAGATGAGAATAAATATTTACTTCTTCAATGCCCAGACATCAACCAATATCCACAAGCCTCAAGACCATCCAGGAAAACATAACTTCCCCCAGTGAACTAAATAAACTACCAGTGATAAATCCTGGAGTGACACAGATATGTGACATTTCAGGCAAAGAATTCAAAATAGCTGTTTTGAGAAAACTCAATGAAATTCTACATAACACAGAGAAGGAATTCAGAATAATATCACATAAATTTAACAAAGGAATTGAGATGATTTTTTTAGATTTTTGATTTTAATTTTATTTTACTTTAAGTTCTGGGATACACGTACTGAATGTGCAGGTTTGTTACAGACGTATACATGTGCCATGGTGGTTTGCTGCACCTATCAACCCATCATCTAGGTTTTAAGCCCTGCAGGCATTAGGTATTTGTCCTAATGCTCTCCCTCCCATTTCCCCGCACGCCACAACAGGCCTGGATGTGTGATGTTCCCCTCCCTGTGTCCATGTGTTCTCAATGTTCAACTGCCACTTATGAGTGAGAACGTGCAATGTTTGGTTTTTCTGTTCCTGTGTTAGTTTGCTGAGGTTTTAAAACTCTAGCAGAAATTGTAAAGCTGAAAAATTCAATGCTGTACTGAAGAATGTGTGAGTCTCTCAACAGCATAACTGGTCAAACAAAAGAAAAAAAGTAGTGAGCTTGAAGACAGGCTATTTGAAAATACAAGTAAAAAGAAATGAAAGAAAAAAGAATAAAAAATAATGAAGCATTTTTACAAGATCTAGAAAAAAAAGAAGAATCTGCTTGGTTAAGAAAAAAGTACCCTAAAAGCAGCAAGAGAAAAGAAGCAAGTAAGATACAAAGAAGCTCCAATACATCTGTCAGCAGACTTCTCAGTGGAAACTTTACAGGCCAGAGGAGAGTAGCTTCACATATTTAAAGTGCTGAAGAAAAAAAACCTTTCATCCTAGAATGGTATATCCATGAAAATATCCTTCAAACATGAGAAAAATAAAGATATTCCCAGACAAACAAAAGCTGAGGGAGTTCGCCAACACCAGACCTGTCCTATAAGAAATGTTAAAGGAATTCTTCAATCTGAAAGAAAAAAACATTTATGATCAATAAGGTACAAAACTCATTGGTAGTAGTAAGTGCACAGACAAATACAGAATATTATAACACTCTTTGTGATGTGTAAACTACTCATATCTTGAGTAGAAAGACTAAAAAATAAAATAAGCCTATCAAAAATAATAACAACACCTTTTCAAGATAGACAGTATAATAATATATAAATAGAAGCAACAAAAAGTTAAAAAGTGAGGAGAATGAAGTTAAACTGTAGAGTTTTTCAAACTAGTTTTCTCTTTGTTAATTACATTGTTTTTGCCACCAGTGTTAAGTTGTCATCAGTTTAAAATAATGGGTTATAAGAAGTTATTTGGAAGCCTCATAGTAACTTCAAATCAAAAAACCTACAAGAGATACACAAAAAATAAAAAGGAAGAAATTAAAACATAATACCAGAGAAAATCACCTTCACAAAAATAAAGACAGGAAGAAAAGAAGAAAGGTAGGAAGAAAGACAGGGAGGGAGGGGAGGAGAGAGGGAAGAAAGACCACAAAAAAAAAAAGAAACCAGAAAACAAATAACAAAATGACAAGAGTAAGTCCTTGCTTATCAATAATAACATTAAATGTAAATGAATTAAACTCTCCAAGGAAAAGACATAGAGTGGCTGAATAGATTAAAAAAAAAAAAGACCCAATGATTCATTACCTACAGGAAACACACATGACCTATAAAGATACACATAGGCTGGGAGCAGTGGCTCACGCCTGTAATCCCAGCACTTTGGGAGGCCAAGGCGGGCGGATGACCTGAGGGTCAGGAGTTCAAGAACAACCTGGCCAAAATGGTGAAACTCTCTCTCTACTAAAATTACAAAAATTAGCCAGGTGTTTTGGCATGTGCCTGTAGTCCCAGCTACTCAGGAGGCTGAGGCATGATAATCGCTTGAACATGGGAGGCAGAGGTTGCAGTAAGCCAAGGTTGCACCACTGCACTGCAGGCTAGGAGAGAGAGTGAGACTACATCTCAAAAAAAAAAAAAAAAAAAAGAAAAGAAAAAAAAAATAAAGAAAAAAGACACACATAGACAGAAGATAAAGGAATTAGAAAAGATATTTTAGGCAAATGAAAATAAAAAATGAGCAGGAGTAGCTATACCTATATCAGACAAAATAGATATCAGCAATAACTATAAAAACAGACAACAAAGGTCACTATATAATGATAAAGGGGTCAATTCACCAAGAAGATATAATAATTGTAATTACATATACACCCAACACTGGAATACTCAGATATATAATGCAAATATTACTAGAACTAAAGAGAAAGATGGGCCTCAACACAGAAATACTTGGACACTTTAACACCCCATTTTCAGCATTGGAAAGATAATCCAGAGAGAAAAATCAACACAGAAATATCAGACTTAATCTGCACTATAAACCAAATGGACCTAACACACAGGTATGGAATATTTCACCCAACAGCTGCAGAATACACATTATTATTCTCAGTACATGGATTATTCTCAAGAATAGACCATACGTTGGGCCACAAACCAAGTCTTTAAAAATTCAAAACAACTGAAATTATATCAAGTATCTTATCTGAACATAATGGAACAAAACTAGAAATAAATAACAGGAGGAATTTTTGAAACTATACAAACACATGGAAGTTAAAAAATATGCTCCTGAATGACCAGGAGAATCAATGAAGAAATTAAGAGAAAAATTGGAAATTCCACTGAAATGGTCATGGAAACACAACAAACCAAAACCTGTGGGATAAAGAGAGAGCACAAATAAGAGGAACATTTATGACAATAAATGCCTATACAAAAAAAGCAGATAAACTTCACAGAAACAACCTAATGCATCTTAAAGAACTAGAAAAGCAAGTGCAAAACAAACCCAAAATTAGTAGAAAAATAATTAAGTTCAGAGCACAAATAAATGAAATTGAAATGAAAAAACAATACAAAAATCAATGAAAAGTTTTTTTAAAAAAAGATAAACAAAATTGACAAATATTTAACCAGACTAGCCAAGATAAAAAGTGAGAAGATCCAAATAAATAAAATCAGAAGTGCAAAATGAGGCATTACAATTGACACTGCAGAAATTCAAAGGATCATTAGTGGCTGCTATGAGCAACTATATGCCAATAAATTGGAAAACCTAGGAAAAATAAATTCCTAGACACATACAACCTAACAAGATTGAACCATGAAGAAATCCAATATGTCATAAAGAAATCCTGAACCTGAAGAGACCAATAACAAGGAATGAGATTGAAGCTGTAAAAAAAAGTCTCCCAGCAAAGAAAACCCAGAACCCGAGAGCTTTACTGCTGAATTTTGCCAAACATTTAAAGAACTTATAACAATCCTATTCACACTATTCTAAAAAATAGAGGAGGGAATACTTCCAAACTTATTCTATGAGGCCAGTATTACCCTGATACCAAAAACAGACAAAGACACATCAAAAGAAGAAAACTACAGGCCAATATTTCTGATGAACATGGATGAAAAAATCTTCAACAAACTACTTGCAAACCTAATTCAACAACACATTAAAGAAGTCATTCATTATAACCAAGTGGGATTTTATCCCAGGGATGCAAGGATGGTTCAACATACACAAATCTATCAATGTGATACATTATATCAATAGAATGCAGAAAAAACCCATATGACCATTTCAATTGATGTTGAAAAAGCAATTGATAAAATTCAACATTCCTTCGTTATAAAAGCTGTCAAAAAACTGGGTATAGAAGGAACATACCTTAGCATAATAAATGCTGTGTATGACAGATTCATAGCTATTATCATACTGAATGGGAAAAAACTGAATGCCTTTCCTCTAAGATCTGGAGCACATAGATGCCAACTTTGACCACTGTTATTCAACATAGTACCTGAACTCCTAGCTAGAGTAATCTCACCAAGAGGAACAAATACAGAGCATTCAAATTGGAAACGTAGAAGTCAAATTATCCTTATTTGCAGATAATATGATTTTATATTAGGAAACAACTAAGGATTCCACCAAAAAACTATTAGAACAGATAAACAAATTCAGAAAAGTTGCAGGATACAATAATCAACATACAAAAATCAGTAGCATTTACATATGCCAACAATGAACCATCTGAGAAAGAAATCAAGAAAGTAATCCCATTTACAATAGCTACAAACAAAATGAAATACCTTGGAATTGACTTAACAAAAGAAACAAAAGATCTCCACATTGAAAACTGCAAAACATTGATGAAAGAAATTGAAGAGAACACAGAAAAATGAGAAAAATATTCCACGCTCATGAATTGGAAGAATCAGTACTGTTAAAATGCCGATACTACTTGATATGGTTTGGGTGTGTTCCCACCCAAATCTCATCTTGAATTGTAACTCCCACAATTCCCACGTGTCATGGGAGAAACCCAGTGGGAGGTGATTGAATTATGGGGATGGGCCTTTCCTGTACTGTTATCATGATAGTGAATAAGTCTCACAAGATCTGATGGTTTTAAAAACAGGGGGTTCCCTGCACAAGCTCTTCTCTTTTCTGCCACCATGTGAGATGTGCCTTTCATCTTCTGCCATTATTGTGAGGCCTTCCCAGCCATGTGGAACTGTAAGTCCAATAAACCTCTTTCTTTTGTTAATTGCCCAGTCTCAGGTACGTCTTTATGAGCAGTGTGAAAATGGACTAATACAGTAAATTGGAACCAGTAGAGTGGAGCATTGCTGAAAAGATACCTGCAAGTATGGAAATGACTTTGCAACTGGGTAAGAGGCAGAGGTTGGAACAGTTTGGAGGGCTCAGGAGAAGACAGGAAAATGTGGAAAAGTTTAGAACTTCCTAGAGACTTGTTGAATGGCTTTGACAAAAATTCTGATAGCGATATGAACAATAAGGTCCAGGCTGAGGTGGTCTCAGATGGAGATGAGGAACTTGTTTGCAACTGAAGCAAAGGTGACTTGTGTTATGCTCTAGGAAAGAGACTGGTGGCACATTGCTCCTGTCCTAGAGATTTGTGGAACTTTGAATTTGAGAGAGATTATTTAGGATAACTGGTGGAAGAAATTTCTAAGCAGCAAAGCATTCAAGAGGTGACTTGGGTACTGTTAAAGACATTCAGTTCTATAAGGAAAGCAGAGCATAAAAGTTCAGAAAATTTGCAGCCTGACAATGTGATACAAAAGAAAACCCCATTTTCTGAGTAGAAATTCAAGCTGGCTGCAGAAATTTGCATAAGTAATGAGGAGCCAAATGCATAAGTAATAAGGAGTCATTGTTAATCAAGACAACAGAGAAAATGTCTTCAGGGTATGTCAGAGGTCTTCACAGTAGCCCCTCCCATCACAGGCCCAGAGGCCTAGGAGGAAAAAATTGTTTTGTGGGCCAGGCTCAGGGTCCCCATGCTGTATGTAGTCTAGAGATTTGGTGCTCTGCATCCCAGCCATTCTAGCCATGACTAAAATGGGCCAAGGTGCAGCTCAGGCTGCAGCTTCAGAGGGTGCAAGCCCCAAGCCTTGGCAGCTTCCATGTGGTGTTGAGCCTGCAGGTGCACGGAAATCAAGAACTGAGGTTTAGGAACCTCTGCCTTGATTTCAGAGGATATGTGGAAATGCCTGGATATCCAGGCTGAAATTTGCTAGGGGTCGGGGGGCAGGGGCCTCTCATGGAGAACCTCTGCTAGGGCAGTGCAGAAGAGAAATGTGTGGTAGGATCCCCCACAGAGAGTCCCTGCTGGGGCACTGCCTAGTGGAGCTGTGAGAAGAGGGCCACCATCCTCCAGCCCCCAGAATAGTAGATCCACCAACAGCTTGCACTGGGCACCTACAAAAGCTGCAGACACTCAACACCAGCCCATGAAAGCAGCTGGGAGGGAGGCTGCACCCTGCAGAGCCACAGGGGCAGAGCTGCCCAAGACCATGGGAACCTACCTCTTGCGTCAGCATGACCCGATGCGAGACATGGGGTCAAAGAAGATCATTTTGGAGTTTTAAGATTTGACTGCCCTGCCAGATTTCAGACTTGCATAGGGCCTGTAGCCCCTTTGTTTTGGTCAATTTCTCCCATTTGGAATGGCCGTTTTTACCCAATGCCTGTACCTCCATTGTATCTAGGAAGTAACTAACTTACTTTTTATTTTACAGATTCACAGGCGGAAAAGACTTGCCTTGTCTCAGATGAGACGTTGGACTGTGGACTTTTGAGTTAATGCTGAAATGAGTTAAGACTTTGGGTGACTGTTGGGAAGGCATAATTGTTTTTAAATGTGAGGACATGAGATTTGGGAGGGCCCAGGTATGGAATGATATGGTTTGGCTGTGTCCCTACCCAAATCTCACCTTGAATTGTAATTCCCACAATTCCCATGTGTAGTGAGAGGACCCTGGTTGGAGGTGATTGAATTATGGGGGCAGGTCTTTCCTATGCTGTTCTCATGGTAGTGAATGAGTCTTATGAGATCTGATGGTTTTAAAAACAGGAGTTTCCCTGCATAAGCTCTCTTTTTGCCTGCTGCCACCCGTGTAAGATGTGACTTGCTTCTCCTTGCCTTCCACCATGATTGTGAGGCCTCCCCAGCCATATGGAATTGTGAGTCCATTAAACCTCTTTCTTTTGTAAATTGCCCAGTCTTGGATATGTCTTTATCAGCAGTGTGAAAACAGACTAATACACTACCCAAGGAATCTATAGATTCAATGTAATCTATATCAAATTTTCTTCCATTGTGTGAGTTGCCTTTTAACTTTCCTAACTGTGTTTTTTGAAATATGAAAATTTTTAATTTTGATGAAGTCAAACTTTTTTTTCTTTTTTCTTGTACTTTTGATTTCACATGTAAAATATTTTAAACATTTAGGAAAATGCAAAAGATAATATGGCATACAATTATGTACACACAACAAAGATTTAACATATTTAATTATCTACAAGTTTGTTTATTTTTTAGAACCTAATTTGTGGTTTAAGATCCATGTTTTTTGCCTTTCTTTCAGAGTACACACAAATTCTAAATTTCAAATGTATCATTTTCACATATATCTTAAATAATCTCATTATATTGATAAAAATTTCAATTTAAATGCCTTCAGTCAATTTAAAACAATGTTTTGTTGTTTAAAACATTTACATAAATGGCATAATATACCTAACTTTTTGCAGGTCAGTTTTTCTCAATATTGATGTTTTTTACATTTGTTCATGTTGGCTTATGTATATCTACTAATTTTCACCTTGGTATAGTGTTAAATTACATAAATAAATAAATATATTTTCATTTTTCCACAGATATAAAATTAGGTTGCTTTTTTTGCTATTATAAATAATGTTTTAAAGTATATCTTTGTATATGTCTTTTAATGCTCAAGGGGAAGCTTTTGAAATATGATTTACCTAGAAGTAAAATTGTTAGATGAAATAGTACAATTATTAAAACTTTACTATACATTGCCCAATTGCTTTGTTGTAACAATTCATATCCAACCAGCAAAATATGAGTCAAGGTATCCCTGCTTAATTATCAACATTTTGTCAGACTTGTTAATTTTTGCCAACAAGACAATAATTTGGTATCTTATTAAAATTTGAATTTTTCTGTTTATTAATAAGATTGGTTTTCATGTTTATTGTCTATTGGATTCGTTTTCTGTAAAATTTCTGTTCATATCCTTTGACCATTCTTCTATTTGTTTTTATCTTGATGGCTTCTTATAGACTATTTGAATTTTTATTATTATTTTTTTGTGGCAGAGTTTTTCTCTGTTGCCCAGGTTGGAGTGCAGTGGCATGATCTTGGCTCACTGAAACCTCCACTTCCTGGGTGAAATGTTTAATATATGCTGGATGCTAATGCATTACCAGTTACATGCTCTGCTCGTACCTGTGTTTTGATTTTTATGTTATTCTTTTCTGTGAAAAGATTTAAATTTTAATGTAACTACATTAAAGCTTAGTCCTTTTCTTTATAATTTATGTTGTATAATATTTTGAAATCATTCCTAGCCTAACTTTATAAAAAATACTATATTTTTCTAAAACTTTGAAAGATTATATTTTATACTTGTGTAATTAATTCATCTCGATTTGATTTTTTAATAAAGAGTAAGTCAGATATTCATTTTAATTTTTCCATAGAGATAACCAAGTGTCCCAACATTATTAATTATGTAGTTTATTATTATTATAATTTCAGTTGATGTATATTATTTCATGTATATAATACATTCTCAGATATAAATTATTTGTTTCTCCATTGTTTCTTTACTGATCTTTCAGATTTTTTATCTCTTCAACTTTTTATATTGCATTCTGAGTACTTTCCTCATATGTTTCTTTGAATGTACTAATTATATCTTCATCTATGTCTAATCTTCTAAATCCACCATTAAGTTTCTTAAGGTTTGTATTTTTACTACCACATTTTTTATTTCTGGAAGTTCTTTTTATATTTATTCAAAATTTGTATGTTGTTTTTATTTATACTATTTTATTATTTTCTTCTGATTTATATTACTTCATTTATTGTTGAGTTATTTAAAGCATACTTCCTCTTGAGTCTCTCAGAATATTATTTCTTGAACTCAAGGAACAATTGATCTTAAGCTCAAGGGATGCTAACCTCCAATTTGTTGTCTGCTGACTCTCACTCATGGTGATGTTTTCTTTTTGCATTTTTGTTAATTTTTTTAATGTATGTTAATTTTTAGTAGAAGCAGGTTTTCCTTTGGCACACCTGTAAAGTTTGAACTGTAGAACTATTTTTTGGAGACAATTTTGCATTTACTTCACTGAGGAATATACTGAGAATAGTTTACAGGATTATTTCTTGTTTGAGAATTCTTCACCATTCAGGTGCTATAAATTTCAATGCCTTACCTGCTTGAAGTGATTTTTACTTTATTTTGTCTTGAACCTTGTGTCTTCTATCTTCCAGTGATTGAAGATTTTAAAATTTGCCTTTTTACTGAAAGAGCTTGATTCAAAGATCTCAATACTATTTTTCTACCACTCAGGAGCTCAAGGCCATATCTTTTATTTATATCGGGCATAAAAACTCTTGCCATTAGGTCTTATATCCAGATCCAAGATTTTTCCAAGTCTGATCTGGTAACAGCTTCTGAGCTTATACATGTAATTTTCAGTTTACTTAACATAAAGATAAGCTTTAAGCTTTTCTACACGTTTTGTTTTATTTAATTAGCATTTCTATGTTTGTTTGTTTTCCCTCGAGACAGAGTCTCATTCTATTGTCCAGGCTGGAGTGCAGTGGCGTGATCTCGGCTCACTGCAACCTCCACCTCAGGGATTCAAGCAATTCTCCTGCCTCAGCCTCCCAAGTAGCTGGGACTATAGGCGTGCACCACCATGCCCAGATAATTTTTGCAGTTTTAGTAGAGATGGGGTTTCACCATGTTGGCCAGGCTGCTCTTGAACTCCTGACCTAAAGTGATCCACCTGCCTTGGCCTCCCAAAGTGCTAGGATTACAGGCATAAGACACCATGCCCGGCTCTATGTATTGTTTAAGAGAAGTTCAATGTTAAGTCAGTGTTAATACATTTAGTTTTAATTAACAAAACAGTAGTCAGAGAGCAAAACATGTATAATTTCTACATTTTAAAACTTATTAACTGTGTCTCTGTGAGCCACTATGGTTGATTTTTGTAAATAATATGTGAGCAATTTAAAACAAGGAGAACGTTTCTATATATTAATATCAGTTTTTTAATCAAGTTAGTTATATTCCTCTCATTGAGTTTTAGAACTTTATACTTAATTTGCTGGGGCTGAGAATTCTGTAAAGTTATCTTACCACTATAGTTATATTTGTGTTTATTTCTCCTTATATTTCAAATAATACTTGCTTTATCCTTTATTAGCATATTTTATTGAATATTTTCTTAATGAAAAGTTATCCTATATGTTGCATTTATTTTTATAACCCTAAATTCAAACTTGACTCATTTAAATATTGAGTCTTCCTTTCTTTGTGCTTGTATCTATTTGTTAGATCTTTAAACAATTTTACAGATTCCAAGCCAATTTTAAGTGTGTCTCCTATAAACACAATATGTTTCCATCTGTTTTTTGAACCCTGATGTAGTTATTTGTATGTTTGTTATTGTTACTATTATGGCAGATATGTTTAGATCTTTTGTCATCTTATCTTATGCTTAATAGGTTGACTTAAAATTTTTTCATTTTTCTTTTTTCTTTGATATATACTTCTTATTTAGCTTAATTTCTTTACTCTGATAATTTAAAAGAAATATACATTATATTTTTATATATTTCAATATGTATATACATATTTCTGACTTATTAGATTTTGAAACTCACACAATGTATACTGACTCCCTCTACATTTTTGTAGAAGTTATGGTATGACAAGTTTTACGTATTCTTAACTATTTTTCTCATCAGGCATAAACTTCTTTTTGAGTGAATTTTGGTAATTAATATTTTTCCTCAAATTAAATAATTTCTTAACATTTTTCTGTATTATGCATTTGTAGGTTCTTGATTACACTTACTGAGTGATTGCCTAACTCATTGCTTTTACTATTGCTTCACAAAATGCATGTCAAAACAACTTTGCCCTCGATTTCCTGATTTTAATAATAATGACCTCATCATTGGCATTTTCTAAATGCTTGCTATTTAAAGTTTTCAATTTCTTCTTTAGCCAAAGAGCTATCAAAGATAATATTTTGCTTTCACTTTTCATTTATTTAAGCTTTACTAAATCTTTTTACTAAATCTTACTAAAGCTTTACTAAGATTACTAAAGTAATCTTAATTACTAGTTCATTTTTTATGGCTAGAATGTGTGTTCTACTTAATTTCCACTTTGTGGAATTCATAAAACTTTTGTCAACATTTTAAGATCATCTGAAAGTACTGTGTATTTTATTTGTAGCATAGAATCTTTTTTCTTTTTAACAATATATATTAAGGTTCTCTAAGTGCTTTTAAAAAATCAATAATGTTAGTAGTTTCACTGAAATAATAGAAGTCTATTTCTTATTTTGGTAACAGTCAAATATGGCTGTGATTGGTTTGGTGATTTGTTCTAAGAAGTGACTCAGGGATCCAACTTGCTTTTGTCTTCCTAGGGCAGTACTATTCAAAGAGTCTACAAATTGCCTGTCTGCAGCAAAAAAAAAAAAAAAAAAAAAAAAAAAAAAAAAAAAAAAAAAAAAGGAGCTTGTGGCAGAATGTAAATCAACTGTATAACCAAGCATACTGCTTAGTTAGGTTGATGATTTATAGCGAGGTTCATAGCAAGACTTTCTCAACAAAGGAAGTAGTGCCTGCCTTAGGACTTTAGAGTCCTCTACCGTTTTGTCTGCATCTTATTTGCAGACTAGGGAAAAGAGACAGCAGAGATAATTGTTGGGAGTCTTCTTTTAATAGTAACCAGGCTGAGACATGACATGTATCATTTCTGCCCACATTTCAATGGTCAGAACTCACATAATTTCATGCAACTATAAGAGAGGTTGATTAAACATATGATAGCTAATTGCACAGGTGGAAAAATGGATTTTTATGAAAATAGTAATCTCTTTCATGATCTTTTCTCTATTTTTAATTCCCCATTATAGAAGTATTTACAGCACTTCTTGCTCTGAATCACATTCTTAATACACTACATATGCAATTACTTCACACCCAAGAAATAAAGGTGACTTTCAATCAATACTTATTTTAAGAAACATTATCGGGCTTTGTTCTCTTTATTTTCTTCATTTGAACTATAAATAAGAAATCTTGTATACTCAGTTTATTTGTACTTTTTAAAAAAATAATTAAGTTGATTCTCCGACAATAGTAAATAGAAGTATTAGCGATGTCCACATTGACTGCAAGACTTTTTTTCCATTTCTTATCATTTGTCACACTGTTTCTGTTGGCACATGCATAAACATAAAATAGGATGCTTGGCCACTATTATTTTGTGAAAGTCTTCAACTTGTCAGGGGATTTTGAATAGCACACATCAATTTTGAAACCTTTAATCTCACCCTGATTTGTATCTTTAGTAGTTCTACTTTATATAAAATTGTGTAGTTTGCAATAGATTCTTAGAGTATTTGGGTTAAAAATATGATTTCTTGATTTTTCCCCCATGTGGCTGACATTTATCTAGAAGATAATATTTCTTTCACTCATTGAAGACACATGGTTTAATTTTTTCTCTTTTAATGACCCAGCATGAATCTTGCAAAGCAACTTGAAGCAATACATTTTCAAATTTATGCTTCTTAAAGAGCCACTTCAATTATCTCCAAACATACAAACAAACCCATATTTGCAGAATCTCTGTGGTAACTTAGCTTAAAGTCAGGAACATAAACAGAAAAACTAGTAAGCCATAAAGATCTGAGAAAGTGAGTTTATTGCAACCAGCCTTAAAAGGATGAGTAATTTACTTTATTTCTTGGTTTCAGTTCAAGCAATTGTAAGGATAATTTATGATTGATTTTACATTTTGGAAAGTAATTGTAATCATTTCTCTAAGCCTCTCTCCTGCAATATAATGTATTAATTAGCTTGCTATGTTTGAGTAGCTTTACCAATAATGCAAATTTCTGATTTGTGGCAGAATTCATGTAATGATGGCAAAACTCAGGCTTGGCTTCCAGAAGATGCAGTGAAACTCCCTTATCTACATTTTGGAAACCATAAGAAAGACAAAGTAATTACTCCATAGTAGCTGAAATACCAGCTAATACCTGGATCCAGCTAATACCTGGATAATACATATTGCACATTTTCAAATATGTGGTTGTATCATTTATATGAATTCTTTTTTAAATCCTGACCAGGATATTTATATTTAGGTGCCAATCAGTTTCTTTTTTGTTTTTACTTATTAATCCTAACATCAGAAACAACCAGGCTTTTCAATGTCCCATTAGACCTATTTTATAATATCAGTGTTATTTAGAAGCATTTGAGACTATTTCAAAGCTATTACAAGAACTCAGTTTTTGTTTGATTTATCATAATATGACAATTTTCATCTACAGTTCCTGGGGTTAAACTCCCATAGCCTTTGTTACAATAAAGAGAATCTTTCCCTCTAACCTCCTCCTGCCCTCCTTTCTTTCACCTTTCCAAGACAGGACTCTAATCTGATTGTGGGTCATAAGACCCTCATTCTAGAGAAGATCCTGCCCCATACCCTGGAGGAAGGAATGCTGCACAGAAAGGAGTGAAGAATCTGAACAGTTTGGCCTTTGCTGAGTTTAAATCATACCCTTTTTGTCCAGTCACATTGTGACATGGTTGTCCGTGATGCAATCATGCCTATCCAATGAAGTCTCCATATAAGGCCTGAGAGGACGGGATTCAGGGGCTTCCAGAGAGCTAAACATGGGGAGACCTACAGGGAGATGAACAAGAACTCATCCATATGTAAGAAGGGTGGTGCACTCTACCTCCATGGAGGCAGAAACTGCTACACTCAAGACCCTTCCAGACCTCACCCTAAGTATCTCTGGCTCTTTATTTGTAGTCTATAAAATATCCTTTACAATAAACAAATAAACACAAATAAATGTTTCCCTGAGTTCTGTGAGGTACTCCAGGAAATTAATTGAATCCAAAGAGGGGTTGTGAGAACCCCAGTTGGTCAGATGTTCTGGAGGCCCAGACTTAAAATTGGTGTCTGAAGAGTGGAGGTGGTCATGAAGACTGTGCCTTCAACCTGTGGGATCTGATGCTATCTCCAGGTGGATAGTGTCAGATGTTGAATTGGAGGATTCCCAGATGATGTCCACTGCAGAATTGATTGCTTATTGGTGGAGAAAAACCCCTATATATTTGGTCACAGAAATCTTCTGTGATGATTTTTGCTGTGGTGTGAGAGCAAAGGAGAAAAAAGTTTGAGTTTCTTTTAGTAATGACCAATATGTGCTTCACTACCATGTTTTTGTTTATTGTGTATGTCTTTCATTTTTTTTTTGATGTCACAATGAGAGATTGATTACCCAATGTCATGGAACTTGCGTTTATTTTCTTTAGGCAGCAACTTTCAAAACTTTTATCCCCCTTTTTGGAAAATCAACATTTTCTTCCTTACAAATATTGGTTCTTGGTATCCCCATGTATTTGTCGTACTTACCTCAGGAAATTGATTGGAAGGCAATTCCTGAAAATCTCTATTTGATCAAATTTCTGAATCCTCAGGGAATGATACAGGAGTCCTGTGCTCCTACAGTTTAGAACATGATGACAACACACTGGTATATATAGAGGTTTATCTTAGAAACATTTTTGTATTTTCTTTTACATTTGGAAGTAGCACATGCACAAATGTTTTCTTCTTTTCTTACCATTTTGTTTAGATTTTTATAAATTCATGTTTTAAAATGAGTTGAGAAAACTCTGCAAGGCACATTTAATACCAAAATATGAAGCATTGCACTATATGTCATTGCTAATTGATTTAATTTCCTTATATCTAGAGCAAGACTTGGTTAGCTACTTCAAATAAGATGGCTTATTTTCTCATTTCCTTCCATCCTATAGCAGCTAGCATATTACTAATTATCTAGTAGATATAAAATATGTTTCTAAGCTTACTTGAGAGTAAGGCAAGTTGTATGCCTTACTTGTAAGACAGTAAGCTTACTTGTGTTAGGCAGCAGTCAGGAAGATCTGATGGCTTCATTGAGAACTGACAACAGAACTTTCATGTTGCATAAGGAATGCTCAGGAATGTTATTTCCTAGATAGCCTCAGTGTTCTCCTGTGAAAAAGGAAGTCTGTACATTTTGGTGAGACAGTGGTCACAGGGTATAACAGAAAGGACGTTGAATCAGCAGGGCTGACAGGCAATGCTGAAGTGATTTCTCATTCCATTCCCCTGAGCTGGGAGCTCAACTATTACTGGAGGAGTCAGAACTATACTGTCATGAGAGCACTTTCCACCTCTACAGTCATTTGGCTTATTACAGACTCCTGAAATATGCCGCTTCTGAAGTTGGATGTTTCTCAAACCAGATTTAAATTGTGACAAATGCTCCATATTAAAATATTTAATTAATGAAAAAAATTACTGGGCAGTCCAGATATTCATTATTACATATCTGTTCCACACATAGAGTATTCTCTGGTGAAGGGACACAGCCTTTCTAAACAATTGAACTCACCTACAAAGGTTGATGATAGTTTCCAGTATAGGCAGTTGACATTGTTGGGTCCTTTTCATTTTCTATTCTAACTTTACTGCAGCCTAACATTCCTGAGATTCTTCAGAACACCCTGTATTTCTATCCCCTTAAGGATTTAAACTGAATATTGGATGCATATTGGGGCTGTAGCTTACTCTTTAATTAAGGATAATCCCTAGGGAACATAAATACATACATACAGGCATACACACATTAATCCCCTCAAATCAGTCTCTTTAGTTTCCATTGCTTTTTTGTCTCATTCTTGGCCCTGACTTTGAGTCTTAAAACTTTTCCTAGCTCATTTTCTGCCTTTCAGAAACTTAAAGTCATGTAGTCATTTGCTAAGTTATCTATTCTATTTTTAACATGTAAGTCTAAAATACTTGCCAGTTCATGCCCAAAAAGGGAACTTAATTCACTGCACTGGAAATTACTGTCTCCTTTTTTTTCTCACTTTCTTACCCTGCTTGGATAGCTCTACCTTCTGGTTTTCCCTTTCTCCATCCCAACCATCTGCAAACCCCCCTTTCCAACTACCCCAGCCCTCCCCAAACCCCCAACTTAGTCTGTTAGGTGACAACATGGCAAAGAACTCTCATCTGTTAGCTGACAACTGTGACTAATCAATAATGACCAACCATCAGGAGAAGTGTGTGGAGAAAGATGTAGAGGCTGTCTCCAGGATCATCAGGTAGGAGTTGTAAAGCCAACAGTTGAAGTTTGCTGAGGGTATGGTCAGCTGGGATGAAGAGAAGATGAGCATTTGCACTTGGCCTTCCCTGCCCTGCCCAAGGGCTGCTCTCTGGTCCAGTCCAGTCCAAGTGCCTCACAAACAGGGAAGTGTTATGCAATGTAATATACGATTTTCATTACTCCTCTTCCTTTGTAATACAGAAGGCACATTTTTTGGTAAATTGGAAGATTTTAGTGATGATACATCCTGGAATAAGTATTGTTTTCACTAACATAAATAACATAACCAGAAATTTGAATATAATCTGACCAGTTGTGTAGGAGGATATATCTGAGACAAGTAAGAATCAATTGCACCTAAGGAATTTTCTAACAGTGTGATACCATGGCTCTTGGATACATTTGGAGATATATTTCTATTATTAAACAAAAGGCAAATTTGAAGATATATTTCTATTATTATCCAAAGGGCAGTGAAGATCAGGAGTTGGCAAACATTTTTGTGTAAAGAGCTAGATAGTGAATATTTTAGGCTTTGTGGCCACATATGAAATTTTGGTCACATAATATTCCTTATTTTCTTATTTTTAACAAAGCTTTAAAAATGGAAAAAATATTCTTAGTACATGGGCCATACAAAGTTTGCCAACTTATGCTTTAGATCAGAAACATCAAGAAAACTGCTCTACATAGATCTTCATGAACTTCCTCCCCTAGACAAGAATATTCTCACTAAAATAGACTAAACTTCAATATGATAAGAAAAATACAGTTACCATTAACAAAGCTTTGATTTTTGTCCTCATTATAAGAATATATAAGAATATATATAAAGAATAACATATAATAAATGAAAAAAATCTATTTTAAGCATATTCCTCTCTGGACACATTCCAGAAGACCAGGAGTGTTAAATCACAATGTAAAAATTGTAACCTTCAATCTAATTCAGCTTACTTTTTCAGCTGAGTTTCAGCTTAAAACTCATAGTTGTGTTCATACCTACACTATCTTACTATAAACATCTCTTTCAACAAAAAGCAGTTTCTTAAAATGCCATTCTAGGCATAAGAAACAACTAGCATGTATCAAATCAATGCTGAAAATACTGATGGAAAGTGACGACCAACAGATACCATAAAAAAGTATTCCCTTTGCAGTTATCAAAGTCTTTTTCAGTAGGTGAGGTAAAACAACAGGTGCCTTCAGAAACTCCATGATTACTCCATAGACCCCAAGTATTCATTAGATATGACCTAAGCAAACAGAAAGCTTGATTTATGGCTGACTTTGACATTATGTTCAATTAATTCATAATTCTGAATAAGAAGGATATACACTTTTTGTAAATCATACATAAACTAACACAGGTGATCAACTGGTGTGTGATCAACTGGCGTGTGATCCCCTTTAAGTTGTTAACCTTGCCTTTTCTGAAATTCTACCTCATATGTGGTGCTGATATAAACAACTTAGTGATTCTGAGACCAGAAAAAGATTGGTTAACATCTTAATTCTAAGTAATAAGGTCTTTTTAGATAAGCAGAATGTTCATAGGAGGATAGAACTATTATTTTTCTGTGTAGTATGAGTAATCACTGAATCTTTCAAACCATTTGGCATTGGAGAGCCTCATCAATCATTTGTGTACATGGCTTACTATTTTTTTTACTTCTTTTTTTTCACCTACAACAAAAACAAAGAATTTATAGGTAACCTGATGCAGAGTCAATATGAGTAACAAATACACATTTCAAAGTGGGAACTGCACGATATCATTTTGCAAACTCCTGAACAGAACATTTCTATTAACTTTATGTGCTTCTATGGAAACCTGATGTACTCAGCTCAAAAGCCTTTTGGTGCAGACTTGTGTTTTTAGCAAGCGGAGAAAAATCAATTGCATATTATATTTTCTAAAGGAGACTTTTACATAGTGCTTTCAATATTTCATCTCAACTTATGAATTGCTCTATTTGTGAAAGATTATTCTTAGCCAAATACTGAAGCAAGCATTTAATATGGAAAGGTAAGAAGGTGTCAGTTTCATTAATTTTCTGGTTTTCTTTTACTTGGTAAATTGTATTTTTGTTCAACAAATTTTAACTATTAGCCACTGGATGTGATGCCCTATGTTGTACCAGTTAAATTATGGGATACCAAGATAGGTCAGGGATGGGCTCTGTTCCTAAAAATACTTAGCTGTAGGGCTACTCAGGAGGCTGAGGCAGAAGGATCACTTGAGCCCAGGAGTTGGAGGCCAACCTTGGCAACATTTAGAGATGGCAACACCCCATCTCTAAAAAGTAAAAAATAATAAAAACACTTAGCTCAGGTAAGAACCACAAATAAATCTATCGTTTGAAATGTTATTTTAAAAACCTGTTTTTATCCTGGTTATTCACTGGATATTTTTGTCTTATTGTACAGTGATTAAGCAGCTGTTGTCTAAGGGTACCCTTCATAGCTTTCTTGTTATACGTGTGAAGATAAGAAAGCTTGCTCTTAAAATTAGCTGCTTAGATATGAAGGAAAGACAGGCACAAGGATATATACAGAGCAAGAAAGTCGTATACTATAAATAGATAGGCACCCAACTCTGAAGCCAATTAAATGAAAAATTAATAGTAGTGCTTTGCAAACATGTCAAATTTCTAGGGTAAATCAATCTCCTTAAAGATGTACTAGTTATCTAGTGCTTCTATACAAGTTGTTTACATAGATAAGGAATTTGTGATAGTATTTTATGATTCTCTTATTTAAAAATTACTTTCTATGGTTGGAATGTGTAAGGTATGATTATGCATTTTGGGAGCAATTAAAGCTCTGCTTCATCATTACAGTGAGTCCTTTTAGACAAAACCATAAACAAACAGTCTAGTACTCTGTGGGAGACAAGGATATACATATCTGATTAATGGTTGGCATTAATGACACCTGGAATCCAAACAGTTGGAATTGTACCTCAGGAAATGCTTCAAGGACATGAGGAAGCACCATCTGAAGCAACACAGATGCTGATAACAGAGAAATAGTTACATCCTGGATGAAAACTGCAAATAGAGGATGTAGCTGAATTTAGATAGAAACCAGAGGGCAGAATCCAGACCAGGAAAGGGGCTAAAAGAGAACAAAGGCAGTGGGCCTGGCAGCCGGCACCTGGTCTCATGAACCATCTGTAGTTCTGCCTCTGTCTCTTCCTCTTAGAGTTTCTTGGATCTGGCCCCTTTGTAGCCTCCTGGCTTCCAAATGGAAGTGCCCTCTCCTTTGACCTCTGCTCTTACATATTTAACTGAAGCGTCTGCATGCAAACTCATTTAGGTTTTCTTGCTTGCTTGCTTGCTTGCTGCTTTTCTTTCTTCCTTTCTTCTCTGGAGAATGGGAGCCATGTTTCTAAAATTAAAAACAACAACAACAACAACAAACCTAAAATATATTTATGAGTACATTTTTAAAAATCTAAATATTTATTTCTGAATAGTGATATTTATACTGACAATATTTTAGTCAGCCAAGACTCATTTATAAAGAGGGTCTATTACTGTGAGCCCCATATGGACATGATGGTCATGGCAGGATTTCCATGGATATAGAGGTCACAGTTGCTCATCAAGTCATATGTTCAGAAATCTTTTCTGAGGCTCAATTTATTTGTATCTAAAGCAGAGCTGATACTATATTTTTGATGGTGAAAATGTATCTTGCTGAGAGCTTAGATTCTGAAATGACTACTTATGAAGAAATTGTTTATATGTAGATTTTTTATACTTTCAATATGTTTTCAAAATTATGCTCTGATATATCTTGGACATGTATTTTCTAGTCCTCAAAGAAGATTTATATCAAAAGGAAGAGAAGCACATAATCCTACTCATTATGGTTACTGAGGAAACAGAAAAATATAAAGTTACTTCGAATGACTCTCAGCTAAACCATTGCTTTGAAGACAGAATAGAAAACTTAAAGCAGTTTTCTTCAAAATATGAAGGACAGAGTGTCCTCATGGAGATAAATGGTACTTTTATTAAAAGACATGCATCCTACAAATAAATATTCATGTTGCTGATGAGCAGATGCATAACATAGCCAAGATCTCTTGACAGTCTCATGGGTAAAAATGTGGTTTCTCTTTTTTTTTTTTTTTTTTTTTGAGACACAGTCTCGCTCTGTTGCCCAGGCTGGAGTGCAGTGATGCAATCTTGGGTCACTGCAACCTCCGCCTCCCGGGTTCAAGTGATTCTCGTGCCTCAGCCTCCCAAATAGCTGAGATTACAGGTGCGTGCCACCACGCCCAGCTAATTTTTGTATTTTTAGTAGAAATGGGGTTTTACCATGTTGGCAAGGCTGGTCTCGAACTCCTGATCTCAAATGATCCACCCACCTTGGCCTCCCAAAGTGCTGGGATTATAGGCGTGAGCCACCACACCTGGCCCAAAATGTGACTTCTCTTTGCAAAAGAGTTAGAGAGATACTAGGCAGTAAATGTTAATAAAGCTGGTAAGAAAGCCTTTGTTGAAGTAACTCTTTGGTTAAGGGAGTTAAAGCTCAAAGTAAATGAAGAGTTCTGGAATCAATGAGGTGGACAAGCTTCAGGAAGACCCATAGTTACTTAGTTCTACTCAACAATTGGGTCATTCTATGCTATTTTATTGATAATAGGAAAATATTTATGACTTTATAATAACTTTAAAGAAATTTCTGTTATCTACATTTTAATACATAAGTCATTCAGTTTACATTGTAGTTTCTTAATTAACCATTGGAGGTCATGCTCCACTTGGTAGCAGCATACTTCAACTGCGATTAGTGTACGGGGTGTAGCAGGGGTGAGTCCCCATCTAAATCCCTAGGCATTGGCTGTGCAAAACCAAATTTATTTGTTCAGTCAGATGTTAACAAAAATTTATTTGCATTTATGCAAAGGCATTGGGGATACAATAATAAATAAGAAATCATAGTTTGTTTTCTTATAAAGAGTAGGAAAGAAAATCAAATTACAATTGAATTTAAGAATATCTAGATTCATGAAGAATACCTAATTCTGTTCTGGATGACTGGCACCCAAAGTGGTGTTTTTTGACATGGGTTGCAGTAAGATACAATGAAAGTGTTTTAAATGAGGGAATGGAGTGGTTGCATTTTTAATTTAAAAAGACATTGTTGGTTGCAATGTGGATAATAGAATAGAGGGTGACAAGAGGGCAATCTGAGATACCTTTTGTAGTTTTTCAGACTCTTTATGGTAATAATTTAGGATATTGATAGTAGACAAGGAGAGAAATGATGAAATTCAAGAATACTTAGAAATAAATCAAGAAGCTTTGGTAATTTATTGGGTGTGAGAGGTGAGGAAAAGAGAGGGTACAGGAAGGTTATTCAAATATTGGACACTTGAGTAGATGTTTTATCAATAAAGAGCTGGATCTGTAATCTAGAGCAAAAGTACAGATAACAGAGTAGTCATCACAGAAATGCGGTTACATAGTTAAGTCTATGCCAGAAATTAATACAAGGGGACTTGAAAAAGTTCGTGGAAAAAAGAGAATTAAAAGATAAAAATGACAAATATAAACATTATGTGACAACATAAGCTCCATCAAGGTCAAGACACTTTTGTACATGATGATACCAGCCATTTAGCTCATCCCTAAATAACTGAGGATCCTGGGAATTTAACCATGTCAATACAATCTTTTTAATATTATTATCTGAAGAAAAATGGATTCCCTTTACAGATTTTTTTTAAGATTAGAAAACAAAAAGAAGTCAGAAGAAGCCAAGTCAGGACTTTAAGGTGGATGCCTAATGATTTTCCATTGAAACTGTCACAAAATTGCCCTTGTCTGATGAGAGAAATGAGGAGTAGAATTGTGGTAGAGAAGGACTCTGGTGAAGCTTTCTTGGATATTTCTTTGTTAAAACTTTGGCTAACTTTCTCAAACAGTCTCATGATAAGCAAATGTTGTTTGGTCCTCCAGAAAGTCAACAAGCAAGATGCCTTGAGCATCCCCAGAAAACTGTTTCCGTGACCTTTGCTCTTGACTCATCTGCTTTTGCTTTGACTGGACCACTTACTTCTACCTGTTGGTAACAATTACATTGATTGTGCTTTATCTTTAGGATCTTACTGGTAAAGCTGTGGTTCATCTCCTATTACAATTTTTTTAAAACCGCTTTGGGATCTTGATTCCACTTGTTTAAAATTTCCATTGCAAGCTCTGCTATTGTCTGCAGCTGATCTGGGTGCAATGGTATGGGCACCCATCAAATGGAAAGTTGGCTTAACTTTAATTTTTTGGTCATAATTGTGTAAGCTAAACCAATTGAGGTGTTGATAGTATTCATTTCTGCTGTTAATCATCAGTCCATTTTAATTAGGATACAAACAAGATGAATTTTTCCTTAAAAATTAATGTGGATGGTCTGTCACTGAGGGCTTCATATTCAACATCATTTCAGGCCTCCTTAAAATGAGTAATCCGTTTATAAACTGCTGACTTCTTTAGGGCATTGTCCCCATAAATTTTATCATTGATTTTATCACTCTTCCCCACAAGCCTCACTGTAAATTTGATGTTTGTTCTTACTTCAATTTCAGCAGAATTTATGTTGTTCTGATAGGGGCTCTTTTCAAATTGATGTCTTAGCCTTCTTAGTGCCTTAAACTAGATCCTGTTCAGACATGTCATAAAAATTTAGTACAGGTTTATTCTGGTGCAAACAAATTTTGAAATCATGTATAGTTTTTTTTCTAGTACACATTTTCCATGAACTTTATGAAGTCCCCTTATAACCTGGAAATCTTTTCACTTTTGTCGGTTTTCAACAAAATTCTTCATAAAAGAATTTATTTATATGAGTTTATTTAAATACAAGTTATTTAGAAATAATTTGTAAGTTATCAAAACTAAGCTGGGTGCGGTGGCTCAAGCCTGTAATCCCAGCAATTTGGGAGGCCGAGGTGGGAGGATCACTTGAGGCCAGGAGTTCAAGACCATCCTGGCCAAGGTGGTGAAACCCTGTCTCCACTAAAAGTACAAAATAAGTAGCCAGACTTGGTGGTGAGCGCCTGTAATCCCAGCTACTCGGGAGGCTGAGGCAGGAGAATCTTTTGAACCCGGGAGGTGGAGGTTGCAGTGAGCCAAGATAGTGCTACTGAACCCCAGTCTGGGCAAGAGACTCTGTCTCAAAAAAAAAAAAGTTATGAAAACTATTAATCCGATTGTGTGTCTCCTCTAAATGGTAATACAAATCATATAAAAAGACCATTTATCATATTACTTTTTCTCAGTTTTCATTTATTTAAACATACCATTTTAAAGCCATGCATACTGTTAATTATTTAGATGATTTCATTATAAAAGGAATTCTAAAAGGGAAGTCATGAAGTATTTATTTAAAAACCACTTGTAATCTCCATGAATTCAGGCCCAAAGAAGTTCCATAATAACTATATATAAGTAGTTCGTAGAAAGATGAATTTGAGAGATAAAGACGCCCTGCCGTAGCTATTTTAACTTTCCCCGATTGAAAACATTTTTGGGCCAGTGTTGAGCAAATTATAGCAAATGAGCTTTCCAGTAAGGGGACTTAATTAATTTTAGTTTATAACATTTACAAGACTCCTTTTCATATATTTTACTTTAACCTATCATCAGTTTGCTTATGACTTCCTGATGTTTATCTTTGACTTATGTTTATCATTTGAACTCTAGACAAATTGTGTAGGGTAATATTTTAAGATATAATCTAGTTTTCTCCACAACATAGCTTTATAATACTTGCTCTTTCGCCAATTCTGTCATCATAATTTATTATCTCAAGGGAGGAATGATGCAACAGAGAGCAGAAGTAAATCTTAGGGCTTTTGGATTTCAAAAGCCTCTCTCTCAAGAGAGTATAGGGTAAAACTCAGAACATAAAAATGGACTTGAAAAAATATATGATTAATCAAAGAGCATAGGTTTTTCCATTCTGGAGAGTCTCTTTTAGCTAGGAAAGAAGATGACTTAGAAGGGAAGCAAAGAAAGCTGAGACATTGATTGCTCCCTGAGAAAGATCTTTGTGCCTTCCTCTCTCCCATTCACCTGACCACACACAAACCAGGAAAGTCTCAAAGCAGGGTCTAAATCCTAGAACAGAGAGACCCTGCTTCCTAAGCCCTCTCTAGACATAGAGGCCTATGTTACAAGACTTACTATAAAGCAACATTAATTAAGACAATGAGGTATTGATTTTGCAGATTTACAAACAGAGGTAATTACTTCAAATATTTAAGGGAAAATATTAAAGCCACATGGAAAGAGAATTTGGATAGGAAATTCTAATTTCCTGAGATTCAGTAATCCTGTTGTATCCTGCCCCTGTGGTTAGCTGAAAAAAGTTATCATTCAAAGGTCTAATATCCAGAACCTATAAGGAACTTAAATTAACAAGCAAAAAAACAAATAACCTCTTTAAAAAGTGGGCAAAGAACATGAATAGACACTTTTCAAAAGAAGACATATACATGGCTAACAGACATATGAAAAAATACTCAACTTTACTAATAATTAGAGAAATACATATCAAAACTACAGTGAAATGCCCTCTTACATCAGTCAGAATGACTATTATTAAAAAGTAAAAAAAAAAAAACAAAAAAACAGAGGTTGTGAAACCAAGATGCTGATGAAAATGTAAATTAATTCAGCCATTATGGAAAGCAGTTTGGTGATTTCTCAAAGAACTTAGAACTACCATTTGACCCAGAAGTCCCATTATTGGGTATGTACCCAAAGGAATATAAATTATTCTGCCATAAAGACACATGCATGCATATGTTCACTGCAGCACTAGTCACCATAGCAAAGACATAGACTCAACTTGCATGCCCATCAACAGTGGACTGGGTAAAGAAAATGTGGTACATATACATCATGGAATACTACACAGCCATAAAAAGAACAAGATAATGTCTTTAGCAGCAACATGGATGTAGCTGGAGGCTGTTATTCGAAGAGAACTAACACAGAAACAGAAAACCAAACACTGCATGTTCTCACTTAAAAGTAGGAGCTAAATGTTGACTACACATGGACACAAAGAAGAGAACAATAGACACCAGGGCCTACTTGTGGGTAGAAGGTGAGAGGAGGATGAGGATAGAAAAACTACCTATTGGGTACTATAATTATCATCTGGGTGACTAAATAATATGTACACCAAAGCCCCACAACACACAATTTATCTGTTGAACCAACCTGCACATGTACACTGAAACTAAAATGAAAGTCCTAAAAAGTCATGTTGCTGGGCTTAATGTTGTTTACACCCAAATGGGATCAAAATATCAATTTATGCTTTGACACTTAAAGGATATGATAAAGATAAATCTAGTGTTAAAGATCTGTGAATTCTTGAGAGGAAAAAAAAAGCAATGTAAATCCAGCAATGCCATGATTAAAACATGTTTTATTTTCTATGTATTTCTAGAAATAAAAGTTACTTACATGATTCTTCCATCTTGTAGTACAGTTTATGACTGAGTCATTTTACTTAAGTTAGTTGCTATAAGGAATCCACAGACACCTATAGTTTTACTGATTTCTTGAGTGACAGAACCATAACAGCTCAATCATAATTTTTTGGAGGAAGATAATTTTAAAGCATTGTCTTTCTCAAATGGGATAAATTTGAAGTCCAGTGAATGAAATTTCACAAAAATTACCATGGAGTTATTCAATATTGTATTGAAAGTCCTTATCAGTGTGATGAAATAAGAAAAAGAGATAAAGATATAATATTTGGACTTTCAGATGGTATGAATTTATCTATAAAAATCCAAAATAATCTGTGACTAAATTATTAAAGTTGATAGGTAGGTTAACAAGGCTGCTGGATACAAAGTCAATATTGGCAGAAATTGACTGTTTTTCTGATACCAGCAACAAACACATAGTTAAAATCTAAAAACAGTACTTTTATAAGAGCATAAAAACATTAATGCTTAGAAATGAATTTCACAAATGATGTGTAAGATCTATATACAGAAAAATATAATCATCACTGAAATAAACTACCACAGATCTAAATAAATGAGGGAAGGAGAGCTAAATAAATGAGATCTAATCAGTGTTAATGAATTGGAAGATTCAGTATTGTAAAGAGATAAAATTTCTCCCCATAGTGATTTAGAGATTTGATGCAATCCCAATAAAAATTCCAATAGGGTGTGTGTGTGTGTGTTTGTGTGTAAATTGACAAACTGATTTTAAAACAAATAGAAATGCAGAGAACCAAGACATATTTGAAGAAGAAAAAAGAGTCAGCATAGAACACTACTTTCCTGGATCTCAGATAATTAGGCTTCTATTTCTCAGACTCACTTTGAAAATGGCTTTAAGATTTTTATTTTGGCTGGGCGTGGTGGCTCACACCTGTAATCCCAGCACTTTGGGAGGCTGAGGCGGGTGGATCACCTGAGGTCGGGAGTTAGAGACCAAGCCTTACCAACATGGTGAAACCCCATCTCTACTAAAAACACAAAAAAATTAGCCAGGCATGGTGGTGGCCACCTGTAATCCCAGCTACTCTAGAGGCTGATGCAGGAGAATCGCTTGAACCTGGGAGGCGGAGGTTGCAGTGAGCTGAAATCACACCACTGTCACTCCAGCCTGGCCAACAAGATCAAAATTCCATCTAAAAAAAAAATAAGATTTTTATTTTAACTGTTTGAAATAGTTATAAATGTCCCTGAATAGGCAAACTCAGCCTTTGCTACAAGGAAAGATGAGATCACGAATTTGTCAATGAATCTGTACCAATAGCTGCTGCAATATTGCTTATTGGGAGATGTCCTTCCCCTTAGTGGTGGATGTATGTGTGCCCAGTGGATTGGTAATGTCTGAGAAGTAGCAAAAGTCCCACAGGAGAGTGTACCATTTAAGGATTTGTAGTTGTACCATTAGTTGTCACGTGTGTTTGAATCCCCGACTTTCACACTCACAGTTGATTTTAAGCATTTGTTCCAGAAAGTGTATCTCTGTTGCTGACTGATTCCCAGTATACTTGGCTGACTATGCAATGTTGTTACTTCCTAATTTTTTCTGCTTGTTTTGTCAAGCTGCTTCAGATTTGCTGTGAAATGTTTTCTGACACTCCTTCCTTGTTTTTGGTACAGGATACTCAGAATCCGTTGTGAAATCTAAAATGTTTGGTATCTGTAGTCTTGAGGAAGCTTATGGCAGAGATTAAACTGGCATATAACTGCAATACTTTCAAATGTAAATTTTGAATTAGCTTCTAATTATATAATGAGACATTTTGCTTTCTTTTCTTGAACTTACTTTTTTTTCAGCTTTATATTTTAATTTTTCTTCCTTACTGAAAGCAAATTAGTGATGTGGTGATGTTGTCCAGAAAGGAAACTCCCCATAGAACATGTTCTCCACTGACATCCAATACGGCACGTGAAACCACAGAAGCCAGGGACATTGTTAACAATATGTGCGAGAAGTCTGGCTTTAAAAAGTTGACAAAGTCATCCACTCTCACTATGGTTTCATGTAGCAGAATAAATCAAGAGCCAAGATGATTTGGGTTTCTATTTTCAGTGTATAATTCTGATCCTTGAGATGATTAAAACATTTATATAAAACAAACATCCAGACATTAAGTCAATGCAACTTTGCTGTGGTTGCAGTTGTTGTTGTTGTTGTGTCGTTAATGCTGGGAGAGAAAAGTTGCACATTAACATTTTCAGAAATCTAATTCTGTGCAAACAACTATGTAACAACATCGAATGACATCTTCCAATATCGTATTTGTATCATTGTGTTATCTCAAGATGTAGCATGATATAAACTCCCCGGGGTTTACCCCTAATGGTGATTTCTAGACACCCATTGGTATGGTGTTTCACCAGCCAACTTGCAGGAGATACAAGAGGGCATCTGAAAGAAAAGCAATTTCTGGATCAGAGTTAGAGAGGGTGTGGCAATTTTGTATTCTAGGGAGTAGCTGTCTAGTTTTTTTCTGGAGTGGAGTGGGTGGGAGGTGGGGAAGAAAGGATGAAGCCAGTTAGTGAAAAGGACTGCCAGCCATATAATAAAAAGTAACTTTAAAGAAGTTGTCTGCTTTTCTGTGCTAAAATTCATCAACTAGGCATTGATTCGGGAGATACAAAGGTGGGTCCTTTACCATTTGGGGTCCCTGAGAAGAGCTGACATTATGCAAAAAAAAAAAAAACAGAACATGGGAGTCTGAGCAGAACATAAGACCTTGTGCATCTTGAACAGAGCACCTCAGCACTCAGGAATGAGCTCAATAACCAGGGCAGAAACAGTCAAGACATTTGCTCCCGCACACATGTGTAGTGTGTGGTGCATAGCAGAAAAAGTCAAACGAGCAAATTATTGTTTGTTTCTGCTCTTCTGTTCCTATTTTTACTCCCAGACCAATATGACCTGGGGAATGCAGATTGCACAAAAATTGAAATATTCTCTTGGGAAAAAGCAAACACACTTTTCAACTTTTCCTTGGCCCATATTTTTGGTAATTTTTCATCTGCTTAGATAATGTTTCTTATATCAGAAACATCTCTGTGCTTCTCTGCTCCCTGTTTATTCATATCAGTCAGGCATAGTTGTCATGTAACACTTAATTCTAAGTCACATCCTCTATTACAATGTTGATAGTTTCAATTCATTCCTTCTTCTGTGAACACCAATTTTTGTTTCTTCTCCCTGTTAATTCCATGCCTCTGCCAAGTTATCAGATTTAAGGATTTTGGAGTCATCCAGGACTCCTTCTTTTGCTTCACTCTTTGCATCCCACACATTCCACCTGTCCTTGGCTCTCTTGCTTAGATATAGTCCACTCTCATGTTCTCACCGCCACCTGGATACAATTATGCTGTAGAATGCCAATGCACATTCCTTCCTGCAGGCACTCAACCTTCTAGCCTATCCTCTGGTAGCCACCAGAATTATGTTTGCAGAGTGCAAATCAGATTATGTCATTATTTAACTTAAAATCATCTACGGGTCTACAAAGAATATAGCTAGATTTCTGAAACTGGGGGTGGGAACAATAAAGAGAGGCATGGATGGCCTTCACGGACCTCTGTGAATCCTCTGGCATTATACTAAACAGGTTGTCTTATGAGCATTAACTATGTTTTTTTCATGAGAAGAGTGTCATAGATTTCAATACATTCTCAAAAGAGTCTATGCTGTGACATGTCCTCTCTTCCTCCTCCCAAAATAAAAGCCACTAAAACTCATCTGCGTGGTGGGCAAGATCCTTCCCAATCCAGTTAACTACAGTAGAATAGTGTAATGAAAGATGTGGTGGCATGGGAGGCTGAGGCCATTGTAAAATTGTGGAGTCAGGCAGTGCTGGGTGTCAGTTCTGCTTTGATCACCTGGTGTTGGAAATGCATTTTCTCTGAGCTTTATTTGGCCAATCCAGTAAATGGGATAATGTTTTTATTCTCACAGGACTATTTTGGGTATTAAATTTAATAACAGTGTAAAGTGACTGGGAAATAATAAGTACTCAGCTAATTATTGCAAATAATTCTTCACTACTATTAAGTCCTTGGACATTAAAAGATACGATTTGTGAAAACAGTACCGTCATAGTACCATCATCCTCTTTAGTGATACATCCCTCCGTTATCAGTTGGATTATCTCTGTTTCAAGTTACAGAAAGCCCCAAGTTACAAAAAGGAATATATTAGCTTATGTAGCTCAAAAAGTTTAGAAGTAGAGTGGGCTTTAGGTGCTATTTGTACTGGACTACTTATTTTTTATTATACTCTCAGTTCTGTCATTCTCTGTGTGTCAGCCTCCCCTTCAGACTAGTTTTCCTTATGGTGACAAAATGATTGCAGACTTCACAACCATACATCACAACATCCAGAACAAGAAGGGACATTTGTGTCCTGGAATTCCCAACCAAACTCTGGGATCCCTTCTGGTTTTGGACTGGCTCAGGCCACTTCCCTATCACTAAACCAGTCCTTGCAGGTAAGGTTACATCATCAGTCTTAAGTGTCTCCTAAACCACTTGTACCCCAAAGAAAATTCAGGGCCATGTAAATATTTAACAACCAGGAAGACATGAGCAACATCAATGTGAACATATACCAGCCCAATTAGAATGGACCCTGACTGTAAACAATGAGCATTCCTAAACTGGTGCTGCTAGCTGAGCCTCAGTCCTGCTATGAGGGGAAGGATGAATTTAACAATGGTTGGCTGAGGAGGCAGTTCTCAGGGATCCACTGATCACACCTACTCAAGAATGAGCTAATCCTCATCATCATTCAGATCATCCTCTGCAGCTAGAAAATCAGAATTCAGCTTGTGCTATGTGCTAATGAGCTTCACCTTGAAAACAAGGTATGTAGAAAGAGACGAAAAGGCAACTATCAGATTTCCCATTCTCTAAGAAGGAAGAAATCATCAGAGAGAAAAATACACACTATAGTTTTTGACTCTAAAAACGTTTCTTACAAAATTCTACTTTAAAACTTTGGGTTAGTAATTTTTACTACTCATACAGCAGAAACACTTAGAAAATGCATTATTTGATCTTAAATTATTTCAACTCATTTTCAAAAGTTTGGCAATTTTTATCTAAAATGATCTTTCTGAATCTTTTGTTTTAATAACAGGAAGAGCAATTAACAAACACCATTTGTCATTCTTTAGTTTTATTTCATATAAAATTATTCACAAACCACTTTTCAAATCCAATTCTGGAATTCAAACTGTATAATAAAACAAAGCTTCATGTTATGCTATCTTGGAAACATAACTGGGTGACTTTGTTTCTTCTTTGCCTCTCAGTTCTATTTTCCTCAGCCATGAGTCTGGAAGCTCTCCAGACACCAACAGGGTGGGGGAGTTGTAACACGGGGTTGGCATGTGAACCTCACCACAAATTATTCAGGGATACGTCAAAGTAATAATGTGAGTGTGCTGGAATATGGGAGTGAGGGGGAAGAGTGGCAGCTGTTCCTTAAACCTATGTAGCTGGTTTTTTTTTTTTTTTTATCAAATTTAAAAGAGAATGTACATCCTGATTAGTTGCTTTGGAATCCCTGAATAAATTTGAAATTGGGAAAGGGCATTAACTTATTCCAGTGGTGTGGAGTAAATCTGTTACTATTGTACTTGTATCCAAAGATACAGTTACCCAGGAAGAGTTAGATAAGAAGAATAGCCTATTTTAGAATATCACACTAAGGGCACAAATCATTGTCTCATTTCATTCATTCATTCATTCTTTTCATTCAAGAAATTTTTATTGAGTATGTTAGGTGTCAGGCAGTGTTCTAAATCTTGATGATATAGAATGCACATAGCATATAACCAAATATACAAAGTACTTGCCCTCTTGAAGCCTGTATTCTAGTGCACGGTAGGAAAGAAACACGATTTAAAAATCTCAAACAAATACAAAATATATCAGGCTGTAATAAGTGAGATGAAGAAACACCAGCAGAGTTAAAGAACACAAAGAGTGATGGAGGGTGGACTGATATTTGTAGAACCTCAGGGAGACCTGGAGTTTGAGTACAGAATAGGAGAAGAAGCCCTGAGGAGTATCTGGGCTAGAGTGTCCAGGCCACAAGGACAGAGGGGATTCTCATTCTTCACAGAGAAACCTCCCCACAACCCTGTGACAGGTATAGATGGGTCATTTAATCTCCAGGAGAGAGGTGAGGAAACTGAATCTCAGAGAACTGTGCAATCGTGCTTTTTGTCTCCTAGTCCTTTGTCTGGAAAGCACACGTGCTAGACAAGTGCTTTTTAAGCATTTCAAACTTTCTTTTTAATTGAGATGCTTTTTTCAAATTAAATTTTATGCAGAATCTCAGTTTGTGAAATAATAAAAATGGAATTGCTCTGGAGGAAGTAGACAGAAAGAGGCTTTTGTGGGCTTAGCCCATGCCTCCACCCCAGATCTTGTCCACTCCTGGGTCTTGCCCTGAAGAATTTGTGTATATCTCAAAGCTTCCAAACCTCCCATGCATGCTTTGCACTACTCACTACTCCATACGTATCTCCCATGGTCGGTGGAAAGAAGGAATTAGGAGAGTTGGTAGTAAAGTAGGTAGAAGGAAAACCAAAGAAGCAAGGAAGATTATGACAAGATAAATCATCTCCACATGCTCATAGACTTGAGAAACAGCTTTTTATTTCTTTCAAGATCCAATTAAATGTTTCCTCATTTTTGAAGAGAGGGAGCCTTACATATATTGTTCCACAACAAATTGGCCCCAAAACATAGTGATTTGAGACCATAAATATTTATTATCAGACAGTTTTCATGGAGCAGCAATCTGAGTACAGCTTAGCTGGATCTTCTGGCTCAGGGCCTCCAATGAGGATGCAATCAAGGTTTCATTCATGTCATTTGGGATTGCAGTCAGCTCAGGGCTCAGCTAAGGGAGGATCAGCTTCCCATCTCACTCGTGGTTGTTGCTAAGATTTGATTTCTTATGGGTTGTTGGACTGAGGGCCTTAGTGTCTTGCTGGATATTGGCTAGGGACTCTCTCAGTTCCTTATCACAGAGGTGTCTCCATAGGGCAGCTGACAGTGTAGCAGCTGGCTCCCCTCAAAACAAGAAAGCAGAGAAAGACTCAAGCCCAGCCCGCATTCAAAAAGAGATATGAGTACCACTCACAAGGTTGTGAGGACCATGAGACAGGGATATTGGGGGACATTTTAGAGATTGCCTATGACAGGGAGGAAAACACAAAAGTAGGAGTTACATAAATTTACTTAATCCTCAACATGCTTAATCTTTGCAATATGCCTTTGGTCTTTTTGTACATTTTTCTTCCTTTCCTCATAATAAAGGTTTCTGTTCAAACTTTCCTTGCTTATATGATTATTTGTAATTCTAAGTAAATACAAATAGAAATACCAACTATAGGTATTATTGAAATCCTTCACACCTCTTCTGACATCCCACGTAAAGCCTCAGTAAATTTACATCAGTAGTACTCACATGCTAGTTTTGTGGCCAACAACCCATAAGAAATCAAGAAGAAAAAAATGTGCTTTCCCATTTCTGTGTTTAATAATCTACATCAATTTGTCCTTCTGGCATTACCTATAAAATGATGAGGTTGATATGCTGAAGGAGTTTGTCCACTTGTCTGCATCTTCACTAAGCTGTAATCTCCTTGAGGGTCACTCTTGTACCCACAGTGTCTGTCACATACAAGCGCTCTGCAAGTGTAAGTCAAATGAGCGATGCAGCAGTGGCTCCCAGAAACCAGAGAAAATTCTGCCACCATAGCCCCATTTTAACAATTTTTAGAAAACTTATTAGCATCTTTATGTGATAACATACTTCAAGGAAGCATTTGAGGATTTATATACTTGCTAACATTCCCCCCAAATTCTGGACGTCAGATATCAGTTCCTTTAGTTGGTCCAAAAGTACAGCTTAAGAGCTCAGTGAATAGAGTCCAGGAGTTACTCTAATAAATAACATGTCTTCTGTGCCTAGGTACTGGGAATAAAATGTGAAGACGTCAGGAAGACAGAGTAGAGGACCTGCCATCCAGAAATGCAATAGAAGCATTTCTAAATGGTTTTCCTTAGTTTACTACCTATGTTATGAGGATTGTGTGGCTTTGGCTGGAGTCAGAAGATTATGATTGACGTCAACAGCAGAGCTTTTGAAATGCTAGAAGCAGGCAGGAGAAGAATCTGCAGGGAGGGAGCATTAAGGAACTGAAAGAGGTTCTGAAGCAAATGTGTCACTCTAATCCACTTAATTTTCTTCTCTTTCCCGTCTCTCCTAGAGAGGGGTAGGTGAGGGGACTGTACCTGGTAGACTTCAAAGTCTTGGATTCTGTTTATTATTCGGCCATGCTATCAGCCTCTTTCTGTCTCTTTCCAGGTATTTCCTGTTTCTTTATTTTAAATTAAAAGACCTTAAGGGGTGGATTATTGAGATAGCAGGGATAACCATCAGTGGCTAAACTTGGCTTTGCCCTCCAATCACGTGATCCCCCACCTCCCTTGTTCCTGCTGTGACCACCTGCCAGGCACAGGGTTTATTCAAAGCATTCTAGTACCTGACTAGGTTAGAGCTACTATTTTCTTTTTTAAAAACAATAATTTTTGCAACATTTTTAAAAGCAATCAGGTGCAATACATTGTAATCACCTATTCTGCAAAGCTTACCCTAAACAACCTCCAGCTGACATAAACGATCTTCCTCCCCCTGCCCTGGATGCCTCCATCACAGCACTCACTACACTGCATTGTCCTCACTAATTTACCTGTCCCTCTCCCCACTAGGCTGTTGCTCTGCAAGCTGTGGATTCTACAGGTATGTACTTTGGTGAGCTGCTAATTGGGCAGAGGCTGAATACAAGCTGACCTCCTACTTGAGCCAGTGTGCTGTGACTGTTTATTATTTGATGGTGAGGATTGTATAGTATTTACAGGCAGAAGACCTAAGTATAAGGCATGCTTCTCTACTTGGAATTGTAATCTTGGTCAGATCACTTAACTGTGTCTGAGTTTCCCAATTTGTATAATGAAGATAATAATAATAATAGAAGAACAAGAACAACAAGAAGAGGAGGAGGATGAAATAACATCAATCAGCACAACATGCTTGCTTTTCCCTTGTGATGTAGTTGTTGTGAGGACTGAGATAATGAAGATTGTGCAACTAACTACTCCCTAAACTATAAAGTGCTGTGCCCACTTTTTCTGCCAAGAGCCTCCTTGGGGAGCAAACACAGAAAGCAAGGATTGACTATCTGATCAGAGGGAGTCTGAGATGTTAACACTCTTTAAGAAAGAGATTTCCAAAATCAAACTTTTATGTATCAGAAAAGTGCTCAAGTTCAAACTCTCTTTTCACATGTGAATATATTTAATCTTTATTTAATATCTTAAAAGGTTGATAGAGAACACATTCTTAGTAAATACACAAAGTGGTCTCTTAGCTCTAGGGTCGTTAATAGATTTTAGCTTCCCAGTAACTCTTAAGATCTCACAAAACCTAAAAGCTATTGATTTAATGAATTTAAATAAATAATCTAAGATTACTGCCAACGTTTCCTTAAAAAGATATTACATAATCTACCTCGACATCACTAGGCGTGTTTGCTTCAATAATACAAGATGCTAAACAGCATAGCTTCACAGCTTGGTGTAGACACCTTCTACTGAACCATACACATCCTTCTTGCTGAGGTGCACACTTAATTCTCCAGGGGCCAAGTATCTCTTAGAAAGGACCCAGAAATTCTGTGCTCTTTTTGAATCATTTTTAAAAATTGATTTCCCATAGACTCACAGCAATAAGCTTCTCTGAAAAGGAAAAGCAGGAGTGGGCTTTTGAAGAGAGAGCCTTCCAACTCAGAAGAAATAGTTTGTGTCTTAAGAAGAGTATCTTGAGCACTTTTAGGCAGTTTAAACACTACTTTCCATTGCCTTCTCTCTGAATTGTGGGAAATAATAAGAAATGGCTTTTACTCATAAATACTCCACTAGTAAAAAGATGAGCCTTATCAACTCCAAATTATCTTTAAGATGTCAGCAGTCACTGACCAGTCTCCCATTCTTCCAGATCAAGTGTTACATGTTCTTGTTGCAGCAGACCTCTCTCCTTTAAAACACTTAGCATAGTGGTGATTTTATGGTTGTTTATGTGATTGTTTTATTTAAGAGCTCAGGTTGTGAAGCCAAACTGTGTGAGTTAAAATTTTGACTCTACCACTTACTACCTGGGTGACAAAGAAATTTAACTGCTCTGTCCTGCAGTTTCCTCATCTGTAGAACAGGATTGACGATAGTCCCTGCCTCATAGAGTTGTGAGGATTAAATATGTAGAGGAGATGACATGTAGAACCCTTATAAAAATGGCTTCCACATAGTAAGTGCTTAATAAAAAAAGTGCAAAAGATGACATCAAGATAATGAGAAGAGAGGCCATAGACTGGGAGAAAATGTTTGCAAAAAAAACCATACATCTGATAAAAAGTAAACCTGTTAACTAAAATATATAAAAAATTCTTGAAAATCAAAAATAAGAAAACAAAATCCCAATTAATGGACCAAACCCCTGAATAGACACCTCACCAAAGAATATATAATGATTACAAATAAGCATATAAAAAAACGTTCCACATTATATGTTATCAGGGAAATGTAAGTTAATACAATAATAACATGCTACTATGTACCTATTAGATGGCCAAAGTCCAGAACACTGACAACAACAAATGCGGGTGAAGATGTCAAGCAAGAGGATCTCTCATTCATTGCTGGTGGGAATGCATAGTGGTAGAGCCACTTTGAAGGTCAGCTTGGCAGTTTCTTACAAAACTAAGCATATTCTTACCATACTACTCTGCAATCACATTCCCTGGTGTTTAACTATAGGTGTTGAAAAGTTATGTCCACACAAAAACTTGCACATGAATAACATGTTTATAGCAACCTTCTTCATAATTGCCAAACCTTGGAAGCAACCAGGATGTTATTTAGTAGGTGAATGAATAAATAAAATATGGTGCATTCAGAGAATGAAATACTATACAGTGCTAAAAAGAAATGAGCTATCAAGGCATGACAAGACACAGAGGAATTTGAATGCATATTTCTACATGAAATAAACTAATCTGAAAGGGCTACATGCTATGATTCTAACTATATGACATTCTGGGACAAGTCAAAGTGATGGAGACAGTAAGAAGATCAGTGGTTGTCGAGGGTTAAGGAATGGGTAGGGATGAATAGGCAAACTACAGAGGATTTCCAGGACAATGGAAATACTCCATATAATACTCTAATGGTGGATAAATGTCATTACACAATTTTGTAAACCCATAGAATGTACAACCAAGAGTTAACCCAATGTAAACTATGGACTTTGGGTGATTATGATGTGTCAATGTAGGCTTATCAATTTTAAAAACGTACTACTCCATTGAAGGATGTTAAAATAAGGGAGCCCAGGCATTTGCTGGGACAGGGGTATACGGGAAATATCTGTACCTTCCTCAATTTTGCTATGACCCTGAAACCATTCTTAAAATTATTCTTAGAAGATATAAACTTTAAAAATTTAGGGGAAAGTGGCCATGGTGGCCAAGAAGAAGCAGCTAGTATATGTGGCTCTCATGGAGAGGAATGGAAAGGGCAAATAAATAAAACACCTTCAACTGAAACATCCAGGTGGCCACACTGGGACTAATCAGGAAACAACTTGATCCACAGAAAACAAAGAAAAGCAACACAGGACAACGGCCTACCTGGGAGCAACATGAAGCCAGGGGAATGGCCCCCATCAAGGGAAGCATTGAGTGAATGTGTGACTCTGGGAAACCACACTTCTCCCACAGATCTTTGCAGCCCTCAGGTATGGAGATCTCCTTGTAAACCCATTATGCCAGAGCCTTCAGTCTGATAGACAGAGCTACGTGGAGTCTTGGCAGAGCGTGCTTGGAGAACCTGGAGGCTTAGATAACTGGGCTTTCCAGCAAAGATAGTTGTTGCTCCCACAAAGTGGGGGGTTAGACCCCTGTACATACCCCTAGGAAAGAGGCTGAATCCAGGGGGCTGAGCAGCATCTGCCTGCAGGCCCCACTTCCATGGCACCTCACAAGATAAGACCCTCTGGAATGGAATTCCAGCTAGCCACTGGTAGCAGCATTGCACCTGCTTAAGAAGGAGCTCCCAAGGGACGGGGTGGGCTGCCATCTTTGCTGGGTGGGTGCCTTAGCCATTCCAGCCTTCAGCCTTTGGAGAATCTGAGCTGATTGAAGTTGGAAGAGATTCCTCAGAACAGCATAGCTGCTCTACCAAAATGTGGCCAGACTGCTGCTTTAAGTAAGTGCCCAATTTTGTTTCTCCTTACTGGGTGGGACCTCTAAACCAGGGCCTCCAGCCACACTCATTGGTGTTCTCTGGCTGACAGATTTTTAACCTCTCTGGGACACAGCTTTCAGGGAGAAGAGTGGGCCATCATATTTGCTGTTTGGGCGACTCAGCCATTCCAGGCTTTGGGCTTCAGAGTGTTTGAGGCAACTGGGGGCTGAAGTGGACCCCCAGCACAGCACAGGTGCTCTACCAAAACATGGCCAGACTGGTTTTTTAAGCAGGACCCCAATCCCGTTTTCCCTCACAGTGTGGGACGTCTTAATCAAGGTCCCCAGCCACCTCCTACAGGTGCTTTTAGGCCAGCAACAGGCCCATACCTCTCTCACAAAGGGAGGAATGGGCTGCCATCTTTGCTGTTTCTCAGCCTTCACTGGTGCTACCTCCAGGTACTGGAAAATTTGAGTCAACTAGGCACTGAAGAGGTCCCCAAGCATACCGCAGCAGCTATACGGAAAAGTGGCCAGACTGTTACATGGATGCCCATTCCCATATCTCCTCATCGGGCAGGTCCTCCAGGCCTGGGCCTCCAGCCAGACTTCACCAGAGCTATGAAGCCAGTAGCAATTCGGCGACATTCTGGACAGGGCCTACAGGGGCAAGAAAGCTTTTCTGCCTCTGCCTCTGCAGTGGAACTGCCCTTGCCACCCTCAGGCCAATGAAGGAGCAAAAACCCAAGTGCCTTATCCACACCTCCAACAAGCTGCAGTTGACCCAAGGAGAGGAGGCCAGTCTGTCTCCCATGGGTCCCACACATGCCCACTGCTTGTCACCATACAGGGAACACTGGCTTGGGCCCACAGCACAGACCCTCCATCCTGGGCTGATTACACTGAGTGATTCCTGACCTACATCTTTCTGGGTGGAGCCCCCAGGAGACAAACAAATGACCCTAAGCCACAACCACTACTAAGATCCCTTGCTCGGCTACCTCCAAGTTGGGAAAGAAACATAACCATGAGATTGCTCCACAGCTGCAGTGGGTATCTCAGAAGTGCCAAGTTAGAATCTATAGCCATCACTCAAGAGGGAGACAAACCCACACTTTCAGAGCATTAAGAGGGAACACAGCTGCAACTGTGAGGAAACATGGGAGAGCCACAAAACCAAACAAGAGTCTACCAACTGATCAATAAGTCTATGTGCCACCCGCTAGATCACACTCCAAAGCTTCAACACCAAAAACACCTCACTAATAGACCCCCCTATGAAACAAGAGACAAGAAGTCAGCTTCAAATAAGGACACCGCACAAAGCCTGGGCCCAGCGAAAACCTCCAGAAAGGAAATCTATTGACTGTACTTAATCTACAGTGCAGTTAAAGAAATACTCACATACAGATATGAGAAAGAACCAATGCAAGAACTCTGGTTACTCAACTACCCAAGTGACTGCACCCATTTTCCAACAAGTGTTCTTAATCAGGCTAAACTGGCTTGAATGAGAGAAATATAATTCAGAACATGGACAGGAACAAAGACCACTGAGATTCAGGAAGATGGCAAAACTGAATCCAAGGAAAATAAGAATCACAATAAAGTGATACAGGAGCTGAGTGACAAAATTACTGATATAAAAAAGAACTTAATGGGTCTGACAGAGCTGAATAACACAATACAAGAATTTCACAGTGCAATCACAATATTAACAGCAGAATAAACCAAGCTGAGGAAAGAATCTTAGAACTTGAAGACTGGTTTTCTGAAATAAGACAGATTAAAAAAAAAAAGAATAAAAAGGAATAAACAAAACCTCTGAGAAGCATGGGATTATGTAAAGAGGCCAACTCTAGGAATCAATGGCATCCCTGAAAGGGGTGAGGTGGTGGGGGGAAGCAAACAACTTGGAAAACATAGTATCATTCATGAAAACTTCCCGCAGTTTTGCTAGAGAAACCAACAGTGAAATTCAGAAAATACAGAGAACTCCTGAAAGATTCTACACAAGAAGATCATCCCCAAGATACAATCATCAGATTTTCCAAGGTCAAAATGAAAGAATTTTAAAGACAGCTAGAAAGAAAGGGCACATCACCAACAAAGGCAACCCCATCAAGCTAACAGTGGATCTATCAGTTGAAACCCTACAAGCCAGAATAGACTGGGGGCCTATATTCGACATTCTTAAAGAAAAAAAATTCTCAATCAAGAATTTTATATCCAGCCAAAGTAAGCTTCCTAAATAAAGGAAAGATAAAATCTTTTTCAGATAAGCAAATATTGAGGAAATTCATTACCACCAGACCTGCTGTACAAGAGATCTTGAAAGTAGCACTAAATATAGAAAGGACAGACCAATACCAGCTAATACAAAAACACACTTAAACACACATACCCGTGTTACTGTAAAGCAACCACACAAACAAGCCAACACAATAACCAGCTAACAGCACAATGACAGGATTAAATCCACACATATCAATACTAACCTTGAATGTAAATGGGCTAAATGCCTCAATTAAATATACCCAAAATATTCTACAGGGCTAACCCTATAATCAGTAACCAAAACAGAATGGTACTGGTACAAAAACAGGCACATGGACCAACGGAACAGAATAGAGAGTCCAGAAATAAGGCTGCACATCTACGACCATCTGATCTTCCACAGAACTGACAAAAACAAGGAATGGGGAAAACACCCCCTATTCAATAAATGGTTCTGGGATAACTGGCTGGTCATACGTAAAAGATTGAAGCTGGACCCCTTCCTTACACCATACATAAAAATCAACTCAAGATAAATTAAAGACTTAAATGTAAACCCAAAAGCTATAAAAACCCCACAAGATCACCTAGGCAATACCATCTTAGACATAGGAATGGGCAAAGATTTCATGACAAAGACACCAAAAGCAATTGTAACAAAAACAAAAATTGACAAGTGTGATCTAATTAAACTAAAGAGCTTCTGCACAGCAAAGGAAACCATCAATGAAGTAAACACAGCCTACAGAATTGGGGAAAATATTTGCAAACTATGCATCTGACAAAGGTCTAATATTCAGCATCTAAACAAATTGCTAAACAAATTTACAATAGAAAAACAAACAATTCCATTAAAAAGCAGGCAAAGGAGATGAATATACACTTCTCAAAAGAAGACATGCATGCGGCCAACAAGCATATGAATAAAAGCTCATTATCACTGATCATTAGAGAAATACAAGTCAAAACCACAAGATACCATCTACACCAGTCAGAATTGCTATTATTAAAAAGCCAAAAGATAACAATTGCTAGTGAGGTTACAGAGAAAAGGGTACACTTATACATTGTTGATAGGAGTGTAAACTAGTACAACCACTCTGGAAAGCAGTATGGTGGCTCCTCAAAGAGCTAAAAGCAGAACTAGCATTTGACCCAGCAATCCCTTTACTCACACAAATATAAATCATTCTATTATAAAGATACATGCATGTGTATGTTCATTGCAGCACTAGCCACAATAGCAAAGACATGGAATCAACCTAAATGCCCACCAGTGACAGACTGGATAAAGAAAATTGGTATGTATACACCACAGAATACTATGCAGTCATAAAAAATAATGAGATCATGTATTTTATAGGAACATGGATGGAACTGGAGGATATTATCCTTAGCAAACTAACTCAGTAACAGAAAACCAGATACCACATATTCTTACTTATAAGTGGAAGCTAAATGATAAGAACTTATGGACACAAAGAAGAAGACGACAGACACTGGGGTCTATTTGAGGGTGGAAGGTGGCAGAAAAGATAACTATTGGGTACTGGGCTTAATACCTGGCTGATGAAATAATATGTACAACAAATTCCCAAAACACATATTTACATGTGTAACATACCTTCACATGTACCCCCAAAACCTAAAATAAAAGCTAAAAAATTTTTAAATATATACGTGAAGTATTTGACACATAGTAGTACTCAGGAATACTATTTTTGATATTACCACTATTACTTGATCATTTAAGTTTAATACTGTTTTTTTTTTTCTTTAACCAATAGTCCATGTCTAATGAAACACTAACTGTGTCAGTTCTCCTACAGTCTTTTTTTTTTTTTTTGAGACGGAGTCTCACTCTATCGCCCAGGCTGGAGTGCAGTGGTGCGATCTCAGCTACGGCAAGCTCCACCTCCCGGGTTCACGCCATTCTCCTGCCTCAGACTCCTGAGGCGGTGGGACTACAGGCACCCGCCACCACGCCCAGCTAATGTTTTTGTATTTTTAGTAGAGACGGGGTTTCACCAGCCAGGATGGTCTTGATCTCCCGACCTTGTGATCCGTCTGCCTCGGCCTCCCAAAGTGCTGGGATTACAGGTGTGAACCACCGCGCCCGGCCTCCTACAGTCTTTTTAAATACGCTTTCAGTGACTTCACTTTAGGTCAGGCTCTAAAATGCCGCTGCAGGAGCCTTCTGGTGGTATTCCTATCAAAATATTTTCTTCCAGTAGCACAACTTATATTTTAAAATTCTCCTCCCAAATGCATTTTAGGACTTACCCCTATTTTCCAGATATGGTTTGTGATTCTCAGTATGACATACGAATCCATGCATACTGTGGCCACATTCTATTTTTTTAACCTAGCATAATGTGTCTAATTTGCCAACTCACTCTTCTATGAACTCTCTTTATCCTCTTCTGTCTCTGTGACTTTGATTAGACTTTTCCCCTTTTCCCAATGCTTTCTCCTTTCCTCTTTACCTCTTAAATGCAAAATACTTTCTAAGGTTTAGCTTAAGTTACTCCTTCAGAAATCTTTACCAGATCTCTCCAGTCCAAACAGGCTCTGTTCCTGAATTCGTAGCACTTACTGTCTAAAGCAGTTAGCTGGCCATTAGTGATGCACAAAGCTTTTTTCAGTTTGTGTTCCATATTATTAATTAATGTTCCCATCATCATTTGTTTCTGTCATAGGAACTAATTTAAGTCACCAACATTGTTGATGTTATTTG
Organism: Homo sapiens; assembly: GCF_000001405.40. NCBI lineage: Eukaryota > Metazoa > Chordata > Mammalia > Primates > Hominidae > Homo > Homo sapiens. The sequence goes on along the minus strand of NC_000003.12, from coordinate 154,767,850 downwards.
ACTTAAGGATCAGTAATATATATTTGGGGTCAATACTAAACTTTGGCATTTGTTATTCATTCAATATATGTCTATTAACAACCTAACAGATCTCCAAGTATAAGGAGAATTATAGACAGGCAAATAATTAATTAAAGTTCAACAGAAATCCCGTAAAAGACATATGTACAAAACCAATGGTATCCTAGAGACAGGATACTTAATTCTACACAAGTATCAAGGAAGGCCAGAAGAATCTTCTCAGAGTAACTTATACTCTAGTTGCAGTGAAAGGATGAGCATCAGTTGTCAGTCAGGGAGGGCTTTACAGAAATAGAGAACAAGAAAAACGTGCAAAGACATAGACCCCTGGAAATAATTTTGTATGAATGATAGGTCTACAAGTTATATAAAAATGAGGTCTAGATATAAAACTGAGAAGGGCCCTAAAACCAAATCATGAAGACACTACTTGCTAAGAGGTTTGGTCATTATTTCAAAGGCAATAATTCAGAGGAAGAAAGCAATTAAGGACTTTAGATCATAAAGGGAAACAACTAATTTGTTTTTCAGGGAAGATCATTTGAAAAAAGGGAAGTGTGAGAAAGCCTGGTGGCACAAAGATCTGACAGAAATCAAGTCAGTAGCCCAAGCAAGAGACCGAGACATTGACAGTGCAGAGACACCATCAAGTTCAAGAGATGTTTTAGAGACAAGTCAAATTTGGGGTGAGGTGAGGTAATGGGACAATTCAGAGTGATTCAAGTTTTCTAAATGATGGCAGTGGAGGCCCTATGGAACTGCCACTGCCATCAAACCAGCTGCAGCAGGGAGGCGTGGCCTGGGCCTCTGGCTCCACAGAGCAGGCAGGAGCCCCACCCTCCCAGGTGGGGCGGCAGCCGCTCAAGTCATGGCTGTGGTTCTCGGCCTCCTGCTCCAGGGAGCAGCCCAGAGACACACCCCCCCAGGTGCAGCTGCAGCCACCCAAGTCATGGCTGTGGATCCAGGCCTCCTGATCCAGGGTGCAGGCAGGAGCCCCACCCTCCCCAGCACAGCTACAGCCACCTAAGCTGTGGCTGCAGAGCTGGCTATCTCTGCACTCACAGGGCATTCCCCGTCCCCTGCCCTTGCAGGTTCAGAAGTGCCTGCTCTTGCTGCCTGGTTTGTCCCTGCCTTTGGAGCCCACTCAGAACTTGGAGCAAAATTGGGGCTGAGCCTGGGTGCCATAAATGGCAGCAGGACACAGACAGATTCCTGGGTGGAAGGGGGTGGGTCCCCAGTGAGGCCTGAAGGCCAGGGAGGGTCTGAAGGCTGGGGCCAAGATGCCAGTCCCAAGGACTGAAGTAGGAATTTGTAGTGCCTTTTCTGGGCCACCTATGGCCACTCATGGGCCAACTGGCATGCGCTTCGTCCCCTCTGAAGCCCATAAAAGCCCAGGCTCAGCCAGAGCTGAGCAGATGACAGATGAGCAGCTGCAGAGATGAACTACCCTCTCTGTTGACAGCAGGAGACATTGGGATGACCAGCAGCAGAGGGGAGCAACCCACTCCAGGGCCTCCTCTCTGCTAGGAGATGAACACATGTCGGGACACCCTGGCCGCAGAAAGGAGCTATCCATTGGGATCCTCTCCTGTGAGTTGTTCTATTGCTCAATAAAGCTCCTCTTCATCTTGCTCACCCTCCACTTGTCTGCGTACCTCATTCTTCTTGGTTGCAGGACAAGAACTAGGGACCTGCCGAATGGCAGAGCTAAAAAAGTATTACACAAATGGCTGAAACATGCCCCTTTCTTGCCACTTTGCAAGGAAAGAGAAGAAAGAAGAGCTGCAGCCCTTTAGGGAACCCAGACCTGGGAGCTCCCAAGCCAGGACTGTGACTCCCCCTTTGGGGTACTGCAGTGCCTGGCGTCTCCAAGCTTCTGGGTGCCAGTGCAATTCCCAGGTGCCCTCTGGGGAAGCTGCTTGTGGTGCACCTGGTCCAGCTGCAGCCTTGCAGAGACCTGGCACCCATACCAGCACCTGGAGCTTCCTGCTCTGCTGCAGCAGCCTGTGTGTCTGACTTGCAGTGGCCAAACCCCAAACTCACTCACATACCCCTTGTTGCTCCACATTTAACTTGCCCTTGGCAGATGTGGGATCCAGGTCAGTAGTGTGAGCCAAGCATAGCCTGCCAGGCTGAGTGGGCAGAACCAGCCTAGTGGGCCTCAGCAAAACTCAGGCAAAGGCACCACCAGCCAGAGGTTTCAGGCCAGAAAAGTGACACCCCAAAGATCCTGAAACATAACCTGCCAATATCCATTGATGCCATTATCCAAGGAAGGAAAGAGGACACTCAGAGTTCAGTGTTTGTTTTATAACATGCTCTATGACCTTTCTTTTAGAAGGTTGTGTGGAAAGAGAGAAGCCAAAGCCATCATGTAAAAAAGGCAATACTTTATGTTTTATTCACATTAATTCTTGCAAACAGCAGGAAGCAATTATCAGTTGGAGAGGAAGTATTAAACATAAAAGTTTTATGAGTGACTTCGTATGTACAATAATTTATGACATTAGATTCTGGCAGTTCCAATTTTCACTCCTCCATTTTTAATTGAAACAAAAAAATTTTAAGGTAATAGAAAGCAAAACATTTGGGAAAACTTCATGAATCTTTTTGATATCATTATATCACACTGTCACACGTTCTCACACTATTATTTGAGGTTCACTCAGTTATACTTACGGAAACACAATTTAGGAAATAACCTATGATTAAGAAAGAATCATCCATGAGTTTTTTTAATACTAAGTGAAAAAAATGATTCAGCCCTAGTATTTCAGATGCCATGGAAATGGGGAAAGTTTTTATTTAGTTTTAGTTTCATATTAGAACTCTATAGCCAACAGTTTAAAATCTGGAATGGGACTAAAATGTGGTCTAGTTCTGCCTTTTTATTTAACAGATGAGGAAACTAAGAATTGCAGGTGTTGAGTGACTTAGGGCAAAACTAGGTTTAAAATCACTGTTTAGGCAGGCCTCCCACTTGAGATCACCTAAGGTCAGGAGTTTGAGACAAGCCTGGCCACCATGGTGAAACCCAATCTCTATTAAAAATACAGAAATTAGCCAAGTGTGGTCATGCACGCCTGCAATCCCAGCTACTGAGGAGACTGAGGCATAAGAATCGCTCGGACCTGGGAGACAGGGGTAGCAGTGAGCCAAGATTGTGCCACTGCACTCCAGCCTGGGCAACAGAGTGAGATTCTGTCTCAAGAAACAAACAAACAGAAGAAAGAAAACAACAACAACAAAAACACTGTTTAATCCAGTAAAACTTTCTCAAGTGTTAATATAGTATAGAGAATGGGAAACTATTTTAAATCAAGTCCTCAAAAGTAATTGCAACAAAACCAAAAATTGACAAATGGGAACTGATTAAACTAAAAAGCTTTTGCATGGCAAAAGAAACTATCAACAGAGTAAACAGACAACACACAGAATGGGAGAAATTATTTGCAAACTATGCATCTGAGAAAGGTCTAATGTCCGTAATCTATAAGAAACGTACATCAACAACCAGAAAACAAATAACCTCATTAAAAAAATGGGCAAAGAACATGGACATTTCTCAAAAGAAGATATACAAGCAACCAACAAATATATAAAAAATGCTTATCATCACTAATCATCAGAGAAATGCAAATAAAAGCCACAACGAGATACTGCCTCACAGCAGTCAGAATGGCTATTATTAAAAAGTCAAAAAATAACAGACGCTAGCTGGGTTGCCGAAAAAAGGAAATGTTTATACACTGTTGGTTGGAATGTAAATTAGTTCAGTCCCTGTAAAAAGCAGTTTGGAGATTTCTCAAAGAACTTAGAATTACCATTTGACCTAGCAATCTCATTATTTTATATATATATATATATATATATATATATATATATATATATATAGAGAGAGAGAGAGAGAGAGAGAGAGAGAGAGAGAGAGAGAGAGCGAGAGAGAGAGAGATTATATATAATAATGAGATTATTATATATATTTAAAGGAAATAAATCATACTACTAGAAAGACACGTGCACTAGCAGAAATCATCCTAGGTGCCCATCAGTGGTGGATTGGATAAAGAAAGGGTGGTACATATACACCATGGAATACTACACAGCCATAAAAAATGAAATTATATCCTTTGTGACAACATGGATGCAGCTGGCAGCCATTATTCTAAGTGAATTAACACAGAAACAAAACCAAATACCGCATGTTCTCACTTATAAGTGGAAGCTAAACATTGAACACACATGGAAATAAACATGGGAGCAATAAACACTGGGGACTACTAGAGGTGGTAGAAGAGGGAAGGGAGCAAGGTCTGAAAAACTACCTGTTGGGTACTATGCTCCATACCTGGTGACAGGATCCTCTGTATCCCGAACCTCAGCATCATGAAATACTCCCATGTTACAAACTTGCACATGTACCCATTGAAACTAAAAGTTGAAATTATTTTTAAAAATAAAAGAAGCCTCTTTGGAGAGTCTTAGAAAGGGGATGACCTATATATACATTTATTTTGTAGATTTTTCTTAACCATGATAATGTATATATTAATACTTCTTATAATTAAAGCTAATTTTAAAATATTTTAAAAGTAAACAAACAAAAAAGAGACACTGATAATGAATGAAAAATAAACTTAAATATTGACAAAATTTTTAAAATGATATGTTTTTCAGTCCCAGCTCTGAAACTGTAGTTGGAGGGCAAACCATTTCATCATTATCATACACCATTTCTGTATTGGTAGGATAATGATCATAGTTTTTGTTTCACAGACTCATCATGAGGAGCAAATGCAATGATGTATGTAAAGGCTCTCTCTGCAAACTGTAAAACACTCAAGAATATAACAAATTATATTTATACAATAAATCTTTAGCTACAATGTAATGAAACAAATTAGCATTTATTGAGCAGCTGCTCTATGCCAAGATATTTTTTGTATGGTATTTTATTTTACCCTTATATCAACCCTTGAAACAGATGCTATTTTGCAGTTTGATAGATGAAGAAGACAATGAAGCTCAGTGAAATCTATTTAAATTTCTCTAGGTATTGTGGCAAACAAGTGAGGAAACAGGATTTGAAACTACATTTATTGGTGATGATTTTACCAATGGAATTTCCACTACTACGTAATGCATTTGGTAGTCATAGAAAAGAAACCCATTCTCCTCATTTGTGATAACTTGGATGAGGAAGAATGAGGACTAGGAGACATAAAGAACCTAATGGACTGAAATGCTGACATGACTTGCTTTTTTTTTTTTTTTTTTTTTTTTTTGAGACAGTCTCGCCCTGTCACCCAGCCTGGAATGCAGTGGTGTGATTACGGCTCACTGCAACCTCCACCTCCAGGGTTCAAATGATTCTCCTGCCTCAGCCTCCCCAGTAGCTGGGATTACAGGCACACGCCACCACACCCCGCTAATTTTTGTATCTTTAGTAGAGAAGGGGTTTCACCACATTGGTCAGGCTGGTCTTGAACTCCTGACCTTGTGATCCACCCACCTTGGCCTCCCAAAATGGTGGGATTACAGGCATGAGCCACTGCGCCCAGCCACTGACATGACTTCTATTCCAGGTAATGAGGTACTCCAAGTGAGACAGAATTGTATAGTAAAGGTTTTATAACCTGTGATCTGAATCGGGGCTAGATGAAAACTTGAGGGTACTCAGGAAGGATTCTAAGCTGGTCATGTTGGGTAGGTTAATAATTGGTGCCCCTTCAAATATTTGTTCTTTTAGTATTTGGTCAATAATTTCAGGGTCTTGCAGCTTAACTGCTCTGTAGAGAAGGGACAAAGAAGCCCTATATATTAGGTGATAGGGATCAATCTCTCCTCTCTTGTCCAGAACAATTGAATTTGCCGCAAATTTAGATACTCTTTTTACCAAAAGAAAAGCACTAAAATTAGCCGGAGCAATTCGATTTGAGTTTGTCTGAGGGGTGTGTGTGTGTGTCTGTGTGTGTGTATGTGTGTATGTGTGTTTGTGTGTGTGTGTGTGACTGCACATGCAGTAGGAGGGAAGGAGTGGGTGAACTTCTCTCTATCTCATTTTAAATTACTCTCTAGGAGAGCAGTTTGGGTAAATAAATTTTATTTTAATACGGCATTAGTAATTCACCACCTCTCATAGATTAGTGCTCCAACAATTCCTTGTTTTAAATTAAAGTTTGATTCAAACCAGATAACGGGGAGATTTTGAAGTTTTGAGAGCAAAGTGCGGTGGAAGATGCATATAAAATGATTTTAAAAGTACAACATTGGGGCCAGGCATGGTGGCTCACGCCTGTAATCCTAGCACTTTGGGCGGCTGAGGTGGGTGGATTGCCTGAGCTCACGAGTTCAAGACCAGCCTGGGCAACACGGTGAAACCCCATCTCTACTGAAATACAAAAAATAGCTGGGCATGGCAGCGGGTGCCTATAGTCCCAGCTACTTGGGAGGCTGAGGCAGGAGAATTGCTAGAACCTGGGAGGCGGAGGTTGCAGTGAGCTGAGATCATGCCACTGCACTCCAGCCTGGGCAACAGAGCAAGACTCCATCTCTAAAAAAAAAAAAAAAGGACAACATTGGGCAGGGTGGGGTGGTGGAATAGAGAGGAAATGGAAGCTAAGAGACCACACACACAGAACTGATTAGGGCCAATGATTAGCAGGATTTAAATGGAAACAAAAGAAAACAAAACAACCCCTCTGAATTTTAGACCTATTTCTTCCTCTTACAAGCAATGTGATTTTAGGCAAATCTCTTAACATAGTTTCATCGTCTAAACCCTGGGGATTAATATTTAGTGTTTTTGACACACACACACACACACACACACACACATATACACTCACCATTTATCTTGCAGCAAGGAATAGGTACTTTACAAATATTACCTCATTTATTCCTCATAATAACCCTATGGAATAGGTACTACTATTATTTCATTTTGCATATGAGGAAACTGAGGTACAAAAAGTCAGTTCATACAGCTAATAAGTGGCAGAACTGAAATTGGAATCTTGGCAGCCTGTTTCTAGAATCTGTATTAACCATTGGCTGTAACAGCCAATCTACAGAATTGCTGTGAAGATTAAGTGGAGAAGCTTACATTTTCCAGAAGATAATTTTTTTGTTTTTTTTTAATTGCTTTCAACATATTAAGTTTTTGTGGACCCTTTGAGACTCTGGTAAAATCATGAACATTATATACCAGCAATATCCACACATATACATAACATAAAAATTTACATAGCATTTCTAAGATTTCAAAGACCTCCAAAACTCCATTCAGGGACAACAAGTTAAAAAAAAGCCTGAATTTAACTTGGTTGGGTCTCCTTAACCTCACTGTCTCCCAACTAGAAGGTGAAAATAGTGATCAACTTCCCAGCTTCCAGTTCTAAGGGCTGAGAGGCCTACACATAATTTGAGGATAGGTTCCATACCACTTCAAACTGCTTAACAACGTGTTATTCAGAAGTCCTGGTTTGAGTTTGCTTTATAAGTATAAATTTAGAGCTAAAAATGGAGTGGAGAGAGAAACAGTTTGGTCAAAGTCTTTGGTCTTTGTAAAATGCAAAATATTTGGAAAATAGTCTGGAGGGGTTGGTGGCATTTAGCCATTCTAAGTGCCAAGAATCACATCTTGTCAGCTCTTGCTGATTCGCCGTTGACCTCAATGACCTCTATGTCCCTTCTTCATTAGAGCACACTGGGAGAGTGAAAGGATGGCGCCATTTGGGACCACACTAGGAAAAACAAATTCTACAAGTTGTACATTTCATCATTTTTTTTCTTCCACTTAAAAATCTTGACAAAGGTTTATCAAGTTGCTTGAAACCCCATTATGATTCAAATCAACAAGTTCTACAGAGAAAACCCACTGAACAATTTACTGTGGCTTGTAATATCTGTTCATATTCTTCTTAGCAGACACAACAACAAACCTCATTGTTTACCACTGGTTACTGAGACCAGAATAGGTAAGAAACAAAAGCCATCGTCAGATTTGTTTTGTTTTCCAGTTGGTTCTTTCTTTGAAAGAAAAACAACTGTCTTTTAAATCAAATCCTTACCCTTTTTTCTACTTCATTATTGGTAGGTCCAATTATAATTAATGAGCAACTAATGAACATTCGTTAACTTAGACAGTAATATTTTTATTTTTCTTTGGTTGATTCAAGAACAGCTACACAGATATTTACTCAAGATTATGAATTTAAAAACTTGACTAAAGGTGAAAAGTTATGACATAAAAGAAATGCCAAACATCTTTTCGTTTAGTAGCATAAAAATGCTATCAAGCAAGGGCATAATCTGAATTTTTTAAAAATTGATGTAGATCATTGAATTTGGCAAGAAGAATTTGTGTGTGTGTGGTGGGCAGAGGTTTAAATGGGTCAATGAGTTAACAAAGGCCGGTTCCTCACTGTCTGAAATAATTTACCGATTAAAACTCCATTCACCTGGTCAAACATGTTCTATCAATTTCAATCCTGTTTTGAAATTAGAGGTTTGCTCAACTTGAAAGGAGATTTATAAATAATTTATAAGCATTGATATCCATGCATCAGAGAAAGCGTAGAGAGATGAATTAGCCCTATTTTAAAACTTAGTAGTTAGAGTTCCAAATAAAAAGTCTCAAGGAAACACAGTGAATTTAGTAAGTTCCCAGTTAGCCAAAGCTATTGGCTATTGGCTGAATATCTGGTTCTTACGTAAGTTTACTCTGCATGTGACCTACGTACATTTATGTAAATTTACTTACATAAATTTGAGACAGTTATCAATACAATAGTACTTACATGTAAGAAAGTATTTAAGTTAAAGCAAATACTTAATGGTTCTTTTCATTTTAGCACTCACTGAAAATCAGGCATTTCAAAGTAACACCAGAATGTTTATATCTTTTATATTAAATAGATAGACAATTTAGCCAAAATCTTATTCTGTACTCTGCAACTCTGCTTAGCATATTGTTCAAACTATACAATGACAAAATTCCATTTTAAAGAAAATTAAAGTAGGATAAATTTAAAGAAAATTAAAGTAGGATAAATTTAAAGAACAATGAAAAGACTACAGACATCAATACTACTATATGAAAATTAAGTGATACCCCCATAGAATGTTTATTCCACTATCACATTTAGAGTATCAAAAATTCTCTTGGGAACAGAGATTACAGTATTTTGAAGCAAACTTTCAGTTTATAATTCCTTGACAAGTACAATTTATTAGCAGAAAAAATATTTTGAAAAGGATTTTGTTCTTTTTCTTAACATGAACCACAAAGTGCTTTTCTGTCTTTTTCTAGATACAGGCCTACATACATTAATTTTATGTAAAACCAGCTCCCTCTAGTGATAACAATAATGTTTCCAGCAAGAAACGAACCGGCTTTCTAGATTATTTATATAAAACCCTTTGAAATTGAATCTCAAAATAAACACTTGAGAAGATCGACTTTTATTATAGAGGATAAAAATTCTAATAACCTTCCAAGTCATTTGTTAATAGTCTTTCTTAGTTTAATGCTCTTTTAAACATGTCAATACGGGGAGTGACCCTGGTGTTCAACTTGTTCTCTTTGCTCACTGGGAAAGCCAGGCCCAGAAATATAAATGCACTCTGGTATGTTCAATAAAAATCAGTTTACGTTTTTTTTTTTTTAAATCCAATAAAGAAGCTTATGATTCAATAGAAAGATATGATTTTTAAATGCTAATTTCTGTACACAGACATAAATATCACTATTTAAATCAGCACTTTAAATATCCAGTTGCTTTCTTTGATATCACTGAGGATGAAAACTGAATTGTGTAACTTTAGCAATGTAAAACATCAGACAGCTGTTGAAGAATGAACTCCTCACTGGAACTCCTGAAGTTTGGCTATGGTTGGTATGATGTAGAACAGTAGTTTTTAATTTTTGCTGGAAAACACTAGTTAGCAAATTTTTTTGTTTTGTTTTGTTTTGTTTTGAGACGGAGTCTTGCTCTGTCGCCCAGGCTGGAGTGCAGTGGCGCAATCTCGGCTTACTGCAAGCTCCGCCTCCCGGGTTCACGTCATTCTCCTGCCTCAGCCTCCTGAGTAGCTGGGACTACAGGCGTCTGCCACTAGGCCGGCTAATTTTTTTGTATTTTTAGTAGAGACGGGTTTTCACCGCGTTAGCCAGGATGGTCTGGATATCCTGACCTCGTGATCCTCCTGCCTCGGCCTCCCAAAGTGCTGGGATTACAGGCGTGAGCCACCACGCCTGGCCGTTAGCAAATATTTTGGGACTTACAGGCCACGTGGTCTCTGTCGCAAAAAATTAAGCTCCGCTGTTGTAGCATGAAAGCAGTGATTGATTTGTTTGTGTTGAATCACCCTTCTATCCCTGAGATAAATCCCACTTGGTCATGATGATCTTTTTAAACAGGTTGTTGAATTTAATTTTTTTAGTATGTTTTTGAGAGTTTTTGCATCAGTGTTCATAAGGGATAATGGCTTGTAGTTTTCTTTTTTTGATGTGTCTTTGTTTTTGGTATCGGGGTAATACTGGCTGAGAGAATGAGTTTGGAAGTATTTTCTACTCCTCCATTTTTTGGAATAGCTTGAGTAGAATTGGTATTATTTCTTCTTTAAATAAAGATTTAAATTCTGCCATGAAACCATGGGGTCTCTGGCTTTTCTTTGCTGGGAGACTTTTTTATTTTGGCTTCAATCTCTAGTATATTTTATATTATTTTATATAGTTGCATAGTATATTTTGTATACTAGTATAGTAGTATATTTTGTATATTTTATATTGCATAGCTGCCCAGTATATTTTGTAATATACACTTTTTTAGATTTGTATAATGTTTGTAAAAAGGCAAAAATTCCAACACAAAAATGGGCACAAATATAAATAGAATAGTCACACAATAATAATAATAATGGCTCTTAAATATAAAGAAGTGATCAACATCACTCATAATTGGAAAAAAATTAAGTTACACTGTATTTTTTTCTTTTTCTTAAATTGTCTTTATTCTTTATATTTTTTAAAAAATTTATTTTTAATTTCTGTGGGTACATAGTAGGTGTATATATTTATGGAGTACCTAAGATATTTTGATATAGGCATACAACATGTAATAATCACATCAGGGTAAATGGGGTATATGTTCCCTCAAGCATTAATTTTTTTGTGTGACAAAAAATCCAATAATAATCTTAATTATTTTTAAATGTACAATGAAGTTATTGACCATAGTCAACCTGTTGTAATATCAAATAGTAGTTCTTATTCGTTCTTTCTATCTTTTGTACTCATTAAGGCATTCCCACTTTTCCCCCACAACCCCTACTACTCTTCCAAGCCTCTGGTAACCATCTTTATACTCTCTATCTTCATGAGCTCAATTGTTTTAATGTTTAGCTCCCACAAATAAGTGAGAACATGTGAAATTTGTCTTCCTATACCTGGCTTATTTCACTTAACATAATGACTTCCAGTATCATTCATGTTGTTGCAAATGAAGAATCTCATCCTTTTTCATGAATAAATAGTACTCCTTTGTGTATATGTACCACATTTTCTTTATCCATTCATCTGTTGATGGACACAAAGTTTGCTTCCAAATCTTGGCTATTGTAAATGATGCTGCAAGAAACATAGAAGTGCAGATATCTCTTAGATATACTGATTTCGTTTCTTTGGGGATATACCTAGCAATGGGATTGCAGAACCACATGGCAGCTATATTTTTACTTTTTGAAGAACCTCCAAACTATTCTCCATAGTGGTTGTACTAGTTGACATTCCCAGCAACAGTGTACAAGGATTCCCTTTTCTCCACATCCTTGCTGGCATTTGTTATTGCCTGTCATTTGTATAGAAAGCATTTTAACTGGTGAGATGATATATTATTGTAGTCTTGATGTGCATTTCTCTGATGATTAATGGTGTTGAGCACATTTTCATATACCTGATTGCCCTTTGTATGTTTTCTTTTGAAAAATGTCTATTCAAATCTTTTGCCCAATTTTTTTATCACAGTATTAGATTTTTTTTTTTCCTATTGAGTTGTTTGAATTTCTTATTTATTCTGGTTATTAGTCCCTTCTCAGATAGGTAGTTTGCAAATATTTTCTCCCATTCTAAGGAGAGTCAATTCACCTTGTTTGTTTCCATTGCAGTGCAAAAGCTTCTTAACTTGATGTGATCTCTTTTATCCATTTTGGCTTTGGTTGCCTGTGCTTGTGGGTATTACTCAAGAACTCTTTGCCCAGACCAATGACCTGGAGTTTTCCCCAATGCTTTCTTTTAGCAGTTTCATAGTTTGAGGTTCTAGATTTAAGTCTTTAATCCATTTTTATTTGATTTTTGTGTGTGGCAGGAGATGGATGTCTAGTTTCATTCTTCTGCATATGGATATCCAGTTTTCCCAGCACCATTTATTGAAGACACTGTCCTTTTTCTAATGTATGCTCTTGGCACCTATGTCAAAAAATACACTGTAGATGTATGAATTTATTCCTGGGTTTTTTATTCTGTTCAATTTGTCTGTGTGTCTGTTTTTATGCCAATACCATGCTGTTTTGGTTACTATACCGCTGTAGTATGGCTTGAAGTCAGGTAATGTGATTCCTTCAGTGTTGTTCTTTTAAAAAGGATGGCTTGGGCTATTCTGGGTTTTTTGTAATTTCATGTAAATTTTAGAATTGTTTTTATATTTTTGTGAAGAGTGTCATTGATAGATTATTCACTCTGTGAATAATCTCATCACCCACATTGTGTGAAGAATGTGGTAGGGGTTGCATTGAATCTGTAGATTGCTTCGGGTATAGTTAGGAGATTTTAAAAATGTTGATTCTCCCAATTCATGAACATGGACTATATTTCCATTTTTTTGTGTCCTTTTTTCATTTCTGGCTTCAGCGTTTTATGGTTTTAATTGTAGAAATATTCCACTTCCTTGGTTAGGCTAATTTCTAGGTATTTAAGTTTGTAGCTATTGTAAATGAGATTACTTTCTTGATTTATTTTCCAGATTGCATGCTGTTGGCATATAGAGATGCTACTAATTTTTGTATGTTGATTTTGTATCTTGCAGCTTTACTGAATTTATTTCTTAGTTGTAACAGTTTTTTTGGTGGACTCTTTAGAATTTTCCAAATATAAGATTGTATTATCTGCAAACAAAGATAATGTGACTTCTTTTCCAATTTGGATACCCTTTATTTATTTCCTTTGTCTGATTGCTCTAGCTAGGAATTTCAGTAGTATGTTGACTAACAGTGGTAAAAGCAGACATCCTTTTCTTGTTCCAGATTTTAGAGGAAAGGCTTTCAGTTTTTTCCCCATTCAGTGTAATTCTAGCTATAAGTCTGTCATGTATGGCTTTTATTGTGTTGAGGTCTGTTCCTTCTGTAAGCCAGTTTTTTAAATGTTTTAAAATGTTTTTCAGCACCAATTGAAATTATCATTTGGTTTTTGTCCATTCTGTTGATGTGATACATCACAATGATTGATTTGTTTGTGTCGAATCATCCTTCCATCCCTGAGATAAATCCCACTTGGTCATGCTGATCTTTTAAAACAGGCTGTTGAATTTAATTTTTTAGTATTTTATTAAGAATTTTTGCATCAGTGTTCATCAGGGATAATGGCTTGTAGTTTTCTTTTTTTTGATGTGTCTTTATTTTTGGTATCGGGGTAACACTGGCTGAGAGAATGAGTGGAAGTATTTTCTACTTCTCTATTTTTTGGAATAGCTTGAGTAGAATTGGTATTATTTCTTCTTTAAATAAAGATTTAAATTCTGCTGTGAAACCATGGGGTATCTGGCTTTTCTTTGCTGGGAGACATTTTTTTTTATTATTATTATGGCTTCAATCTCATTATTATTGGTCTGTCCAGGTTTTGGATTTCTTTGTGGTTCAACCTCTGTAGGTTGAATGTGTATAGGAACTTATCTATTTCTTCCAATTTATTGGCATATAATTGCTCATAGTAACCTGTAATGATCCATTGAATTTCTGGGGTATCAGGTATAATGTCACCCTTTTCAACCCTGATTTTATTTATTTGGTTTTCTATATTTTTTTCTTATTTAGTTTAGCTAAAGTTTTGCCAATTTTATCTTTTCAAAAAAAAACTTTTCATTTCATTAGTCTTTTGTACTATTTTATTCATTTCAGTTTCATTTATTTCTGCTCTAATATTTATTATTTCTTTTCTTCTAGTTTTGGCTTCAGTTTGTTCTCGCTTTTCTATTTCTTTAAGATGCATCATTAGGTTACTTGTGTGGAGCTTTTCTTTTTTTGATGTAGGTGCTTACAGCTATAAACTTCCATCCTTAGTGATGCTTTTGTTGTATCTCATAGGGTTTGGTATGTTGTATTTACATTATCATTTCAAGAACATTTTCAGGTTTCCTCTGAATTTCTTCATTGGCCCACTGGTCATTCAGGAGCATATTGTTTAATTTCCATCTGTTTGTACAGTTTCCAAAATTCCTCTTGTTATTTACTTCTAGTTCTATTCCAATGTGGTCAGATACTTGATATGATTTCAATTTTTTGACTGTTTTAAGATGTGTTTTGTGGCCTAACATATGGTCTACACTTGTAAATGATCCATGGGTTGAGGAAAAAATATGTGTGTTCTTCAGCCATTGAATGGAGTTTTCTGTAAATATCTATGAAATCCATTTGATCTATAGGGAAGATTAAGTCCGATGTTTCTTTGTTGATTTTCTGTCTGAACGATCTATCCATTGCTGAAAGTGGGGTGTTGAAATCTCCAGCTATTATTGTATTGTAGTCTATCTCTCTCATTAGTTCTAATAATATTTGCTTTATATATCTGGTTGCTCCAGTTTTGGGTGCATATATATTTACAATTGTTACATCCTGTTGCTGAAATGACACTTTTATCATTATATAATGGCCTTCTTTGTCTATTTTTATACTTTTTGTCTTGAAATCTATTTGTCTGATATAAGTATAGCTATTTCTGCTCTTTTATTGTTTCTATTTGCATTTGTATGGAATATCTTTTTCCACACCTTTAATTTCAGTCTATGTATGTCTTTATAGGTGAAGTGTTTTTCTTAGAGGCAACAGATCATTGGGTTTTGTCTTTTTATCCATTTAGCCACTCTGTCTTTTTATTAAGGGTCAAGTCCATTTTCATTAAACATTATTATTAATAAGTAAGGACTTACACTTCCCATTTTCTTATTTGTTTTCTTGTTGTTTTGTGGTCTTCTCGTCCTTCTTTCTTTTCTTCCTGTCTTCCTTTTGGTGAAGATGACTTTTTTCTGGTATTATGTTTTAATGTCTTGCTTTTTATTTGTTGTGTATCCATTGTATGTTTTTTGATTTAAGGTTACCATGAGGCTTGCTAATAATGTCTTATAACCCATTATTTTCAGCTGATGACAACACTGATTGCATAAACTAACAAACAAGCAAAGGGAAAACTAATATAAACTCTAAACTTCGACTTTGTCCTGACACCCCCCACTTTTTAATTTTTGTTGTTTCTATTTATATCTTATTGGACTATGTCTTGCAAAGTTGTAGTTATTATTTTTTATTGGTTCATCTTTTATTTTTTCTGTTTAAGATATGAGCAGTTTACACACCACAATTACAGTGTTATAATTGTCTGTGTTTTTCTATGTACTTAGTACTACCAGTGAGTTTTGTATATAAAGATGTTTTCTTATTGCTCATTAACATTCTTTGTATTTTCAGATTGAAGAACTCCTTTAACTTTTTGTAGGACAGAGGTATTGATGAAATCCCTCATCTTCTGTTTGCCTGGGCAAGCCTATTTCTCTTTCATGGCTGAAGAATATTTTCACTGGATGTACTATTCTAGGTTAGAAGTTTTTTCCTTCAGCATTTTAAATATGTCATGTCACTCTCTCCTGGCCTGTAAGGTTTCCACTGAAAAGCCTGCTGCCAGATGTTTTAGAGTTCTCTTGTATGCTGTCTCTTTTCACTTGTTACCTTTAGGATCCTTTCTTTATTCTTGACCTTTGGGAGTTTGATTATTAAATGCCTTCAGGTAGTCTCCTTTGGATTAAATCTGCTTGGTGTTCTATAACCTTCTTGTACTTGAATATTGATATCTTTCTCTAGGTTTGAGAACTTCTCTGATATTATATTTTTAAATATACTTTATATCCCTGTCTTTTTCTCTACCTTTTCTTTAAGGCCATAACTCTTAGATTTGCCCTTTTGATGCTATTTTACAGATTTTGTAGACCCTTCTTATTTTTTCTTTTGTCTCTTCTGACTGTGTATTTTCAAATAGTCTATCTCTAGGCTCACTAATTTTTTCTTCTGCTTGATTCATTCTGCTATTAAGACACTCTAATGCATTATTCGATATGGGAATTGCATTTTTCTGCTTGATTATTTTTAATTATTTTAATCTCTGTGTTAAATTTATCGATAGAATTTTGAATTCCTTCTCTGTATTATCTTGAATTTCATTGAGCTTCCTCAAAACAGCTAATTTGAATCCTCTGTCTGAAAGGTCACATATTCTGGGTCACCAGCATTGGTCTCTAGTGCCTTATTTAGTTTGGTGAGGCCATGTTTTCCTGAATAGTCTTGATGTTTGTGGATTTAATTGGTGTCTGGGCATTGAAGAATTAGGTATCTATTGTTGTCTTCACAGTCTGGACTTCTTTTCCTCATCCTTCTTGGGAAAGCTTTTTAGGTATTTGAAGGGACTTGGGTGTTGTGATCTAAGTTTTTGGTCACTATAGCCAGATCTGCATTAGGGGGCACCCTGAGCCCAGTAGTGATATGACTCTTTCAGACTTGTAGAGGTATTGCTTTGGTGGTGTTCGATAAGATCTGGAAAAATTCTCTGATTGCCATGAAGAGACACTTGTTCTCATCCCTTACTTTCTCCCAAACAAAGGGAGTTTCTCTCTGTGCTGAGCAGCCTGGAGCTGTGGTAGGGGTAACACAAGCACCCCCATGGTCATACCACAAGGACTGCTGGGTCAGACCTGAAACCAGCACAATACTGGCTCTCAACCAAGGCCTGCTCTAACCCCTATCTGGTTACCGCCTATGTTTACTCAGGGCTCCAAGGCTCTACAATCAGTAGGTGGAAATCCAGCCAGGCTTGTGTCTTTCCTTTAATGGCAGCAAGTTCCCCCAGACCCAGGCTGGTCCAGAGACACCATCAGGGAGCCAGAGCCCAAAGTTAGGAAATTAGAAATCTGCCTGGTGTTCTATTCTACTGTGACTGAACTAGCACCAAAACCACAGGACAATGTTCTTTCTACTATCCTCTCCTCTTTCCCCAGACAGAGGAGTCTCTCCTCATGGCCACCACTACCACAGGCCCATGGGATTACTGCAGGCTACTGTTTATGTTCACTTAAGGCCCAAGAGCTCTTAAGTCAGGTAGTGGTAAGTGCTGCCAGGCCTGGAACTCACCCTTCAGGGAAGTGGACTTCCTTCTAGCCATGGCAGGTCCAGAAATGCCACCCAAGAGCCAAGGCCAGGAATCAGGAACTCCAAGAGCTTCCTTGGTGCTCTACCCTACAGTGGCTGAATTGGTGCCTAAGCTGCAAGACAAAGTCCCATCTATGTTTTCCTCTGTTTTTCTCAAGCAGAAGGAGTCTTTCCTCATAGCCACCACAGCTGGCAATCTCCTGGGTCATATCTGAAGCCAGCACATCTCAGAATCTCACCCAAGACCCATGGCATCTACTACCTCACTAATGCTGCTGATTATCAGAGCCCAAGGGTTCTTTAGTCAGTAGGTAATGCATCCTGCCAAGACTAGTTCTTCCCTTTATAGCAGCAGCTTCCCTTCTGGCCCAGAGTGTGTCTTGAAATGTCATCTAGGAGCTAGGGCCTTGAATGGGGGCCTGATGGCTCTGTCTGGTGCCCTATCCTGCTGTGGCTGAGCTTGTATTCAAGTTGCAAGACAAAGTCTTCTTTACTCTCCCTCCTTTTGTCCTCAAGCAGAAGGAAGGAGTCCCTTTTGGAGCTGGGAGCTGTGCTGCCTGGGGTTGGGGGAGTGGTGGCATAAGCACTCCCTTGCTCCCACTGGCTGTTATCTTCCTAAGTCATGAGCGCCCCAAGTCCACTGGCTCCAAACCCAGCACAGTACCGGGACTTATCTAAGAGTGCAGTCCTTGCTGCCTGGACTGCCCTTTAAGTTTATTTAGGGCCCCAGAGCACTTTAGTCTATGGTGGTGAGACTTGTGAGAACTCAAGTTCCAACCACTGGGATGGACATTTCCCTTCTGGCTAGGGCTAATTTAAATACTCTCTGTGTGCGTGTCAGCTGAGTTTTGCCTGGGTTCCTTTCTGCAGTGAAGGGCAGCACTGAGTTCCAATGCAAAGTCCCATAATCATTGCATTCTCCTTCCCCGAAGAATTCAAATTCTGTGTGCCATGCAGCCACTGCTAAGGAATGGAGGAGCAGTGGTGTCAATGGTTTAAGATTGTCTTTC
Organism: Homo sapiens; assembly: GCF_000001405.40. Classification (NCBI taxonomy): domain Eukaryota; kingdom Metazoa; phylum Chordata; class Mammalia; order Primates; family Hominidae; genus Homo; species Homo sapiens. The sequence continues at coordinate 154,749,359 of NC_000003.12, read as the reverse complement.
AACCTCTTTTGTGCCTCTTTCAGTGATATAAAATTAATACTAGGTACTGTGATCACTCACCTGATTTTTGGTTTTAATGAAGGTGCTTTTGTGTGTACATGTTTTTAAATCTGGTGTTCCTGTCAGGAGGACAATTAGTGGAGGCTTCTATTTGGTTATCTTGCTCTGTCTCCATCTCTGTAATGTTTTTTACCTTCCATCTTTTACCCATCACAATGGCAAAAAAAAAAAAAAAGTAAGACAATGCATTATTTGTAAGGCTTAGGTATGCTAATTTACTGCTGACCGAAATTAATCACATACTAACTTTCTGGAAGGAAATTTAACAATGTCTAACCGAATTACATAAACATTATGTTTTGACCACTTTTAGGAACTTACCCTAAAGATACACCCTCCAGCAATAAAAACATATATATGTATAAATTTATCTGTTGCAGTATTATTTGTATTATAAAATGTTAGAAAGGATCTAACTGACATAAATAAGAGAGTGGTTGAATAAACTATGGTATAATATACATAGTATACAATGGCATATCATATAGCTATGAAGAAACAAAGAGGAAGATCTTCATTGAACTGATTTAGAGTGATTGCTACAAATATTAAATGAAAGCATGCGAAGTGTAAAAGAGTAAGTATGATTGCTACATTTGTATGAGAAAGACTAAGTAAGAGAATATACGTGCATCTGCTCATTTGGGAAAAAAGAAACATGGAAAGCATAGTCAGCAAACTAATGAAATTGGTTACCTACAAGATATACATGAGAAAGAGGGGAAAGTGAGAAAGCTAGAATAAAGCTTTTGTGTTGAACCAAAATTTGAGTTATCACCTGCTCTCAAGAGCTGGAAATTTCCATAATGCTTCTCAGACTTTCTTTACATGTTATTGGTAAGTGTTGTGTCACATATTCATGCTCAAACCAGTCTCTTCCAAAGGGAAAAGAATTATAATTGGATTAGATGTATAAGAGTTGCTGTCTAAGGTTAGAGATTTCAATGTGAAACTCATGATTTCCTAACCAGAATTCCATTAGCAAGAAAGATGTGGAATGATAGGTAGTGTTGAATAGATCTCTTTGAAGACCTCTTAATTTATTTTTTAAAGTGTAGTAGTCATTATTGCAGTCATTATTGTGTTTATCCTGTACCAACTATCAGTAAGCCTAATTTAGTTTGTTTTGTCTTTTCTTAGCATTGAAACATAACAATTACCCACCAGATAAAATAGTTCTCTACCAATTAAAGGGTAGGTTATACAAATAATAATTTACTTTTTTGAATTTCTGGTTTTGTTGAGGGAGGGATGGAGACTGTTTGCTTATCAGCTTGCTTGTTTTATGAAATGTCAATGTGTTTAATTCATTTAGATTAAATACTGCATGATTCTCCTCTGAGATAGTTTATTTTAATAGATTGTGAACATGCCTTGAATTAGTAAACACAAAGCATTTTGGGAGGACAGTTTTGGGTGGTGAAGGCAGAACAATCTTGTAGAGGAGGTGACATTTAAATTGAGAGCTGAAGAATGAGTTAAAGTTGGGAGTCTTGGGTAATGAGTAGATGTAAAGGTCAGGAGTGAGACCGAATATGAAATATTAGGAAGGCAATTGGCATGAGTGCCAGTGGTTGGAGAGCTCATCTAGGCCACAATAGGAGTATACTAGGCAAAAGAATTTAAATTGGTTGTTTTTTTTTTATTTTTGTGAGAGTGGAAAGTCAATGAAGTGTTTAATGTAGGAGAGACTATGATCGACCGACATTTATTTCTCATAGTTCTGAAGGCTGAGTTCAAGAGCAAGGTGCCTACTGATTCAGTTCCTGGTAAGAGCTTTCTTCCTGGATTGCAGATGGTGGACTTCTTGCTGTGTCCTTGGATGATGAAGAGAGAAAGAGCAAATTCTGGTCTCTCTTGCTCTTCTTATAAGGGTACTAATCCCATTACCTCATCTAAACCCAATTACCTCTCAAAGGCCCTACTTTTAAATACCATCTTTTTAGTGGTTAGGGTTTCAACATATGAATTTTGAGGGGACACTCTTCAGCTCATAGCAGGGAGCAAGACCAAAAGACAGGAAATCTGTATAGAAACTACATATTCAGGTAAAAACTATAGCAGTCCAAATCTGTATAGAAACTATATATTCAGGTAAAAACCATAGCAGTCCAAACTAAGTGAAGTGCAGTAAAGATGGAGATTAAGAGACATTCGCATGAAAGAGATGCCGAGATGTAGTGCTACGGTTTGAATGTCCCCTCCAAAACTCATGTTGAAACTTAATCTCCAATGTGGCAGTACTGAGAAGTGGAGCCCTTAACAGGTATTGGATCATAAATAGATTAATCCATTAATGGATTAATAGATTAATGGGTTAATAGACAAATGGGTTATTATGGGAGGGGAACTGGTGGCTTTGTAATAAGAGAAAAAACCTGAGTGAGCATATTATAATGCTCAATCCTCTCACCATGTGATGCTCTGTGCTACTTCAGGACACAACAGAGAGTCTTCACCAGCAGAAACACCTTCACGAGATGTACCTCTTAACCTCGTATCCCCAGGCCTCCAGAATTGCAAGAAATAAATTCCATTTCTTTGCAAATTATCTAGTTTCAGATATTCTGTTAAAAGGGACAGAAAACAGACTAAGAAACCTAGCAACTAATAAGATGTCAGGATGAGATGTGGTGAAGAGTGCTTTTTAAAGATCGAAAAGCTTTGAGCATTTTAATTGCTGATGGAAAGGATCTAATTGGAGAGAGAACTTGAAAGTAAGAGAGAGATAGAGGATGGCTTATGGAGAGAGGTCCCTGGGAGGCTGGGAGTGTGTGGGTTCATTTAATTGTCATTGGTTAATTTATCTCAAGCCTTTTAAAAGCAATAGTTTTCTCTCCATCTTTTTTGTTTTAACTTCGTAAGGTATTTATTAAAGACATCCAGGCATTTGTCTTATAGATTGTCCCACAGCCTAAATTTTGCTGATTGAATATTCATGGTAAAGTTTAAGCTGTTCCTTGAGCCCCTGTACTTTCTATAACTTGGTAGTTGAATATAGTAGCCATGATATCTTTATAAGATCTGAAAAATTCTGAATTCTGAAACACATCTGGCTCTAAAAAATTTAGCCTGAGGATTGTGGGCCTATACTTGTGTGCACTGGCAAATTGCTTCTGTCTGTAATCCCTGGAAAACCTACCTGTTCCAAAATAGTTAATGGCTATGCCAGCAGGGGTCCTCCGGGTTCCAGCTCAGAGCTGAGGCCATCTTCTCTTTCAATAATCAGTGCCTATAACATCAGTTGTCATATTTTCAATATCACCACTAAAATTCTCTTCAGAAAAATGTTCTTTCTTCCTTATTTTTTAAAAAAATACCTTTACTGAGATCTACTTCACATACCATAAAATTCATCCATTTAAAGTGTACAATTAAATGGTTTTTAGTGTATTCACTGAGTTGTACAATAATCATCATCACAATCTAATTTGAAAACATTTTCAACACCCTCCAAAAAAACTTTATGTCCATTAGGAGGCATTCCCCACCCCGGCACCTCCAAGACTTAAGCAACCAAGTAATCCACTATTCTGTCTCTATAGATTTGCCTACTTTGGACGTTACATATAAATGCAATAATACACGTGTTCCTTTGTGGGTGGCTTGATGTATCAAGATTCATTCGTGCAATAGCATGTAATACCATTTCCCTATTTTTATTGCCAAATAATACACTATTGTACAAATAAGATGCATTTATAAAAATCCGTTCATCATTTGATGGACATTTGGGTTGTTTTCACTTATTGGATATTATGATTAATATCATATATGTTAATGTACAAGTTTAGTTATTAACATGTTTTCATTTCTCTTGAGTATATATTTAAGAATACATTTGCTTGGACTAATGATAAATCTATGTTTAACATTTTGAGAAACTGCCAAACTGTATTTTCTAAAGTGGCTGCAACATTTTCACAATCCCACTAGCAATGCATGAGGGTTGCAATTTCTCCACATCTTCATCAACACTGGTTATTGTCTGTATTTTTGATTTTAGCCATTTTAGTGGGTGTGAAATGGCATCCCACTGTGGTTTTGATTTTCATTTCTTTAGTGAATAAAGATATTACACATTTTTTTCCTATGCCTATTGGCCAGTTGTATGTCTTCTTTGGGAAAATATTTTCAAATGCTTTGTCAATTTTAAAATTGGGTTTTTTTTCTATTGAATTGTAGAGTTCTTTATATATGTATATACTGAATACTAGACTCTTATTATGTATATGACTTGCAAATAATTTTCCCCATTGTATGGGTTGTCTTTTCATATTCTTGATAGTGTGCTTTGAGGCACAAAAGTTCTTAATTTTGATAAAGTTCAATTTATCTATTTTTTTGTTATTTATATTTTAGGTGTCATGCCTAAGAAAAATTGCTTAATCCAAGGTCCTAAGATTTACTCTTGTTTTCTCCTCAGAGTTTTATAGTTTTAGCTCTTATATTTAGTTCTATAATCCATGTTGAGTTAATTTTTGCATATGGTGTGAATAAAGTAGGGGACCCAATTTAATTCTTTTGCATGTAGTTATCCAGTTGTCCCAGAACCATTTGTTAAAAAGCCTATTTGTGCCCATTCAGTTGTCTTGGCACCCTTGTCAAAAAGCAATTGACGACAAATATAAAGGTTCACTCCTAGAGTCTTGGTTCTATTTCATTGATCTATATGTCCATATGAACACAAGAGCCATACTCTCTTTTTTATTTATGTATTTATTTTTGAGACAGGGTCTCTCTCTGTCATTCAGGCTGGAGTGCAGTGGCACAATCTCAGCTCACTGCAGCCTCAACTCTTCAGGCTCAGGTGACTCTCCCACATCAGCCACCCGAGTAGCTGGGATTACATGCATGGGCCACCATGCTTAGCTAAGTTTTGTATTTTTAGTAAAGATGGGATTTCACTATGTTGGCCAGGCTGGTCTCAAACTCTTGGCCTCAAATGATTGACCTGCCTCAGCCTCCCAAAATGCTGGGATTACAGGTGTGAGCCACTGCATCCAGCCACACTGTCTTGATTACTCTAGCTTTGTAGTAAGTTTAGGACTTGGGAAGTGTGAGTCCATCAACTTTGTTCTTTCTAGATCATTCTGGCTATTCCGGGTCCTTTGCTTTTTAATAAATTTTATAATCAACTTCTCCATTTCTGGAAATTTTGATAGCAATTATGTTAAATGTGCCGATTAATTTGGGGAGTATTGCTATTTTAGCAATAGTAAAGTATTCTGATCCATAAACATAGGATGTGTTTCCATTAATTTAGTTATTTAATTTCATGCAACAAAGTTTTATAATTTTTAGTATAAAAGCTGTGCACTTCTTTCCCTAAGTTTATTCCTGTGTACTTAATTCTTTTAACAAAATTGTAAATGGCATTACTTCTTCACGTATTTTTTTTTTTTTTTTTTTTTTTGCCCTTTTCCCTCTCTCCTCTCCTTTGGTACTCCCATTACACATATGTTGGTGCATTCAATGTTGTCTCAAAATCATCTGAGAATCTTTTCTCATATTTCTTCATTTTCTTTCTGTTTTTCAGACTGCCTAATCTTTTTTTATCTATCTTCAAGATTGATGATTCTTCTGTCTGCTCAAATCTACTCTTGAGCCTCTGTAGAGAATTTTTCATTTTGGTTATTACTGTACTTTACAACTCCATAATAGCTGACTTCAAACTGCTGACATGACAAAAAGAGGCTTGCACTATTCCTAAAAAGCAAACAATTGGCTCTTTGAAGCCAGTACAAGCTAGCTGTGGCACATTAGTTTTTCTCACTCTGTTTGAGGAGAGATCAAGGTGAGTCAGGACATTTTCCCAAATGTGTGAGAAATCTTTCTTGTAAGCTCTTATTATTCTCTAATTTTATGCTCCTTTCTGTAAGTTTCTGTTTTCTGTATGTAATCTAGAAGCTTGTGGGTGACAGCCAAGGCCTGAAGTTGCATTCATTATTTCCCTTATCGGGGGGAAAGGCATAAGAGTTTGTTTGCTTGGTTCAGTGTTTGCATGCAGGAAACAACCTTGCGCTGCCTCACCTCCCATGGGGTAGTGATGCCTGCCGTATTAGAAAGTCCCCTCAGGTCAGTGATTAGACTCTTGAGAAAGAAATTTGCCTCCCATGGGTTATTGTTTGCTGTCTATAGGCCTCTCCCTGGAAATTAGCATCTCTCATCTATCTCCTGGCCTGTACTTTTCTCCATCCTTTATCACTCAAATTAGGAAAAGTTACAAGTTTTCAGTGATGATCCCCTGTCTGCCTCACCAGGAAACACACTGTTTTCTTACCCTTAATTATCTTGTCCCATCTATCTTATCTTATATAGAGACAATATTCTTTAATGTCTGTGGTATGTGGATGGCATATTGTTCTGAGCGTCTACTAATGACAACAGCTTTCTTCTATTTGTATTTTCCATGTCATTTAAGTCAAGTCTTGGAGAGAAAGGGAACTTTTTTGTTCATCTGTTTTCAGAAATTTTGTCAATTATTTTTGTTATTCTTATTAACAATAATTATTTTTGTTAATTTCAACTTTTATTATAGATTAAAGGGTACATGTGCAGGTTTGTTACAAGGTATATTGTGTGATGCTAAGGTTTGGATTTCAAAGGATCCATCACCCGGTACTGAGAATAGTACCCAGTACATAGTTTTTTAGCCCATGCCCCCCTCTTTTCCTTCCCTGTATAGCAGTCCCCAGTATCTGCTGTTCCCATCTTTATGTCTATGTGTATTCAATGTTTAACTCCTATTTATGTGAGAACATGTGGTATTTAGTCTTCTGTTCTTGTGTTAATTCACTTAGGATAATGGCCTCCAGCTCCATCCATGTTGCTGCAAAGGACAATGACTTCATTCTTATGGCTGTGTAGTATTCCGTAGTGTATATGTACCACATTTCTTTTTTCAGTCCACCACTGCTAGGCACCTAGGTTGATTCCATGTCTTTGCTATCATGAATATGGTGCAATGAACATATAGATTCATGTGTCTTTTCAATAGAACAATTTGTTTTCTTTTGGCTATATACCCATCAACGGGATTGCTGGGTTGGATGGTAATTCTAAGTTCTTTGAGAAATCTCCAAACTGCTTTCCACAGCAAAACAAAAGAAATTACCAACAACAAAAACAGACAACCTACAGAGTGGGAGAAAATATTCAAAAACTCTGCATCTGACAAAGGTCTAATATCCAGAATCTATAAAGAACTTAAATAATAAGTATTGTAATAAAGAATTCAATTTTACCTAGTTCTGTTCTGATCTTGGCTATTTCCTTTCTTCTGCTGGGTTTGGGTTTGCTTTGTTCTCATTTTCTAGTTCCTTGAGGTGTGCCCTTAGATTGTCTGTCTGTGTTCTTTCAGTCTTTTTGATGTAGTCATTTAGGGCTATGAATTTTCCTCTTAGCACTGCCTTTGCTGTATCCCAGAGGTTTTGATATGTTGTGTCACTATTGTGACTAAAGAATTTTTTAATTTCCATCTTGATTTCATTTTTGACCCAATGACCATTCAGGAACAAATTATTTAATTTCCATGAATTTGCATGGTTTTGAAGATTCCTTTTGGAGTCAATTTCCAGTTTTATTCCACTGTGGTCTGAGAGAGTGCCTGATATACTTTCAATTTTTAAAAATTTATTGAGGCTCATTTTGTGGCATATAATATGGTCTATCTTGGAGAAAGTTCCACATGCTGTGGAATAGAATGGATATCCTGTGGTTGTTGGATAGGCTGTTCTGTATATATGTCTTAAGTCCATTTGTTCCAAGGTATAGTTGAAATCCATTGTTTCTTTGTTGACTTTCTGTCTTGATAACCTGTCTAGTGCTATCAGTGAAGTATTGAAGTCCCCCACTATTGTTGTGTTGCTGTCTGTCTCATTTCTTAGGTCTATTACTAATTGTTTTATAAATTTGGGAGCTCCAGTGTCAGCATATACTCCAGCATAGTGCATATACGTTTAGGATTGTGATATTTTCCTGTTGGACAAGCCCTTTTACCATTATATAATGTCCTCTTTGTCTTTACTAACTGCTGTTGTTTTACAGTTTCTTTTGTCTAAGAATAGCTACTCCTGCCTGCTTTTGGTGTCCATTTGCATGAAATGTTATTTTCCACCCTTTTACCTTAAGTTTATGTGAGTACTCATGTGTTAGGTGAGTCTCTTGAAGGCAGCAGATAATTGGTTGGTGAATTGTTATCTATTCTGCAGTTCTGTATCTTTTAAGTGGAGCATTTAGGCCATTTACATTCAACGTTAGTATTGAGATGTGAGGTACCATTCCATTCATTGTACTATTTGTTGACTGTGTACCTTTGTTTTTTGCTTTTTGTTTTTGTTTTTTAAATCATATTTTTGTTTTATAGGTCCTGTAAGATTTATGCTTTAAAGAGGTTCTGTTTTGATGTGTTTCTAGGATTTGTTTCAAGACTTAGAGCTTCTTTAAGCAGTTCTTAAACCGAAGATAAATGAAACAAAAATCTGGTTCTTTGAAAAGATAAGTAAAAGTAATAGACTATTATCAAGGTTAACCAATAAAAGAAGAAAGAAAATCCAATAAGAAATGAAACGGGAGATATTACAACTGAAACCACAGAAATACAAAAAGTTCATTTGAAGCTACTATGAACACATTTATGTACATAAACTAGAAAACCTAGAAGAGATGGATAAGTTCCTGGAAAGATACAACCCTCCTAGCTTAAATTATGAAGAATTAGATACCCTGAACAGACCAATAATAAGCAGCAAGATTGAACTAGCAATTAAAAAACTACAAACAAAAAAAAAGTCCAGGATCAGATGGATTCACAGCAAAATTCTACCAGAAATTCAAAGAATTAGTACCAATTCTTTTGACACTATTCCACAAGATCAAGAAAGAAGGAACCCGCCCTAAATCATTCTATAAAGCCAGTATCACCCTAATACCAAAAACCAGGAATGGACATAACTAAAAAAGGAAACTATAGACTAATATCCTTGATGAACATAGATGCTAAAATCCTTAACAAAATATTAGCTAACCAAATCCAACAACATAACAAAAAGATAATCCACCATGATCAACTGGGTTTATAACAGGGGTGCAGGGATGGTTTAACATGCTCAAGTCAATAAATGTGATACACCACATAAACAGAATTAAAAACAAAAATCACATAATCATCTCAATAGATGCAGAAAAAACATTCAACAAAATCCAGCATCCCTTTATGAATAAAAACCTCAGCAAAATTGGCAGACAAGGGACACAGCTCAATGTAATAAAAGCCATCTATGACAAACCCACAGCCAACATAATACTGAATGGGGAAAAGTTGAAAGTATTCCCTCTGTGAACTGGAAAAAGACAAGGATGCCCACTCTCACAATGCCTCTTCAACATAGCATTGGAAGTCCTAGCCAGAACAACCAGACAAGAGAAAGAAATAAAAGGCATCCAAATACCCTTTATTTCCTCTGTAAAAAGGAAGTCAAACTGTCATTTTTTTGCTGACGATATAATCATGTACCTCAAAAATCCTAAAGACTCCTCCAGAAAGCTCCTCGAACTAATAAATAAATTCAGCAAAGTTCCTACATACAAAATTAATGTATACAAATCAGTAGCTCTGCAATACATCAATAGCGACCAAGCTGAGAATCAAATCAAGAAATCAACCCTTTTTACAATAGCTGCAAAAAAAAAATACTTAGGAATATACCTAACTAAGGAGGTGAAAGACCTCTCAAGGAAAACTACAAAACACTCCTGAAAGAAATCATAGATGACACAAACAAATGGGAACACAACCCATGCTCATGGATGGGTAGAATTAATATTGTCGCAATGACCATACTGCTAAAAGCAATCTACAAATTCAACACAATTCTCATCAAAATACCACCATCATTCTTCACAGCATTAGAAAAAAAATTTTAAAATTCATATGGAACCAAAAAAGAGCCTGCATAGCCAAAGCAAGACTAAGCAAAAATAACAAATCTGGAGGCATCAAATTACCTGATTTCAAACTATATTATAAGGCTGTAGTCACCAAAACATCATGGTACTGGTATAAAAATAGGCACATAGACCAATGGAACAAAATAGAGAACCCAGACATAAACCCGAATACTTAGAGCCAACTGATCTTTGACAAAGCAAACAAAAACATAAAGTGGGGAAAGGACACCTGGGATAACTGGCTAGCCACATGTAGGAGAATGAAACTGGGTCCTCATCTCTCAGCTCACAAAAAAGTCAACTCAAGATGTATCAAGAACTTAAATCTAAGATCCGAAACTATAATAATTCTAGAAGATAACATTGGAAAAACCCTTCTAGACATTGGCTTAGGCAAAGACTTCATGAACCCAAAAGTAAATGCAACAAAAACAATTATAAATAGGATAGACAACCCACAGAGTGGGTTTATTCAAGCCCTGCTGCAATGGTGGGCTTTTCCTGCTGGAATTGAATATAATTTTTTTGTCATCAGCTTTTATGAAAAAAATCATATTTTTATTTTAAGTTTTCTTACAGATAGTATTTTTCTTAACTTGAATTAGCTTACCAGATTTCAAGTCTAAACACAATTTTATCATTACAACATTTAAACCTTTAGAAATAGATGATTCCATCATAAGCATGTTTGTACAACTTTGATTATATGAAAAAACCACTGAGGCATTAACAATGTTGTTTTGGAGAGCTATTCTAATTAGTTTCTTTTTATAAATAACATAGACTCAGATAAAAATGATTAAATGCATTTTTTAAAAGGTGTGAGAAAATCCAAATCATTTTGTCAGGGCAACCTCATTTTCTCATTAATCTTTTCTGAGTAAAGCTATTATTTTTATCACCCTTTTCTTCACCTGATAATGTTGAACTAGCTAACACCATATGCTCTTTATCACTTAGTGATAAAGCCATTTAGTTATATATAATTTGAATTGATTCTTTTAACTTCAGAATAGAAAAAAAGCTAGTTTTAAATAATATACTGTAGCAATATAGTAATATATAAGACATATTGTAGTAAACTATAATGTACTATAAAATCTTCAGGAAAATTATACTTAAGAGAGGCTTAAAAAGAATCTCTGTAAAAAGCCAATTTAAAAAATCTTTCTGATTGCATTGAATAAAAAATAAGTTATAAAATTAAATTATATGTTACAACTTCTGGTATTACAATCTGCTAAAAATATAATAATCTATTACTATAAAACTCGAAGTTTCAATACCCTTATATTCAATTAAACCTACCAAAATATTATAGGTCTAGATTAGTTATAACTGGAAATTCTCCTACCAGCAGAATTTACTTCCATTGTTCACAGCATTTAATAGTATTTTACTGTGTTCATTTGTTAAAGTTTTTACATTTTCTAAAATTTTACTTTAAGTTCTGGGATACATGTGCAGAACGTGCAGGTTTATTACTTACATATACATGTGCCATGGTGGTTTGCTGCACCTATCAACCCGTCATCTAGGTTTTAAGACCCTCATGATTAGGTATTTGTCCTAATGCTCTCCACCCCCGCCGCCGCCCCCCACCCCCGCCCCCAACAGCCCTAGTGTGTGATGTTCCCCTCCGTGTCCATATGTTCTTAAAATTAATTAAACCTTATCCATTGGAAGTAAACAAATGTTAGAAAAATATTATCCTTTACATTTTTTAAAAAAGTAAAGCAGGTAGGTAGACAGAAAGGAAGAAAAAACAAGAGAAAGGTATAGGAGAGAGAATAAATAAATATTAAATAAGTAACTTACTAGTTTTTGTAATAATCGCATTGTTTGGTCAATGTATAATTTTCATAAGAATTTACACTTATGTGATATGTTAAAAAGCAGAGAAGCTAAAGGACAATAGCTTCTATTGAACAGAACGTTTCATATTAAAAACATACTTTTCCACTCATACTAGTTAAAGCCAACTCTCTATTTATGCTGATCGCATATGGTGAGCAAACAATAACTCAAGTTCTTATATTAAGGCAAATGTGGTGGTTTTAATTTTTGGTTTTAGGGTTTTTTTGCTTTCTTTTTTTCTCTTTTATCCTTTTTTTTCTTAACCTTAATATTTAGTTTCAAAGTCCTCCACACCAAATATTTTTCCAGGACTATTAAAATTGCAGATTAGACTGATTAATATTTGACTTCATATTTTTCTACTTTTTCATCAAATCATAGTGATGTTCTTCAGAGGCGAGATGAAGGAGGTGAACAGAGAACAGGAGTAATAGAATTTGCTAATCAGATCTTAAATAATGGAAGCTTGATTGCATTCAAAAACTGATGTAATGATGCAGAAAAAGGAAAGCTGATGCTTTAAGAATGTGGAATTGGAAAATATAAAGAGATATTTTGTCTGGCAATTCTTAAAATAGATATTTATTTTTAGCTTAATTTTTGACTAAAAACACAAGTCTTTCTGATGGTATTTTTGAAAGTTTAGTATATGTAATACACACTGGAGTATATAAATATAATGCCCTTTAGGAAATGTGGTCCGCTTATTATGGATTGAATTAGCCATGATTTGCTTTCTTTCTTGTAGTCAGATTAAAGGATGGAATTGTGTTATGGCATCACATGCCTTTTCACAATTAATTCCAAATTGACAGAAATACTTTATTTGGAGCAATCAACTCAAGTCAGCTTGATTACTGATTACTGACAAAAGATGTTCAAAGAGAAATTGTTAAATCAGAACTCTTTTTCCAGAGGGTAAACAAGAAATACAAAAATACCCAGAAAATAATAATAATATTAGAATATAAACCTCTCATTCAATTTTCATATATGGTGTAGAGAGGTTTTTGTTATTTCTCTCTTTCACTATTTAGCTTTCCCTCTCTCCTCCCTTTCTTCTTTTCTACCTTGGACAAAAATAATAGCCTTTGACCAGGATTAATTATTTTTAATCATGAAAAACCTAAGTCAGTATCATACATCATCTCATTTTGAACACGATAAACCCACTCATTTAGAAGAATTTGTATAACTATGGGCAAATAGTGCTGACATTTCCCTTTTAGTATAGCAACAACAATCAAAAGAAACTCCTTTTTAAAAAATTAACAACAATTAATGGCAGTGTGAAAGTCCAGAGTGTTTTCTTATGAAGTTATTTGTAGGTGTCATCCTCCAAATTTTTCAGTAATAATTCTGTATTGCCACACAGTCATTTCCTGTAAGACCAAAATTAAAGAGAAAAAAGTGAACAGAAAGGAAGTTTTAGAAACAGACCATTGGTAAACCTTCTATGAGAGAAAATGTGTAAATATAAAATTCATTGGACTCACTCCAGACTCTAGAAAATGTACTGGTTAATCTTTAGAAAATAACATCATTCTCAGCAAACTAACACAAGAACAGAAAAACAAACACCACATGTTCTCACTGGTAAGTGGTAGTTGAACAGTGAGAACACATGGACACAGGGTGGGGAACATCACATACTAGAGCCTGTCATAGGGTTAGGGGGTAGGGGAGGGATAGCATTAGGAGAAATACCTAATGTAGAACGGATTAATGGGTGCAGCAAACCACCATGGCATGTGTAAACCTATGTAACAAACCTGCACGTTCTGCACATGTACCCCAGAACTTAAAGTATAATTTAAGAAAAAGAAAATTCTATTGAGAAATAAAAATGAAATTTCCGAAGACATTTTTTTGCTTACCCACCTAAAGTTCAACACACATAAATATTATTAATTATCTTTCTTCTAGTAATAAATTAATGACATAAGCGAGTAACCTGTCAACTGAGCAAGAAATCTGGGAGGTATTCTCCCAGATTCCCCTTATTCCTTCCATTTCTAATGGTTCTACAGATTTCTTTTACATTTTACTTCCTTAACATCATTAGTATCTGCTTCAGCCTCTTCGTTCCCATTGTTCTGATGCAGGGTCTTATCATCATCTGCCTGGATTATTGCAATTTACTTCTAAATGGCTTGCCTAACTCTAGCTGCACCTTGCCATCTAGCTGTCATATGACCAGCAATCTTCCTGAAAAACAGAAATAAGATTATATTATTATCGTGATTAAAGCATTCAACCAAACTCTTTGCATAGCATATAAGGTCCTCCAATATTTGGCACTGTTTTCTCTCCCCAATTTCATCCTCCATTGCCTCCGCCCACCCCCCTTATGCTTTAATATTAAACTATTTACAGTACCCTCCGCAATGTTCTGTTATGTTTCCATGTATTTGCATATATTGTTGCCTGTACTTGGAATCCTCTTTTCCCAAACCCTTCTAATAAACTTTAACCTACTTTTCAAGACCCACCTAGGTGTTTCTTCTTCTCTGAACCCCACCCTAGCATGTCCTAGTCAACATACATCTTTGTCCCATCACGGTACCTTGAGGATATGTATTATATTCCTATCACAAGGAATTGTAATGACTTGTTTACATATCTGACTCTTCCCAGACTGTGTGTTTCAGGAACTATGGCTTTTCATCTTCATATGTGGGCACCTTACAGTTACTCACTAATGTTGCATGCATGAATGAGTGAATTAATAAATCAATGTTCTAACAATGCTAAAACAGAGAAGTATTTAGAGATTTGTCCAAATATACTCCATGAATCAGGGGCGGGTCCAGGAATAGATTCTGGTTCTTCCCACTTCTTTCTATTCCTCAGACTCCTAGACCATGACTCACTGTTTCATTAACAAAAGAAGATGGAAAAATTTTTATTTTTCTTACACAAAATTACCCACCATAGGAAACTACCCACTGTACTCCACTGTCTGGCTTTCAGTCATAAAAATGGATCTTGATGCTCTAGTTGCATTTTTGGGGGAAGATTCTTCCATCTTAGGCACAATGTGTTCAGAATAGACTCCAGAAGCATTGGTATTTGAATAAGGGAATTAAAATAAAAATGTCATAAGGAACTCATAATTGATGTTATCAACTACCGCCTCTCTTTATTCTAACTCTTCTTCTAAAGGAGCAGATTATATGCTTCCTAATTCTTTTTTGGATATTTTAACTAAGCTGTCCCTTAAGCTTTAAGGCCAGGAAAACACACACACACACACACACACACACACACACATGCACATGCAATTAAAAGTGTTAGGTTGAGGCCGGCGCGGTGGCTCATGCCTGTAACCACAGCACTTTGGGAGGCCAATGTGGGCGGATCACAAGGTCAGGAGTCCGAGACAAGCCTGACCAGCATGATGAAACCCCGTCTCTACTAAAAATACAAAAATTAGCAGGGCGTGGTGGTGTGCGCCTGTAATCCCAGCTACTTAGGAGGCTGAGGCAGGAGAATCGTTTGAACCTGGGAGACGGAAGTTGCAGTGAGCCGAAATCGGGCCTCTGCACTCCAGCCTGGGCGACAGAGCATGACTCAAAAAAAAAAAAAAAAGTGGTAGGTTGACATCTCCTTGAGTCAAAAGTGGTAGGTTGACATCTCCTTGAGTCATTAAGTATATTTTTAAAATTTGCATAACAAAACTCTATTTCTGAAGTAACTTTGACATTGAGAAACCTTTTATTCAAAAAAGTTTTCTGGACTCTCCACAGAAGCACTCAAGAAAAACTTATATTATTAGTCCTATTCTGTAGATGACATATTCTAAGATAACAAAATATATACATTTTCTCCTCTCAAGAGTGTAAATAAGAATGACATCATAAACTCATAAAAATATTTAAATATTCCTTCAAATAAAAAATTTAAAGGTTACCAATACATCTTATGTCTTATTTATAAACCTACATCTTTTTGTGTCTAGTCTCAGTGTATTCAAAACACCTCATATTTCATTTTGCTAACCTTGAAAAATAATACCCTTCTAGTAGTCTTTCTTCTAGAAATAGTATAGAAAATTAGATAACATACTGCTTTTCTCAACACAATATTCTAAATATCTTCTTATGGTTTAATTCTCTCTAGTACTTCACTTTCATGGCAGCTCTCCTCTCTATCCATGAAGTCCCCTCATCAGCACGTTTCCCTCATCCCCTGTGTATTAGTCTGTTTTTTATGCTGCTGATAAAGACATACTGGAGACTGGGTAATTTATAAAGAAAAAGAGGTTTAGTGGACTCACAATTCCATGTGGCTGGGGAGACCTCACAATCATGGCAAAAGGTGAAAGGCACGTCTTCCATGGCAGCAGGCAAAAAGAGAATCAGAATCAAGCAAAACGGATTTCCCCTTATAAAAACCATCAGAACTCGTGAGACTTATTCACTACCATAAAAGTATGGGGAAAACTGCCCCCGTGATTCAATTATCACCCACTGGGTCCTTCCCACAATGCATGGGAATTATGGGAGCTACAATTCAAGATGAGATTTGGGTGGGGACACAGCCAAACCATGTCACTCTCCTGCTCTGCCTCTTGTCCTCTGCTCCTCACACTCAGTTTCTCACCCTTCCCCACCAACAGAGTCCACATAGATGTGCT
Source organism: Homo sapiens (assembly GCF_000001405.40). Classification (NCBI taxonomy): domain Eukaryota; kingdom Metazoa; phylum Chordata; class Mammalia; order Primates; family Hominidae; genus Homo; species Homo sapiens. Next base: position 154,732,852 of record NC_000003.12, on the reverse strand, counting down.
TTCATTTCCCTGCTCTGATCACTTATTGTAAGAAGAACAGCTCTTCTGAAATTCAGGTGAATAAAATTCCCTAATCTCTTAAATATCATAATACAGAATATGATGGATTACCTAAAGAGGAAAACAGACCAATGAAATTCACTATGGAAAAATCACTTTGGATTGAACTTTGAGGAAAGGTTTTGTCAGGAAGAGAGAATCTGATCAGCCAGAGGAAGGAGGATAAGAAATAGCTAAGATGAGATAAGCAGAGAGAAAGCATTCTAGGTGAGATGTTTATGAGTAATATTGCACAAATCAGGAATGAATGTGGAGTTCGGCAGACATTTAATTCTGATGGATTTAAGGAAGATGGCCATGGTAGACAGTATTGAAAAATTAGCTGTACATTTAAAATGCCAAAAACAGTTACATTTCCATCTTTTAGGTCATGGCAGGTATTATTATTGCAGGTGTTTGTTGCTAAGTGACACAATGGGAATAATGTAGTAATGGAGAAATTAGAGAGGGGAGAAGTGAAGAGTGATATCCTAAAAGCTAAAGCAGTTGTCTCTGGCATGAAATCATGAAAGGCTGAGATGAGAGGTATGGATGAAATGGAAAAGAAGCAGCTTCTGTCTTCTTCTTTTCATTTCATCAAGAAATGAGTCAGCTGGCTCATTTAATAAGCACAGTATCACAATAGTTATTTAAATTATTCATTTCTATAGGGACCCAAATAATAAAAAGAAAACTAATCATTTTTTTTCTCTTTTTGGCATTCCTATTCCTACCTAGAAAAGAAACAAGAGACAAAGTAATTTGATGACTAAATGTATGTATTTTTTATTTTACATTTTTAGATTTGTTAGTATAGAAAAGTTGATGAAATGTTAACTAACCTAAAGTCACTTTTGGCTTACTTTTTTTTGCTTTTATTATTTTCAATTGACACATAATTATACATATTTACAAGGTTCAGTGTGCTATTTTGACACAGGTATACAATATGTAACGATCTCAAATCAGGGTAATTAGTATATTCATCACCTCAAGCATGTATTATTTCCTTGTGTTGGGAATGTTCAAAATCTATTCTTCTAGCTAGTTGAAAATACACAATTAATTTTTGTTAATTACAGTCACCCCATAGTGCTATTCAATGCTAGAACTTATTCTTCCTATCTAGGTGTACTTTTGTAAAGCCATATTTTTTCCAATTTTTATTTCAGATTCGGAGGGTACATGTGCAGGTTTGTTAGCTGGGTAACTGTGTGATGCTGAGTTTTGGGGTACAAATGATCCTGTGACCCAATAATGAGTTTTTCAACCCTATCCCCATTCCTCCTTCCCTTTTCTAGTAGTTCCTGCTTCTATTGTTCTCTTTATGTCCATGAGTACCCAATATTAGGCTCCATTTATAGGTGAGAACATGTAGTATGTGGTTTTCTGTTTCTGTGTTAATTCACTTAGGATAATGGCCTTCAGCTCTTTCCATGTTGCTTCAAAGGACATGATTTCATTCTTTTTTATGGCTGTGTAGTATTCCATGGTGTATGTATACCACTCTTTCTTTATCCAACCCACCATTGATGCACCTAGGTTGATTCCATGTCCTTGTTATTGTGAATAATGCTGTGATGAACATGTGAGTGTATGTGTTTCTTTGTTAGAACAATTTGTTTTCTTTTGGATATACATCCAGTAATAGGGTTACTGGGTCAAATGGTAGTTATCTTTTTAAGTTCTTTGAGAAATCTCCAAGCTGCTTTCCACAGTAGCAGAGTCACCCCCCACCCTTTTTTTTTTTTTTGCTATATAAAATCTGAGTAAGATAACAGACTATTGGAAGTGTGGAAGAAATTGGGCCCATTTTCAGCTCACTGAGTATTTACAGAATGCCTGAGAATATTGCTTTTTTAAATCTAAGGCTGCAAATTTCAGCACTCTAGGACTTTGGCAGAATAATGAATCATCATTTTCTGTATCTTGCTTTTGTTGCTATTTGAAAATAGACCAGCCACGTTATAGTAAATATCTTAAATGTACATGTGCAATTCAATAACAACTTTACTATGACACATACTCATATTCTTTACTATGACACATACTCATATTCATTGAAGATATTTTGATTAAAAGTCTTAGAAGGAATTTGTTCATTCATCGCGGTATTTCCCTATAGAGTTATTGGTTTAATGACCAACAGTGCAGTAATTATCATTCCAGTGTCAATGAAAGGAAAATATTTTGCTTTCAACTAGAAAGCATTTTATAACTCAGTCAGATGTGGGTGTATATACCTATGCAAGCATGAGTAAAGAGGAGAGAGACAGATTATAAAGAATTTTAGATTGCTTTGCCAAATTAATGTCATTAAGCTTACTTATGAGACGAAGGCATAGAGTGCCTGGAGGTGTTATGCTCAGCTGGTCACAGGAGAGTGCTAGAGTACCATTAAATTTCCTGCTCTAAAATAACTGAAAGAAATCATGTGCCAGAGAATGACTTAATGCACTTGGGTGAGCTTTGCCTTGCAGGGTTGATGGAAAGAAATAATAACACATGCTGGTAGAAATTATAGTAGAATGCCAAATCTACCTCATAACATCTCCAGATGTTAAGAACAGAATGATAAAGTGTGACAGAATTATCTTGTGCTACAATTATTTTAATCTTTGCAGTGCTATTATAAAAGATTTCAATTTTGTCAAATTACCCTCTGCATTTTAAAATTCTTTTTCAGCTAGCTCTTAACAGTTTTACTAAATTGTCCTACATTCTTTGCAGGCAGCATCCTCTTGAGCCAGTGGGAATGCAATATGTGGGTCTGGGCTGCATTTAATGACCTTGTTCTCCTTGGCATAAAAGCAAAATAACAGAGGTGTGACTCTGAGTCCTTGGTAACAGAAATACTTTGCAGTCATATGTTTCTTTCATAGAATTTTAATATCGTTATGCATCACAATTCTTTTTTATGGCTTAGAAAGATGAACAATATGTGATTCTTGTTTTCTGGACAAAAACACTAAATCACCTCAGAATCCAAAAGAATTCATGTCAGCAACTGCAAGAACTGCAAGCACATTTTCAGACCTCTAGATTCTGCTAGCGAAAATAATGCTGCTTCATCCAATTTAATCATCAGTTTTATAAGGATCATTGTCTGAGAATAAATTCACACTTAAGAGTGCTGAGTAACATAATCAGGCATGATAATCCACTAAGCATGGGGGACCCTTGGAAAAATATTGCAATTATATAGGGCTCTTATGGGAGTTTTGAGATATTAAGAAAAGCTATCAACGAATTCCCCAAAGAAATGCAAATAAATACAGCATTTTAAACACAATTTCAGGGGGGTCAGTTACAGGCCCAACAGCAAGATCTTCAATAAGGGTCATTACTATCCCTTATGACACTTGGGTTGGGGATGGTCTTGTGCAGTTTGTACTGAGTTCTGGGATCAGAGCTATGGCTTCCTTTCTCCAGTGCCCATAGCAGGTTATTTCAACATAATATCACACTTATTCGGCTTTATTGATTTGAGGATAAAGAAATATTAAACATTCTCCAGTATTTCAGAGAATCAAACGTAAGAGCAACTAAATTTGTGACCACGCCCATTCAAAAAGACTGACAGTAAATTTAGTGACAAACTAAAAACCATATGTAGTGAATTTGCTTTTCCAATCATCTATATTGTAATCTATAGGAAAAGCTTAAGATAATATTATAAATACCACACTGTCTTTAATATTTGAGGAGCAGTACTCCTCAAAGACCTAACACCTAAAAACATTTTTAACAATATGGAAGAATTATTTATTGAACTATCAATTTTTATGCCCCAAGCATAATTGAGATCACTGGAACACGAGCCATGGAAAGAAAATGCAGGCTGATACAGAAGTTATCTTGGTGATAAAACCAGTGGCGAGCATATCAATGCCCAATGGGGCCTTCTTAACGTTTTGGCCCTTCATGAGAATCCAGAGACTACAGAACTCCAAATTGAACTTTACACCAACTCAGGGAGACAGGGGCTCGTAATTAGATTTGTAGACTTTAAAATATCTTTTAAATTTTTGACTTGCACACCCAAAGTTCTGATGAGGCAGGTTTAACTTTTCTTTCCTTTGAAGAAAAATTATTTAAATTATATTATTTTCTTTTAAAAATCTTATTTAAAAAAAATTTGGATTCAGCCAGTATATGTGCATGGTTGTTATATGGGTATATTGCTTGATGCTGAGGTTTGGGATACAGGTGATTCTATTACCCGGGTGGTGAGCATAGTACTCAATGGTAGTTTTTTAGCCAACACCCCCCTCCCCCTTCCTTTCTCACTTCTCTGTTTATCTCTGTAGTTGACTAAACTTGGCAATCTGTACCATCATCCACAAAAGGTATAAGCAGCTTGTAGGGCTCTGGAAGAGGAACAATCCTATATTCACTATTTCAGCACCCAGAAGTCATTTCCTGCTAAATACTCCCCTATTCTGTTCCTTCATGAGAAAGTAATGTCAGAGTCACAGGGGAGTCTAGTAAAAGATACTGGAAATCAAGAAATAGATCTGGAAGGTATGGGCATGAGAATGGCTCTTCTAGTCCTGCTGTGAAGGAAAGTGCAGGAAACTCCCTTTCTCAGACTAGACACACCTTCATCTGCTTCTTCTCAAAGGGCAATTGCACTGAATTCTCACTTGAGAAGGTGCAGACCAGATAGAACAGCAAGATGCTTAAACTGGGTTTCGCTCCCTCTCTTGGACCCACTACCTCATGTGGCCCACTGGGATGCCTTCAGCTTTTGCTACTGAGGATCCCAGCCTATTCTGACTGCTTCTAAAATGGTCGATATTCTAAAACTATTTTTTACTCATCCTTAATCATTTCCCGACTTGGCACCCCACCTATCACCAAAATTCCAGAGCATTGTATCTAACTCAAGAAACAAAGATAAGTAAATTAATATATACTATGAGAATGATTCCTGAAGGTATTGGTAAACAAAAGGAATCGATTGCTAATATTTCAGGAAGTGGGGGTTCTCTGTGGAGGAAAAGTGGAAGTATGCCAGTGGGTTGCTTTAGGCTAAATATCCAAGATCTTGCCTTTGGACATCAAAATAACTGTTCTAAAGAATCTCCCACCATTTATCTTCTCCACTTAGCTGGAAGAAGGTATCTGCAAGCCACAATTTTTGCCCTTCTTTCTCTTTCCAGGAAGGCCCCACTTAAGTGAAGTATCCTAGGTAGTATCCTAGCTCAAAGAAAAAAAAGGGAAAGGGCATTCAGGAATCTTCAGAGACACATCAGAATAGCCTCCCTTATGTTTGTTTCTCTTTTTTTCTGCAAGATTAGGTGAACAAATTCTTTTTTCTTTTCTTTTTCTTTCTTTTTTTTTTTTTTGAGGTGTAGTTTTGCTCTTGTTGCCCAGGCTGGAGTGCAATGGCATGATCTCAGCTCACTGCAACCTCCACCTCCCAGGTTCAAGCAATTCTCCGGCCTCAGCCTCAGGCATGTGCCACCACGCCCGGCTAATTTTGTATTTTTAGTAGAGATAGGGTTTCTCCATCTTGGTCAGGCTGGTCTCAAACTCCTGACCTCAGATGATCCACCCACCTCGGCCTCCCAAAGTGCTGGGATTACAGGCGTGAGCCACCACACCTGGCCACAAATTCTTTTTTCAAAGTAAAAGACCTTGAGTCACTTTAATCAGATGTTTGCTATTTACTTCCAATTACTATAGAACAAAATCCAATTAAAATGAGTATGATAGATCAACTTTAAGTTTCTTTGGTTGCCATATTATACTTTCTTTACATAATCATGTATCCTTTTGTTCACATTGAATGACTTTCCAATCAAAGTCTCAAAAATCTAAAACATAGCCACAGACTGTGATTTTAAGTCTATCTATAAATTGTTTGGAATGCAGCAGATATCTTCCCACAGAAATGGTGTATAAGACAAATTAACCCCTTAAATGCTCTGATTCAATATACAGTGAGTGTTCAGGGTTTAAAAGAAGGATTAAGTTCATGGGCCAGGTAACCAAAAATAAATACAAGAGGTATAAGAAAGCAAGAATTTAAGAAAGGTGGGACACAATTCCAGATTTGGCCAGTAAGGATGACTTCACATAATGAAAGCTACATATCGTACAGGACATGCAGGTTAGAACTGGCTTAGTTTCTGTATTTAGGCATGTGGTATGGCAGTGTGAAAACCCCACATGTTGTGGACAAAGAACATATTTGCAATCAGTTTTTTGTAAACTAGAGGCCAATATAATATCAGTTAGTGTGTTCAAGGTGACCAGGCTCCTTGGAAAGGAAGTCTGAACAAAGCATTGCTAAAAAAACAAAACAAACAAACAAACAAACAAAAAAACAGCTTGTGAAATTGATGGGGCCCAGAACAAATGCTGGTGTGCCAGTTAGGATTTCTTCATAGTAAACTCAACACCCAAATGTAATGTGGGAGTTATCCATTTACACCTGAGTACTGTGCCATATCTCTAGAAGATGGAATGGACTTATTGACAATGCACAAAATCCATCATTCACATCTTTCAGGCTTATATCAGTGCATTCATCTTGTTGTCTAGTTTGTGCTGAAACACAAATTTTTCAGAAACCAATTAACAGGCTAAATTACATACTTAATAATTTACCATAAACTTCTGAAATAAAAATAGCATCCCTTAAGTTTAGTTTTTCAGAAGAAAACAAATGAACATTCATTATAGCAAAGACATATTTGAGCTCTTCACAAGTTACTCGTACCTGAGTAATGGAATAGGAACTCTTCACAATGATTTTATAGTATAATGTAGTTTAATGGTTTTCCATTTTCCATAACATTAAATCTTTTGAGGTATCAATCACTTAATGCTTAATACGACTTTCAAGAGATCGGAATCCCTTTAAAATCCTAATTAATTTCATGCAGACTTAACAGAATTGCTTCCCTTCTTTGGACAAGAATGCTTTATTATTAATTAAAGGCCGCTTTCTCTCAGGTTCTCTTATTAGATAAAAATACTTTATTTTTATAGCCAACTGATTTACTTGTTTTTGCTTTTCTAGTTTTTACGTGTTGCATTGTATACCCCTCAAAAGATATGTTGAAGTCCTAACCCCAAGTACTTCAGAATGTGGCCTTATTTGAAAATAGATCGTTGCAGGTATGATCAAGCTAAGATGAGGTCATTAGGATGGGCCCTAATTCAATATAACTAATGTCCTTGTCAAAAGAGGAAATTTGGACACAAACACAAACATGCCCAGAGAGAAAGCAATGTGAAGAGACACAGGGAGAATCTCATGTGAAGATGGGGGATAGGAGTAATGCAACAAGTCAAGGAACACCAAAGATACCAACAAACACCGGAAGCTAGAAAGAGACTAGAAAAGATTCGCCTCCAGGTTTCAGAGGGAGAACAGTCCTGCCAACACCTTGACTTCGGACTTCTAGCCTCCAGACAGTAGATTATATTTCTGTTATTTTAAGCCACCCAGTTTCTGGTATTTTGTTAAGGCAGCCCTAGAAATCTAATACAATAGTCAACTTGAGATTTTTGTCAACTGAATGTCGCTGTGTACTTTCCTTAGCAAAGGCACTACCTCCACGAATTCCTTTGCTTCTGGAGAGAAATCCAAACACAACATCCAGCTGTGAGCTGTCACCTCCTCTTCCTCTGTCTTTCTGACATTTCCCCCACAGAGCTGCATATAAGCAAGTTATCGGGATCACAAAACAAACAAAATTGAGTTACCTATAACAAACTTAAAATCGTGAAGGATATTTAACTTTCCAGAGGTCCTTAAGAAACACTTTTTGTAAAATACCAAATGGATACACTAAGCAATAATTGTGAAGAGGAAAGATACTTAACCTCAAAAAATAAATGTACAGTTTCAAAAGTAATGGGATAGAGATAATCAGATAGCACTTTAGCCTTATGTATAATATTTTAATTCTTACACAGATAATATATTCATGTTTTATTATATAATTAAAAAGTAATTTAAAAACAATGAATGGGACCTTCAGCTTTGTTGATAATTACAACTTGTCACATTTAGATAAGGATTAACCCAGGAGAACATTATGTTAGCAGATTGGTCACATACATTTATCTGTTAATTGAAGAAGGCAGAACAATGCAAGATGTTCTCCAAGGACTCCCACTTATCTTTATATATTTAACAGACGATCAAGCCTATATGTACTATCTTTTTGCCAACTAAGTATATCAATTTTTAGCTACCAAGTCCTTGTCTCCTTATTTGAGAGATAAGTTGGCTTCATCTATTCTCACCGCCAACGTCCATGTTGCTGTTTCTCCATACTGGGCCTGAATAACATTCAAAGAAGTGTTAAGTAGATTAGAATGGAAAGGACCTGTTCCCCATGAAGCAAAACCAGGATTATAAGTAGAAGGTAGCTTCCCAGTACGTTTTTATGGAGCAACTGCTGCCCACATGTCTCACCTTGCCATGGATGCGGAACCAGACCTTCCTGTCACATTTGATAAGAGTGGCAGCCAGGCTCACAAAAGCTCCACGCACAGCCCCATAATTCCACTGCATCTTGGACTGTGAAGAAAGGTCAATTTTGTCAGAGGAGGGCGTCCTGGCAATCTGTCACTGCAGGCCTAGTCCTGTGGGATGGGATTAAGAAGAGTAGATTATATGCTTAAACTTATTAAAAGCCGTCTACTCTCTCTCTGTTTTCTCTCTCTCTCGCTCTCGCTCTTGATCTCACTCTCTCTCCTTTCTTTTGTACTTGCTCATTTTCTTTTTGGCTATAGGATAAAGTATGAAGTCTCCACATAGCAAACCAAGGAAAGTAAAGAGGGTAAGGGAACCGGGATCAGGACTGGCGCAAATCCCTGATCAACTGGAACAAGTCAAAGGATGAAGATTGTACCTGGCATGAAGGTAAACAATGTGGAGTCCTGGGGTGGCAGGGCATGGAGAAGTGAGAGTGCCAACATATTGAGAACAGTTCAAAAAAGCAGTTGGCACCCAGTAAGGAGTTAAGGGTTCTAGCAGATGGGCAGAGCCCAAGTAATCTTGGGGCAGCAGCTGCTGGTCATTGCCCAGCTGTCTACACACAGGGAATTAGAGTTTCAGGCACCAAAATAGAGTTCAGGGACACAGCTCCATGTTCTGGGAAGGAGCACTGCAGTCCAGAAGGGAGAATGATGAGAACACAGGGACCCAGATGAGAAGCTCACTTCTGAGAATAAGCCTTAAAGTGCAGGAAGAGTTGCAATTCTGGGAGCAACACAAGTAATCATTGCCGAGGCACTTGATTCAGAATCTGAATCTAGTCCACAGCTGACGGGACTAATCTGAGATGGCTCCCAGACTCACATGTCGCTGGCTTAAATACTGTGGTTGTGCTAACCCTCCCCAGAATGGAGACAAAAAGGCTGAGATGGTAAGAATACCTCATCCTTGATGGGCTCATGATAGAAACTGGGATAAGATGGAGCTTACAGAAAGATGGCACTAATTGAAGAGTTAGGAAAATAGAAACATGGCCAGTGGTATTAGTTTGGGGAGTGATACAACATTTAGAAGATTTCTACTTAGTATGGATTTTTAAGAATATTGAATAAAGTTTTAATTCTGAATTAGAGTTTTCTCAGGCCAGGCATGGCAATTACACCTGTAATCTCAGTGCTCTGGGAGACTGAAATGGGAGGATCACTTGAGACCAGATGTTCTAGATCAGCCTAGGCACTATGGCGAGACCCCCATCTTTAAAAAAATTTAAAAACTTAACTCGGCACGGTGGCATGCACCTGTAGTCTCAGATACTCAAGAGGTTGAGGCTAGAGGATTGCTTGTGCCCCCAAGTTGGAGGCTGCAGTGAGCTATGATCACACAATTGCACTCTAGCCTGGGTAACAGATCCTTCCTTGTCCCTAAATTTTTTTTTAAGTTTACTCATATTGCGGCATTCATCAAACACTCCAGTATGCACCATCTTGTGCATTATAAAGTGTAATGATGGGGTTTCACCAGATTCATTCTTCCTAGTTTCTAGTTCTTAATTTACAGTATGTTATCAGCTATATTTTCAATTTTAGTCTCTTAGAGACTTATTCTTTCAAAACTCTGATACTTGGCAGTATATTTGACCTTTTATCTGAGCTGCTAGAGTAATATTAAAATGACTGTCTCCAGTATCAACAACATCATCACCATTCTAGACTCAGCCTCTACATTACTCTGAAAGTTGGAACTCTTCAAACAAGGATGAACTTTTGTGTTTCAGTTCTTTTAAAAGGGATTTTGGCCAAATAAAATATGGGTTAAAATGAAAATATAAATAACATCTGCTTTTCTTGAATTACTTTCATACCAAAAATTTTACCAGTCAATTTTTCTTTCAATTACCCATATAACTTTCTTAGACAAATATGATAGACTTTACTTACGAAAACCTTTGTATCCCTATGGTATTAGAAACTACAGTTGTCTATGGTTGCCTCTCTTCTTCCCAGTCATGTTCAGTTGATCACCAAGAAATTCCTACAACTTCCCCTTCTTTCTATTAACACAACAGTGTCTAACTTAGGATCTCACTATTACCCACCTGAACTTGTCTCTCCGGACTAGATTTCCTGCTTCCAGGTCTCACACTTTCAATCCACACATATACTCTGTTTACTTTTCTAAAATACATATGCACCAATGTTTATTTTCTGTTTTAAATATTTAATAGCTTCTGATTGCCCATATGAGCAAAAACATATTCCTCAATGCAGCTCAAAATATATCACCTTATAGTCCAGCCCTAACCAACTTATTTTTCTTGATATTCCTTAATCTGACCTCTTCCGGTCATATCAAAATATTTGCTGTACTTAAAAATTGGTATGCCATGAGTTTGTTCAGATTAGCTTCTCTCTCTAAGTGCCCTTTATTTTTCTTTTATTACACAGAATAAGGAAGGTCCAGATTAAATGACACCTCCTCTGGAAATCCCGCCATGTCCTCCCCTTCTCTCTTCCTCCCATGCCAAACTCCATTCATTCTTCGTGTTTGCATGGCTCCTTGTACAGCTAGATCTTTCTTTTGGCATTTATCATCTATGTTACTTTTCATACATTCTTTTCTTCCACTAGACCAGCCTCTGAAGATTATGCGAAGTGCCATATTAATATTTAAAGATTTAGTATTTAGAAGGTACTTACTACCTGCTAGGTACTCAACATTAAATAAATAAATTGATGAACTAATTAAATGAATACATTAATTAACATTAAAACTTATTGCCATGGTGCCGTGATTATGATAGCACTGGCCCTTTACCTTTTCCTCATTCATATCTAAACAGAATTGAGGAGCATTTTTATAATCACAGAGTTTAGGAGTTTTCATAGTCTTTTATTAAGATCAGCTGTCTTTAGAGCATCCCAAAAGCTACCCTCAGATGTAGGTAGACACATGCTTACAGTTATTCTGTAGAAGGTTAAAACAAAGTCAAACAGATTATAATAGGACTTCACTAAAGAGTGCCAGAGTATCTCTGGAATTGTTTATAACTTTTTATTGCATTGTGTCAATTTTTCATGTTGCTTGCCATTAAATAACCTTGAATTGATATGACCATGGTAACCAGTACTGTGTAAAAATCAAAGAAAATGTTTCTGATTCTTTCTTTGAATTTCAGGACACACTTCTCTATTTTGCTAAGTGCCTAAATTTCTACATTTTTCTATTTTGAAAGTCTTTTTTAAAGGGGACTTTCCAATGTGGAAATTATTTCTTATAAAACAGAAAAATTACATAGAGGTTCACATTTGCACTGGATAATCTATAAACGTAAATCACTTACAAGTTTCAATGTCTTATTTGTTTAAAAAATCTCTCTGATTTTCAATAGTTTTAGTCAACTTACCCCATTTAATTGAGGTATTATGTAGAAACAAAACATGAAGGGACCCTGATTTTAAAAGCACACATGCACATGCAACACGCACACACAGCATGGTCTCATAATTTATTACAAGAGCATGTAATTTAAAGTATACTAGCCAATACTTAAGAAGCAAATAAGTTCTGCATTGCAGAGTTATTTGGTCAGACCAAAGCAAGGGAAATTATGTCTATTATAAAGAAAACATGAAAATTAAATATTCAGAAATCTCTGGTCCTATCTGAAAACAAAACAGCCTACTGATAAGAAATGAGCCTACTAAAAATAGTACATTGCAGGTAGAGTTAGTTAAATGTACTGCTTTTACTGATTTTTTAAAGAAACTGTTCCTATGGAAGGGAGGTATTAGATTTGTGGTATTCTCTTTGGGTCACTTGGGAAAGCTAGGGATGCTAGGTACATTTGTAAAGACTGCCAATTTTTCAAGACTAAGTGGAATTTTCACTTGTCTCATATCTGAAAACAATTTATGTCCTGTTTTTAAGATAGAAATAATCACATGGAATTTTTTCTTTGATTTGGAAATTTAACTTTCTTTTTATTTTATTTTATTTTATTATTTTTGAAATGGAATCTCGCTCTGCTGTCTGGGCTGGAGTGCAGTGGTGCAATCTCAGCTCACTGCAACCTCTGCCTCCTGGATTCAAGTGATTCTCTTGCCTCAGCCTTCCAAGTAGCTGGGATTACAGGCGTGCACCACCACGCCCAGCTAATTTTTCTATTTTTAGTAGAGATGGGGTTTCACCATGTTGGCCAGGCTGGTCTTGAATTCCTGACCTCAAGTGATCCGCCCACCTTGGCCTCCCAAAGTGCTGGGATTACAGGCATGAGCCGCCGTGCCTGGCTGGAAATTTAACTTTAAAATGCCATCAAATAGAGGTCCTCTCATGAAAGAAGGGTTTGGTTGATGATGAGAAAAGTTGATATAATATCTACATTCCTAGGATAATTTATAGTCTATGAAGAATATGTCATCGGCACTTTGCTTTTCTCAAGAAAGGATGCTATGTAAAATGTTAGTCATTGTTAACATGATCAAAACATCCTTTGAGTAATGTTAAATAAAGCTATACCATTTCACAGATGGATAAACCAGTCTCAGGGTACTAAATTAAGTAGTAAATTGACAACTTCATTAGTCAAATTTGCAGTGGAATGCCAGTTTGCAGTCAGAGTGCTCATTCATTCAGATTGTCTTCTATCTTTCCTTTTTTCTCTCTTTCCTTCCTCCTCCTTCCTTCTTTTCTTTTTTCCTTTCCTTTCTTCCTCTCTCCCTCTCTCTCTTTATTTCTGAATAAACCTAGAGTATAAACATGCAGTAGACAAACAAGCTCTTTTTTTTTTTTTTGAGACGGAGTCTCACTCTGTCGCCCAGGCTGTAGTGCAGTGGCACAATCTCGGCTCACTGCACGCTCCACCTCCCGGGTTCATGCCATTCTCCTGCCTCAGCCTCCCGAGTAGCTGGGAGTACAGGCACCCGCCACCACGCTTGGCTAATTTTTTGTATGTTTAGTAGAGACGGGGTTTCACGGTGTTAGCCAGGATAGTCTTGATCTCCCGACCTCGTGACCTCGTGATCCACCCGCCTCAGCCTCCCAAAGTGCTGGGATTACAGGCGTGAACCACTGTGCCCGGCCCACAGACAAGTTCTCTTAACAGCTGGGCTGTCCTCTCCCTTTGAAGGCATCCATGTGAAGGAGAGAAGGATCTTAGCCCCTCCTGCCCCTTCTCCTAGACCTACTGGCCCCTGTCAACCTTCAGAGTACAGCTGAAGCCTTCACTAGCCACCTTGGAGTTGGGAAATATGATAAATTATTTTCCTTGGTGCAGTGAGAGCAGCATTGCTTATTTAATGGAGTGGACACAGGTGGAGAAAGCTGACATTTCCCCAAATACACCAAATTACCACATACAATATGCTGCAACTTGACTCTAAAAGCAAAGAAAATGTGATTGAACAATTTATGGGTTTGATGTACAAAGATCATTTCCTGCAATATGAGCAGTTTTGTGCTTTAAAAAGTGGGTGGAGCGGGGTGAAAGAGGGTGGCTGTCCTTGATATCACAAGCCAGTGTATTATCAATTTTTCTATTTTATTCATATTAAGTACCAGTTTTTCATTACCTGTTTTAACGTAGTCAGGTGTCATATATGTTGTTTGAGAAAACTCACTTTCCTTCATCTGACTTTCATATGGAGCAGAGTAGACACTGCAGATTTCTAGCAGTGAAGAATCTGAAGCAAAGAAGTCGTCCTATTATCTGAAAATGTCTTTTTCAAAGTTGTATTTTGTCACAAACAAGATATAAATTGCCAGTTACATAAAGCAATACTGAGGACTAAACTAGAAACAGCCTAACAACTCCCTTGGCCTGTGTTCATCATTGAACATTCGATGTGACTGCACAGTGATCACATTATGCCAGCAAGGTTTTGGCATCAGCAATGTGTCCATTATGTGTTCTAGAACATAGTCTCTACAAAAGTCCATGCAAAAAGTACATTCCAATACCAATTGGGTCAGCTGCCAATACTAATTGGGTCAGTTGCCAATTTCTTGTAATCCTATCTCTCTAATATCAATTGTGTCTTTCCTCTCTTCCTCTTTGCAACTACCCCTCCCAAACTCCACATCCTCATTTCTGATCCTCTAGGCCTTCACCAGACAGAGTGGTGAAATACAAGTGGTGAAATACAAAGGAAGCCTGGTTTAACAGCAAAAGATGCAAGTCTGACTTCTGACTCCACTTCACTACAGTTGTGTGATCTTGAGCAAGTAATTATTTGAGGAATTAAAGCCACTGATACAATTTAAACTTAAATTGTATCAGTGGCTTTAATTCGTGTTCTCTCATTTAATCTTCACATCACTTCTACAAGGTAGCTTTTTTTCAGGTTGGAGAGTCACTAATGTTCTTAGAAATTCCACGATTTCACCAAGCTAGTTAGCTAGGCAAAGCAAGGATCCAAACGTACTTTTGTAAGACTTTCAAATTTGCTGTTTCTAACATAGCACAAAGCTTCATACATTGTCAAATTACTTCTCAATTTTTAACCTTAATATCCTCCTGTACAAAACTGTGCTGATCCTCAATTTCCCATGCAATGAGAATGTTTTAAGTGTAACATAGTAAATGAGATAATACAAAAGCAGCAAGCATAGATACTCCATAAAAAATACCAAAGATACCATTCCTTTCTTCACTTCTCCTAAAGTTCTCCTTTTCTCCATTGCTTATTCAATCATTTTTAAACATGACTAGATTAATTATCAATCTTTTCCCACCAATGTTTTCATCAAAGGTCTTCAATGGCTTTCCACTGACAAGAGTTATGTTCAAGCTCCTTCCTCTGACATTCAAGACCCCAACAATGTGGTGACCATTACTGCCTAATTTCTTCTCAAATAAAATGACAGGTTATCTTTACCTTTGTTTACACTACTCTGGTGCTTTCAGTGCCCTTCATCTGACTCCACATACCCACGTCATGGTTCCATCTCTCCTCACTGAGTCTTCCGGCATTTCCTTATCAGTGAAGTTTTCTATAATTTCTCCCCACTCTGAATTTCCCTGCGATTTGGGTAGCTCTTTCTTCTGGCACTTATATCTTTCATTTTGTGTCTTACTTTCATTAGAGGTTCTACATCCTGTGCAATGGTGGAAGTTCTTTGAAGGCTATATCTATTCAGGATTTCTTTAAAATAAGTTTTATAGTGTTTTTAAATAAGAAAGAGTGAATGGTCAAAAGAATCTCAACTCATTTGAATTTCTGCACAATAGTACTTACCCTCTAATGTGCTCAAGTTAAAATGTACTGAAATGTTTCCCATGTTTTACAAAACACATTACATAGATATAAACTACATAAACATATTACAAAATAAGTGGCTAACAGATACTTTGGCTACGATGTGATACAAAAATTGGAAAGTTCAACTGTGGTAAGGCACGCTGACAAATGTTCATAAGGACCCATTTTCTCATCAATTACCTGGTTGCAGACATCGTATCCTTTGATTTGTTACTGCTCTATATGACACAGATGTCTTTTGTATAGTCAAAAACACTACTGATTTATGCTCAAAAAGGAAAAGAAATCTAAAACTGTAATCTGTGCATTTGAGAAAACCCTAGAAATAAAGCCAGTCTCAAACCTGGGAAATTTTCAGGAAAGTTTTTACAATGTTCTCTCTGGGTGGCACTAAGTGCAGCAGACATTAGAGATTTAATCAACTGACAAAGCATCTTAGCTGTACATTAAAGGAAGGAGAGGAAAGAAACTCACTTATTATGCTTTTTAATGCACTGACCTTCCTAGACAATTATTGTATGGCTCTGAAAGACTTCTGGGTATTCTGTAAGAAAACGGAGTACCATTAAATTCCAGTCTCTTGAGGTTAGAGCTGGGTCTTAATTGCTACGTTTTTCAAAAGTTGCTCGTGGAGATTTTCTTGCCTTTTGACAAAACTTAAAATCAATTCCCCCAAGTCATGGTGCATTCATATATGGAATTATATGCTATTTGCTGATAGTGCATTTCACAGTTGTTGGAATGACACAAGACAAGCATGAGAAAGGGAAAATCTGCAAGCAAGCTATAAGAAACTTTTTATCTGAGGACAGGCAAAAAAAATGACTAGAACATTAGGCCCACTGGATGGATACTTAGCAAATGGCAAACTAGGCAGTTTACCATATTCTAGAGTAGTAAGAACAAGGGGAGATACTACTTTTTTTGGAAAGTCCTACAAATAAACAATGGAGAGTCGTAAAACTGAGGCACTAATTCCTTTACCAGTGGTACAGAGGGAAAACAGATACCATTCCAAAAGGTTTATGTGGATTTTCACAGATGAAAGTATTGAAATTGGTTGCTAAAAGAAGAATGTTCAGAACACAACTGGAATGTTGAGTGTGGTACCTACATTTAAAATGTTAATGAATGTTTAATAATGTCAAGCACGATTGCTTACCATATTAGCTCAACTCATCTTTACAATAAATTTTGGAGGTAAACATTATCTTCATTGTACAGAGGAAGAAACAGAGGAGGCATAGAGAGGTTACTGCCTCTGTCATGGCAATGTCTCTAGTAGTCAGGCAGCCTTTCTTGATCCTCGCAAGACTGCACTTTCATGGAAAATGGCTAGACAGACCATGGGTCTGAAGCCGCAAGCAAACCTCACTTATCCATAGACACCATGCTGTCTTTTAAGAATGGAAAAATTAAGTCCAACTTTATTTGAAAATTGGTTGTAAGGCCAGTTTTTTCTATACTTTGCAAATTTTCTATAACAGAAGATATATTTTAAATCTGTGGGATTATAGGAGCTATTTCTATGTATAAAAAATAAAACTTTAAAAGAATAAAAAAGATAAAAATTCAAATATCTGGATAAAAGCAAAATATCTGGTTTTAATATGTACCATCAGTCGCCTTAAAATCACACCATTAAAGTAGATAATGCTTGGACATTTTGGCATTGAAAATGTGAAGCACTTTTTAAACATGCACATACACATACACACACTCACACACACATACACAATTGCATTAAAATAAAGTTTTACCTCCCACCTCTTATACAAAATTGATACATGAAAATTCTATTTCCAAAAGAAATGAATAAGAGGAAGATACTAGAAATCATATCTCTTTACTCCTAATCCGCTATACCACTTATGAAGCATTATCATCAAAAAGCATTTATAAAGTGTTATTATTGTCTGAAACAGTGTGTGAAGAGAAGCGCATAGGGAGCAACAAATGGTTGAGATACATTTTTTCTGAGGATACAGACATTCAATGAGTCAGGAAGGTATGGAGGAATGCATAGATCCTCCCCCAGACCCCTGTGAATCGAAGACAACACAGAGAGAAAATGAAGTCTTGTGGGAGAGACTAAGCCTTCAATGACTCTTAGACTGGGCTCTTTTCTTACTTTCTGTTGCTTCTCCAAAACTTATTTGGGGAATCAAGGAGAAAGTTGTGTTTTTCACTTCTCAATAAATTTTTTATTTCAACTTCCTTATAAGGATTTCTCAAATCGAGTCAGATATGTCACCTAATTGGAAGGTTAAGTTGGTAAAAGCAGAAGCTATTCTAACTTTAGAGGTTTGGGATACAAAACATTATAAAGCCATGTCATATCTCATGATTAGCTCTAAGGAATACATTTTCTAATGGATAATATTTGCTTAGCCTCATTCATATAGAAACAACTTTCACAATCTCCTTTTACTTCCATTTTATTCCATCACAATAACAAAATCCACTTATAATAGTTTCAGGGGCATTGTGAGGGAAGATAGAAAGAGGGAACCTAAAGATTCAACATTTTCCTAAAGTTCAGTACTGTTTTTTCTCAAGTCTCTCTATAGAACTTGTGGTCCTTTAACATTATCAATGCACAAGTGATCTCTCTCTCTCTCTCTATCTCCATTTCTCTCTGTCTTTTAAGAGACAGAATTTTTCACTAGGCCCAGGCTGGCCTCAAACCCCTGGACTCACGGAGTCCTCTCCCCTCAGCCTCCCAAGTAGCTCAAACTACAGGCACAGGCCATCAGGCCTGGCTTATGTGAACGCTTTCTTTCACATCAAGGTGCAACTGAGTTCTTTCTGAGGAACACCAGGATAGGTGCCTGCACTCCTCTGCACGTGACCTATATTCATAGATAGGGATACACCAAGGTTATAGAGATCATGCAGGGTAAATACAGGGAATGTCAGAGTAAATACAGGGAATTCCAGCTGTGATTATCTGAACATACCTCAGCCACAAAAAACCTTCAGAGAATACGAGATATAATAGATGATGTTGTCTATTACATATGAAGTGTCTATGGTGAACAGAACACAAGATGAATTCAAACCCAAACTTTGAGGTCAGTTTAATATGCCCTCTGCAATAACCATTGATAAAAAGATACAAGGTGTCACAGAGCCTGGGCAGCATTCTTGAAGAGAACAAAAAGGAGAGGAATGCAGTCTGAACAGGTTTGAAATATCAACTCATGATTACCCCGATTTTGTTGAGTTAACTTCCTCATTTTCTTGTGTCCATTTGCCCCTTTTAAACCCACCTAACGTGATCATCTCTTTAAGAGGATGACAATAAGATTATCTTCAAACCAATCAGCAGAATCTAGACTGGTTTTTTTCTGTGTCTCATTATATAAGGCCAATATATAGAATCACGATTATATTGTACACTTCCCTCTGATAAGCCATTATTTGCTGATCTATTTTGATTAGAGTAGTAGCCACATTTGCTGCTTCTATTCCAAACAATTGGTGCTGGCTTTGTAACACAATACTGTGCTATGATCATCCAGAATATACACTCATTATTAATCAAGGATGGTCATACACCTGGATGACTCTATTCCAAAGCATAAATAATCTATCAAGATTTGCCAAGGGATTATATTGCTTTCGGCAATGTTGGAATTATTTAAGATTTAGAAGTATGCAATTTCCTTCATTTCAATAAAGATCATTTATTCTCCCTCATGAGCCACCATTTTATAAGTAACCTTCCTTTGTGGTTAAAAATGGATCTAATACAGCTTATCTGTACAAAGTATTATGTGCAATTTATGTCTCTGAGTGATTGAAAAATGGAAAACAACCTCATCTGTAGGCAGACTGATCAAGAGCTAGTGTAGGGCATATGCTTACATGTTCTACTGAAATGACTGAAGGGCAGAGATGAGATGTTGTTCATTATTATAATTATCTTTCTGTCATAGAAGGAGGCTTTAATGTGAGTTAAAGTAAAACATTTTTCCTTGTAAAGTAAATTACGGTCTTAAGGGACTGTGGTTTGGGAATGACAGGTTGAATTTACATTGTAGGTGCAGACATGGTTTCTAAAAACCGCAAGTTGCTTTCTGGGCAAACTTTCCTCTCTCCAGGTGGATGCTGTGTGATGTTCACTTCAAGAAAGTCTTTTCAGGTATCAGTTTACAGACAAATAATAATGAGGGATTCTGAGCTTCCATAGCCATTCTAAAATCACATATTCATCAGAGGAAGAAACTCTAATAAAATGTTCTTACAGTGAGAAGACAAGTGAAAATAATATGATAAAATGTTTTTGTCTTACTTTGTTTAAGATAAAATAGAAGCTGAAGAAAACCAACTACTTTTCAGCCATTTGTGAAAACAGCATTTGAAGTGAAGCTTCTGCTCTACAAATCCCTTAGGAAAGTGCTAGTTTTGTTTTATTTTATTAAATTCTCCATATGTTTTCTCATAAAAAGTTATTTTCTAAGAAATAATTTGTACTTTCAGATCACCTGAGCTGGGAAGGAAGATCAGGAGAATATCCATAATGGGAATAGTAAGGATAATAATAATATATATGATGTATATATATAATTTTACAAAAAGTAACTTTCTTGTCTTAAAGTTAACTAATATATATGTAATATATAGTAGCCATATGATTAATGTTAGCATTTTTTATGAGCTTATCATTAGGCAAATTGAAGAAGTAAGTCAATTGTGAAGTAAAAAATCTCTGTTGAATAGTAATATGTGTTTTAAAATATATGAAGCAATTATTAAAGCCCAATTACAAAACCTCTTTTAAAATAGTTGTATTACTTATTAGAATTGCATGCTCTGCTAGTATTTCGAGAAACTCTATTCAAGAGACTTAACGCCAACCCCCCTTCAATCCCACCAGTGCCGAGATAACGTTTGCATTTGCTAAAAATAAAAATAACACTTTCTCCCATCTCTCACTAAAACAAAAGGAGGTTCATTAGAATAATTGAAACAGAATGCAATTATAACTACACCATATATTTGCTGATATATTAGGTGTGCAGATATTTAATTTTGTTTCCCTATACAGGGACTTGGTTTCTGTTTTGAATTTCCATCTAATCTAGTCACTTGTAAGTAGACTATTCAAAGTATTTTCTCATCATTTAAGTTTGAAACTCAGTTATAGGGATTTCTTCCCGAAGCTGATTCTCAATTGTATTCAGTGGTGGGAAATGAGTGGGGGGTCCCGCCCACTTCTCAGTCTTGAATTTCCTCTCTCAGCAATCCACAAGCAGGCAGCACCCACCACCTGGCTGCCAGCTCACCATCCATGCCACCCAATCGGCCACGTCATGGAACCCTTTCCATCTTTCAGTAATCAATGCCGTATCCAAATAGCCTCACAAGGAAAGTGTTATGCTGTTTAACTGGCCAGGTGGGGGTGTGGGCTCTCTGAGGCTAACTTGGACCCACGCCTAAGACCCTATGCAGCATGGCCTTATTCTACCACTGAGGAAAAGGAAACACTCCTTGAGATTTGCTCTTTCAAGGCAAACAAGACAGTAGCAGGGCACTTGCCCGCTTTACTCTCAGATCCACACGTTATTTTACTATTCTTTATGTTAGACCTGAGGAAGAGGATGGCACAGCCCCCATCCTCTACCCCAATATGCATATATGTGCCAGCATCAAACTGTTTCCTTAAATTTTCTTCTAATTCCATCTCAGAGGACTTTTATGTATTTGAAGGACAAAGAAAAAATTGGTTCTGCTGGATTCCACCTCCCCTCAAATATTTTCTGGACTATTAATTTTTATTTTATTAGCTTCTTTTAAAATCATTAATTTTTCCTTTCATTGCCGATTTTGCACTCCTTGAAGTGATAAAAAGCTCCCATCCATGGGATCTGATGAGGAAGATTACAGGGAGAAAATCAAGAGAGAAAACAGAATACTGGCTTGTATATTACTGTATTTTTGTACCACAGCTGCCTGCTGTATGCCAGCTATTTGTTAACTGTACCTGCCTTCTTTTTTTTCAGCTATTTAACCGAATCTGTGCTCCTCAAAGACAGGCAGACAAGGAATCAGGGACCAAGTCACTGGTAGCTAAGAACACGCTGAACTTAATTCCCTAAATGGATAAAGCTATCTGAAAACCTTTTTGTAACAAATCCCATTTAACCTACAAACCTGAGGGCTTTCACCCCGAATAGCCGCAGCCCCAACTCTCTCTTGGGTTGGCCAAGGTATATGTGGTTCCAAATGCTGGCAAGTGTGGAAGCAGAGAAAATAGCTACTGGCTGGAAGGCTGGGCTTCAGGTCCTGGCGAAGGCTTAGATGCGCTGCATTTATTCGCATCTTTGGAAAGGACATGAGCAGGTAGGACTTTATCCAGCTAGGTAGACAGAAAACAAAATCAGATGCGATGACTTTGTCTTCATCTTCAGGGCGTGACTTTCTTCCATTTCACAGGTCAGTAGTTGCCCTTATGATAAACAAATAAACAAACAGGAAAAAGAAGGCTCAGAATGAGTCTCAGTGCCTTGATAGCCGCTCTGTGTTAACACACACACCCTTCAATCACATTTAAACTGACAAACTGAAACAGAAACAACATGTTTCCACCTACCTAATGTAACTGTCCCTTGTATAAGATACATTCATTATTTTCCAAAGAAGGGAAGATCCCAAAACCTATAAGTCACTGTTTTCATCTTGAAATAATGCTTATTGATCTTCCAGTAAAATTACAATCCCATTTTGATATTTTGCTACTTAAAGTGGATGAGGCTGATATTATTAAAGGTTGATTATAAGATTCACATGTACCAATACACCTTATATTAAATATTAGGGAAAGAGAGATGGAAAGATTCATCAATATGTACAAATATCATCATAATAAAGCAAGGAAAATATATGCATAGTTACTCTAACCCTCATTTTTGCATTTGGGTATAAGGTTGCACTTGCTAATTGTAACTTGTCTATTATTGACTTCATCTTATTTTTTTCCTTTTGCCAGTCCCACAGATGAACATGCGCTTTATGATCCAAACCATCATTCCTCGTTTATTAATTTATTTGATTATTTTGATAGCTGTAGGGGTAGAAGTAGTTTTTGGATACATTAATGAATTGTATGAAGTATCTTATTGTGGTTTTAATTTGCATTTCCCTGATGGTTAGTGATGTTGAGCATTTTTCCTATGTTTTTTGGCCATTTGTATATCTTCTTTTGAGAAATGCCTATTCATATCATTTGCCCACTTTTTGATGGGATTGTTTTTATCGTGCTGACTTGCTTGAGTTATTTACAAATTCTGAATATTAGCCCTTTGTCACACGCATAGATTATGAATATTTTTCCTCATTCTGTGGGTTTTCTGATTGTTATTATTATTTATTTTTTTGCTGTGCAAAAGTGTTTTAGTTTAATTAGATCCTATTTATTTATTTTTGTTTTTGTTGCATTTGCTTTGAGTTTCTTGATCACGAAGACTTTGCCAATGTCTAGAAGGGTTTTTCCTGGGATTTATTCTAGGGTTTCTATGGTCCAGGTTTTAGATTTAAGTTTTTCATCTATCCTGAGCTGATTTTTGTATATGGTGAGAGACAGGGATTGAGATTTATTCTTCTACATGTGGCTATCCAGTTTTCCCAGTACCATTTAATTGAATAGGGTGTCCTTTCCCCAGTTTATGTTTTTGTATGCTTTGTCAAAGGTCAGTTGGCTGGAAGTGTTTGGCTTTACTTCTAGGTTCTCTATTCTGTTTCATTGGTCTATGTATCTGCTTTTATAGCCCTACCATGCAGTTTTGGTTACTATAGCCTTGTCATATAATTTGAAGTCAGATGATGGGATGCCTTCAGATTTGTTCTTTGTGTTTAGGATTGCCTTGGCTATTCTGACTCCCTTTTGGTGCCATATGAATTTTAGAATTTTTTTTCTAATTCTATGAAAAATGGCATTGATATTTTGATAGGAATTGAATTGAATCTGTAGATCAATTTAAGCAGTATGGTCATTTTCATGATATTGATTCTTCCAATCCATGAGCATAGGATATATTTCCATTTGTTTACGTCACCTATAATTTATTTCAGCATTGTTTTGTAGTTCTCCTTGTAGAGTCTTTCACTTCTTAGTTATGTATATTCCTAGGTATTTTATTTTTTTTGCAGCTATTGTAAAAGGGATTGAGTTCTTGATATAATTCTCAGCTTGGTCATTGTTGGTGTAAAACAGGCAAAAGAAGGCTCAGAATGAGTCTCAGTGCCTTGATAGCCACTCTGTGTTGACAAAACTTAAAATCAATTCCCCCAAGTCATGGTCCATTCATATATGGAATTATATGCTTTTTGCTGATAGTGCACTATTTCATAGTTGTTGGAATTACACAAGACAAGCATGAGAAAGGCAAAATCTGCAAGCAAGCTATAAGAAACTTTTTATCTGAGGACAGGCAAAGAAATGACTAGAACACTAGGCCCACTGGATGAATATTAGTCCTTTGTTGCATGTTTAGATTATGAATATTTTTCCCCATTCTGTGGGTTTTAACGGGGTATATTGCATGAACTGATTTTTCTATGTTAATCTGACCTTGTATAGTATAAATACTACTTATCCCTGTTACATAATCCTTTTTGTATTTTGCAGATTTGGTTTGCTAGTATAGTGTTGGAGATTTTTGTATTTATATAAGAGATATTTTTTATAGTTTTCTTGTGCTGTTTTTGTCTGGTTTGGTGTCAGGATAATAATAGTAGCATTAGAGAATGAGTTGGGAAGTATTCTTTTCTCTTCTATTGTTTGAAAGGGTTGGTGAAGGGTTAGTATTAATTCTGCTTTAAATGTTAGGTAGAATTCACCAATGAAGTTGTATGCACCAATGAAGTTTCTGCACCATTCCTTAGTAAGAAATTGAGGTTTAGAGAAATTAAATGATTGGCCCCAGTCATTCAGTTAGTAAATAATAATACCAAAATTTGATTTTTTTCCTTGATTTCAAAGTCTACACGTTCTACTACACCACAATTATATAGAGTTGCATCTCATCATATATATGTGCCATTTGGAGGAAAAATTTTATACCAGAAGAGCCAAGGCCAAGAGAGAAGCCTATCTTCAAGCCAATTAGTGTTGGTTGCTGTACAAACAACCTTGACATTTTGAGAAAAAAAAAATAGTTATGTTTACAACTAGTTTAGGTATTCCTCCATGACACCATTAGAAAAACTATTCCAGTTAATTAAAGGAAGACAATCTTGTACTTATAAATACACACATAGTACCCCAAACTTCTTGGATTATTAAGGATGCCAGATATTCCAGCAATTGCTGTCAGAAGCTAGAGCTTCTATCAATAAACCAACATGAATTTTTCTACCCTAAACTTATTTATACAAAGATAAACTGTGTTTATTGTAATTTAACAATCTGTCTCTCTTTCACATACACTATATATACACATATATAATATTCTGTATTATTCCTCTGTTTATTTAGAATATTCTAAATACATTAAATTATTCTAAATATATATTTTAGTTTTATATATTTAAAATATTCTATATTTCCTCTTTATAGAGAATGTTCTAAATATATATTATATTCATTTAGTGAGAGAGAGAATATTTACTGAGAGAGAGAGACAGCAATTAAAGCTTAATTTTACCACTGTTGAGAATCTGTTCACAGGTGCATTAGTCATTTTCTCATTCACAGAGTATTACAGAGTATTAATGTTTTTCAGGGCTGGGTTTGTTTGTTTGTTTTGCAATCTTTACTATGTAAATTTTACTATTTAATAACAAACATGACCTCACTCATAAACAAGTCAAAATAATAAAAATGTCTGTTTAGGGCATTTTCTTCCAACTGCAAATCCCACACAGTGTTAACATGCATCACGCATATGGATGATACAGATATGACTTACTGCCTTTTCATTATTCCTGTGAGTCCACTCTTAATGGAATATTTACATGAGTTGCTTCTGGAATGCAACTACATAGTGCTATTATTTGTACAAAACTAAAGAAAATATGAAATTAAAACTTAAACTTCAGAAAATTATATTCAACCACATCAAAATTTCATTGTAAACATCATAGAGAGTCTGAGCACAGTGGCTTATGCCTGAACACCCAGTGATTTGGGAGGCTGAGGCAGGAGGATCGCTTGAGTCTAGGAGATTGAGACCAGTCTGGGCAACACAGCAAGGCCCCATCTCAAAAATAAATATAAATAAATAAATACATAAATAAAAATAATAAAATAGATACAACAGAGAAAAATGTTCAGTCTTAGCTTTTATCCAAAATATTTCAATAATATGAAAATCCCAAGGAAATTGCTTAACATATAATTATAAATTTGACGCTGGCATTGTTTGTGAAATAAAGATTTTTAAAAGGCACTAACATTTGATTGCCCAATATGTGCTGAGAACTTTAATAGATGTTTCATTCATTTATTAAGCTTCTACTATGGAGCAGGCACTATTCTAGCACTGGAAACGTATCAGAGAAAAAAGAAAAAGAACAGAAAAAGACCCACACACTTGTGAAGGTTTAATTCTCCAAACAACCTGTATCTTGAGTAATATCATTTTAACTTTCTAAATGAGAAAACTCAAATAGAGATAAAATAATCAACTTGTTCAAGTTTGCATGTTTAATGAGGGAGTAAAGTGAAACCTGAAGCTACATGTATACAAAATTCACCCTCCTTCTATCGTGCTAAGACATGCTACTCAGTATGCCTCAGCTGCCTAAAATCAACAAAAGATTTATAGATCTTCTTTTTTACTCCCCAAGACAAACACATTTAATAAAATACCAATAAAAATAACATTAATGGGATTTTTTTGGTTTGTTCTGGCGTACAACAAATTGATTATAAAATTCAAACGGAAAAGTAAACAAGCAAGAATAGCCAGAAAACATTCCTAAGTAACATAAGCAGTGAGGACCAACTAAGCATAGCCGACCCTAAGACATGTTATCAAGTTCTGCAGTTAAAACAGTATAGTATTTGTGATTAAATAGATCAATAGAAAAGGATAGAAAATTCAAAAATGGATCTAATTGCATATGAATCTACATATAAAAGTCATTAACAGTTTATGGAGATATAATTACATATATAACATATAACAAAATTCACCTGGTTAAAGTGTACAATTCAATGATTTATGGTATATTCACAGTTGTGCAACCATCATTACATCCTAATTTTAGAGCATTTTATCACTGCAAAAGGTAGCCCAGTAGCCATTAGCAGTCATTTGTTACTACTCTATATCCTGCCCCAGCCCTAGTCAATGAATAATCCACTTTTCTGTCTCTATTTTGCCTCTTCTAGACATTTCATATAAAATGAAATCATACTATATATGTTCTCTTTTGTGACTGGCTTTTTTCACTTAGCATGTTTTGAAGGTTCATCCATGCCATAGCATGTATCAGTACTTCATTTTTTTTTTTATTGTAGAAGAGTCTTATATTTTGGATATATACCACATTTATTTATCCATTCATCACTTGCAGGACATTTGGATGTTATCCATTTTGGGACTACAATGAAGAAAACATCTATGAAAATTCATGTACATGATTTTGAGAATATGTCTTTGTATTTCTCTCGGGTATATATTTAGGAGTAGAATTGCCAGTTCACACGTAGCTCTATATTCAACATTTTGAGGAACTGACAAGCTGTTTTCAAAAGTGGCTTCACCATTTTACATTCCCATGAATGAATGATAGCTCCCAATTTTCCTACATCCTCACCAATGTTTGTTATTGTCAGTCTTTTTTGTTATAGACATTCTACAAAATGTGACAATGCATCTCATTAAGGTTTAAATTTGCATTTCCCTAGTAATTAATGATGTTGAGAATATTTTCATGTACTTATTGGGCATTTTTATATCTTTTTGGAGAAATGTCTATTTGGAACCTTTGCTGAATTTTTAACAGGGTTACTTATTTTTCTATTATTGAGTTGTAAGAGTTTTAAAAATATATCCTGGTTAAAATTTCCTTATCAGGTAGATATATAATTTACCAATATTTTATCTCATTCTGTGGAATGTTCTTTCACTTTCCTGATGGTATCATTTGCAGCACAAAAGTTTTTAATTTTGATGACATCCAATTTATGTATTTTTTTAAAATTTGTTGCTTTGCTTTCGGTGTCATATGTAAGAAGTATTAACTCACAATAATGAAGATTTACCCCTCTGTTTTCTCCTGAGTTTTATAGTGAAGACTGTCTCTAACTTCCAATGGTTTGACTTAACATTTTTTGACACATATGCATTCAGTGAAAACCATAATTTGAGAGTGCCCATATTATCATTCTGTTTTTCACCTTCAATACATTATTAAATACATTATACGCATGTGATATTCAACACTTTATTATAAAATAGGCTTTGTGTTAGATAATTTTGCCCAACTGTAGGCTGATGTAAATGTTCTGAGCACATTTAAGGTGGGCTAGGCTAAGCTATGATGTTTAATAGGTAAGATATATTTAACGCATTTTAAACTGATGATATTTCCAACTTGTGATGGATTTATTGAAATCCAACCTCACTGTAAATTAAGAAGCATCTGTACTACCTTTTATGTTTAGGTAACCAGTTTGAGTTAATCTTTGGTTAGAGAGAAGAAGGGGTCTAACTTCAATCTTTTGCATCTGGATATCTAGTTGTCTCAGTACCATTCATTGAAAAGACTATTTTTCCTTATTGAATGGTCTTAGCACCCTTATTGAAAATCAATTAAGAGAAAATGAAAGGGCTTATTTCTGGACTCTCAATTATATTCACTGATGTACATACCTATTCTCATGCTAGTACCATACTCTCTTGAATTTCAGTAAAGTTTGAAATCCTGAATTATGTCTACCAATTTTACACTTCTTCAGAATTATTTTGGCTATTCTGGGTCCCTTGCATTTTCATATAAATTTTTGGCTCAGATTCTCAATTTCTGCACCAAAAAAGTCAGCTGTGACTTTAAGAGTTGCATTAAATCTGTAGATCAGTACTTGGAAAGAATGGCCATATTAACAACATTAAGTCTTCCAATTTATAACTATAAGATATCTTCCCATTTATTTAGGTCTTCTTTAATTTTAATTGGCAATGTTTTATAGTTTTTAGTATGTAAGCCTTGCACTTCTTTCCTTATGCTTACTTCTAAGTCCTTTATTATTTTTGATGTTACAAATTGAATTATTTTCTTAAATTCATTTTCAGATTGTTTATTTTTTATAGAAATACAGTTGATTTTTGTGTATTGATATTGTATCAACCTTACTGAAATCATGTATTTGTTAAGATACATTTTTCTGTAGATTCCTTAGGATTTTCTGTATACAAAAGCATATCATCTACAGACAAGAGATAGGTTTATTTCTTCCTTTCCAGTCTGGATACCTTTTATGTCTTTTTCTTACCTAATTGATCTGGTTACTACATCCAGGACAATGTTGAATAGAAATGGTAAGAGGACACATTTTTTGCTTGTTCCTGACTATTGTCTTCAGAGATTCATCATTCAGTGTGAGGTTAGCTAATTCTGTAGAGACCTTTTATTAAGTTATGAAGTTCCCTTCTATTCCTAGTTTGCTTAGTGTTTTTATTATAAGTGGGTATGGTATTTTTTCAAATGTCTTTTCCTGCATCTACTGATATAATAATAGTTTTGGTCTTTATTCTATTAATAGAGTATATTGCATGAGCTGATTTTTCTATGTTAATCTAACCTCGTATAGTATAAATACTATTTGTCCCTGGTATATAATCCGTTTTGTATTTTGCTAGATTTGGTTTACTAGTGTAGTGTTGAAGACTTTTGCATTTATATGAGATATTTTTTATAGTTTTCTTGTGCTGTTTTTGTCTGCTTTGGTGTCAAGATAATAACAGTGGCCTTAGAGAATGAGTTAGGAAGTATTCTTTCCTCTTCTATTGTTTGAAAGAGTTGGTGAAGGGTTAGTATTAATTCCGCTTTAAATGTTAGTTAGAATTCACCAGTGAAGTTATATGCCCTAGTCTTTCTTTGCAAATTTTTTTAACTACTAGTTCAACCTCACTACACACTATTTATTTGTTTGAATTATCTATTTATTCTTGAATCAGTTTTATAGTTCGCATATTTCTAAGAATTCATCCATTTTATCTAAGTAATCTAATTTGTAGGCATACTGTTCTTCATAGTATTCCTATGCAATTTCTTTTTATTTTTTGTAAGTTGAGTACTGAGGTTCACTCTATCATTACTGATTTTAGAAATTATGAGTGTTCTCCATTTGTCAACTTTACTGGTCTTTTAAAAGAACTGACTTTTGACTGGTCGCTGTGGCTCATGCCTGTAATCCCAGCACTTTGGGAGGCCAAGATGTGGATTGCTTAAGCCCAGGAATTCAAGACCAGTCTGGGCAACATGGTGAAACCCCGTCTCTTCAAAAAATACAAAAAATTAGCTGAGCATAGTGTTGGGTGCCTATAATTTCAGCTACATGGGAGGAAGAAGTAGGAGAATCACCTGAGCCTGGGATATTGAGGCTGCAGTGAACCGTGATTTCACCAGTGGACGCCAGGCTGAGTGGCAGAGTGAGACCCTGTCTCAAAAAATAAAAAGAACTAACTTTTGAGATTATTGATTTTTCTGTTGTTCTATTTTCAAGTTCATTTTTCTCCAGCTTATGGTTGTAGTTTGCCTCGTATATCTTTTTCCATTTTCCTATTTTCGGCCTATTTGTATCTTTGAGTCTAAAGTATACCTTCTGTAGACAGCATATGGTTATGGTTGAATCTTCATTTCTTAATCCAAACTGATAATATCTGCCTTTTGGTTGAAGTGATTAATGAATTTACATTTAATGTTACTATTGACATGGTTGGATTTTAGTTTGCCACTTTGCTTTTTGTTTTCTATTTGTCTCATGTCTCATATCTTATTTCTTCTTTTTTTTCTTTTGTACTTGGGAAATATTTTCTAGTATGATGTGTTGATTTCTTTAAATGTTTTTCAAATTATATTTTCTGAATTATATTTTTTGAATTATATTTTTAGTAATTGCTTTGTGGCTTACAATAGCCATCAAAATCTACCTCTGGTTTATACTAATGATTTCTATTGAGATTATATAAAATTTGATTCTATATAGCTCTGTCTTCATTTTTGTGTGTTATTTTTGTTAAACATGTTGATTATATATACATTTGTGACAAATTCAAGAATATATTGTCAAAATTATGATATATGTCTTTTCAAGAAGCTGAAAGAAGAATGGAGAGAAAGTATATATTTACAGATTTTTATATTAGTCTTCTAATATACCATTTATAGTTATTTTCATTTGTTCTTATGAATTTGAGGAGTCATTCCTTATTCTAATACAGCTTTGTTCCCACCCACCTTCTTTGTGCTGTTATTGTCAAATATATCACATATCTGTATGTTACAGGCCAAACAATATAATTATATATATTGTTTAATGCAATTGTTTTTAAAATTACTTAAGAGAAGAAAGAAGAAGAATGAAATTATACTGCCTTTTATAATTACCTACTTAATTCCTTTACTGGCACTCTATGTTTCTCTTCTGTAAGCTGGATTACTGTCTGGGGGTCACTTGCTTTCAGCCTAGAGAATTTCCTTTAGTATTTCTTATAAGATAGATCTGCTATCAATGAATTCTCTCAGATTTATTTACCTGAAAAGTCTCTATTTTGGCTTTGTTTCTCAAAGATAGTTTTGCCGACTATGATTTTTAATGGGCATATTTTACTTTCAGCATGTTGTTTCTGATGAGAAGTCAGCATTAATCTTATCTGCATTCATTTTTATCTGCTGAGTCATTATTCTCTAGAAGTTTTCAAGATCTTTCTCTTTGTCTTTGTACATTTTGACTATGATGTGTCCCTTTTTTTTTCTTTTTGAGACAGAGTCCCAGTCTGTCATCCAAGCTGGAGTGAGATGGCATGATCTCAGCTCACTGCAACCTCCGCTTCCTGGGTTCAAGCGATTCTCCTGCCTCAGCCTCCCAAGTAGCTGGGATTACAGGCACCAACCATCATGCACAGCTAATTTTGTATTTTCGTAAAGATGAGGTTTCACCATGTTGCCCAGGCTTGTCTTGAACTCCTGACCTCAGGTGATCCACCCGCCTTGGCCTCCCAAAGTGCTGGGATTACAGGCATGAGCCACCGCTCCTGACCTATGATGTGTTTTGGCATGAATCTTTTTGTGTTTATTTTACGTGGAGCTTATTGAGCCTCATGAATGTGTAGACTGCTGTTTTACCTCAAAGTGGAAAGCTTTCACTCATTATTTCTTCAAATTTTTTTCTCTTTCTCCCCCTTTCTGGCACTTCCATTACACATATGTTGATGCAGTTAATAACATCACATTTCTTTGAGGTTCCCTTTATTTTTATTTTTCTCCATTATTATTTTTATTTTTCTCCATTGTTTTTTTCTTTGTTCTTCAGATTGTATAATCTCTATTACTCTATCTTCAAGTTCATGGGTTCATTCTTCTATAAGCTCTAACTTATTTTTGAGCTCTCTAGTTTCAACTCTAGAATTTTCGTCTGGTCCTTTTGTACTATAATTTCAACTATTTGATGTGACATTGTCATACCTTCCTTGAATTGTGTAAACATATTTGTCCTTAGTTTTTGGTGTATTCATATAACTGCTTTAAAATATTTGAGAAGTCCAATCTTTAGACTTTCTCATAGGTAGTTTTCTATTGCTTTCTATCCCTCAGTGTGGGTTGCACCTTTTTGTTTCTTTGTGTCTCACAATCCTTTGCTAAAAACTGGCTATTTTTTTATAACACATTGTAGCAACTCTGCTACAGATTCTTATTCCTTAAGCTTCTTGTTGTTGTTTCCTTGTTTATTGGTTGTGGGGTTTTTTTTTACTCACCTGCACTGATTTAGTGAAGACTATTTCCCCCGTAGTATGCAGTCTCTGACATCATTCTTCACAGGGCACAACCTTGGGCGTGAACAGTTGCACCACGGATGACTGTGATTTTAGTCTGCCCTCTTGACTGTCTCTTTTCCTGATCTCCCCATTAAGTTTCTGTCTGGTTTGTCATTACTGGTTTCACATGCTATCCTTAACCTCAACTAATTGCCAGCTGATTGCGCTATTGTTTTCAAATATAGAATAGTATGGAATAGGGATAAATACTAGAATAAATGCCAGTTGCTTCTTGTTAGCAGCAGAATGTATCCAAGTCTCCCCGAAACAAAATATGTTACAGGCAGCAAATTCCTACATGTCTGCAGCAACCTCAGTTCTTGCCTTCTCAGAAGAAAGAATTCAACTGAGGGGCATAAGGCAGAAGGCGAGAACAAGGCAAGTTTTAGAGTAAGAGTAAAAGTTTATTAAAAAGCTTTAGAATGAAATGAAAAGGAAGTAAAGTACATTTGAAAGAGGGCTAAGTGTGCAACTTGAGAGATCAAATGTGCAGTTTGACCTTTTGACTTGGGATTTTATACACTGGCATGCATACTTCTGGAGTCTTGCATCCCATCTCCCCTGATTCTTCCCTTGGGGTGGGCTGTCTGCATGTGCAGTGTCCTGCTAGCATTTGGGAGGGGAGCACGCACAGTGTGCTTACTGGAGTTGTACACATGCTCCCTTGAGGCATTCTTCCCTTGCCAGTTGAATGTCCCTAACAAGTTATATACCAGTTAAACTCTGCCATTTTGCCTCTTAATACACATGCTTGAGCCCACTCCCCCAACCCCTGAGATCTTTCCAGGAAGCTGCTGATCACCAGTTTCAGGTGTTTTGCACCTACTGGGAAACTGCCTTTCCCTGGCACTGGCTGTGACCAATTATTATTTTGGAGAGACAGTTAACAACCACCTGACCGTCACCTAAATGGTCACCTGACATTCCTGGTGGGGCGTGCAGGAAGGAGCCCTCTCCTGTTCTGCTTATGTCTGACTAGCTACCTACTGTAACTTTCTTCTGTAGAAATTTTGAAGAATATTTTCCCAACTATGACCAGAATTCAAAAGCAATAAGGCAAAATAATGTTTGATTACATAATTTCAAAATCTCTTTGCATACCAAAACCATCATATGCAAAGACAAACAAAAAAAAATTGAACAACAAAACAACATTTATCACACACAAATAAGTTAACAACCTAATACATAAAACAGAAAAAAAAAGGTCTAGAAACATGAAGAAAAAATTTGAAAATAAAAAGCAAATGGCCTTTGACAACATGAAAAAAAATACCCAGGCTCCACTATAATTTAAAAATGCAAATTATGCTATTCTGAGATACCATTTATCCATTTCAGAAGGAAGAAAATTTGCAGTACTTAGGGCTTACATATGTATTTTCCTTGTGACGTAGCAAATCCTCTTGTAGAAATTTAACTCAAAGATACATTGTTAAACGCCTGTAATTCCAGTTACTTGGGAGGCAGAGGCAGGAGAATCGCTTGAACCAGGGAGGCGGAGGTTGCAGTGAGCCAAGATTGCGCCATTGCATTCTGGCTTGGACAACAAGAGTAAAACTCCATTTCAAAAAAAAAAAAAAAAAAGTATAGCCAAGTCTATCAATTACAGCATTAAATACCTAGCAATAGAAAGTTGATTGAATAAAATATGGTACACACACACACAATGAACTAATAGGCAGATGCAAAAGCAGTGAAGCAGTGCGGCTATTTCTTTATTTTGCTATGAAGTATTCTCCAGTATATGATAAGTGGAAAAGAAAAATAGATAAAAGTGTTTAGAGAATGCAACTGTCCAAGAAGGGGCATATTAAATATAATCATATGTGTATTTCTATATGAATATGTATCATTTGTAAACAAATGTATGTTAAATATATTTATATTATTTATATTATATATTTAATGGGAGAATAAATTATAATTTTATTTACCGTATAGGAGAGTGGATTGGAATATAAACTAGATTTTTCTAAATATGCTTTGTTTTGTAGACTTAAATATGAAAGTTGCACATATTTTACCTAGTTATAAACATGTTTTAAATACAGTAACCCTTAACATAAAATGTAATATGAAGCAAATGCATTTACCTGTGTATCAAGTCAATGGCATAACCAGTGAGAAATAACTTTAACTGACTTTAAAACACAGGGATCTGACTGTACATCACTAATTGGATATATTATAAGATCAAGAAAAACTGAAAAAGCTTAACCTATTTTCAGTAATCAATAGTAGTGTTGGTACTGTAATTCTGAGACCATTGTCTGTGTATGGTGGGATAATGATAATTAGTACTTATGTTGGTATCATTGAGAACTGGGGTTTCCAGGTCGGGAGAAAAAGGATAGATGTAAGTGTAAGAGAGGTGAAGTTAGGAAAATAATCCTATGGACCTGAATATATATTGGAAACATCAGCATGAAATATCCTCTTACTTCTGTTCACTGAGCAGCAAATAGAAATGAGTACCCCAGCAATCAGACTTGGGTCTATAAATACCATTCCTTACTAAGAAAAAAAAAAGAGCTCCTTGTGGAAATGGCTGACCACAGGTCAAATGTATAAATGTATAATCATCTTATACATCTCATATCAGGAAATATTTAAGATTATTTTGGAATATTTTGTCATACCAGATAACTAGAAGGCTATAAAAAACTCTTGTGCTCATATCAAAAATATTCTAAAGTCAACTCAAAGAGATCTTTAAGGGCCAAAGTTGAGATCATTTGATGCCAATGTAACAATTCTTTAAATCCTAATAATACAAAATAATTCATTGACTACCTTTGGGGACTGCTAGGGAACCCACTGAAAAGTAGTAAATAGAGTTAAAGGACAAATCATTTTCCTGTCTTTTTATAATAACTGTTCATCATAGTAATAAAATGTCCCTCAAATTTGATTAGAGGATGTTCCTCTCTAAAGAAATATTCCAACTAACAAATAGTAGATGTTGACTTTCACCACTCTAATGAATGAATGGATTTATGCAACAAACATCAAAGGCGGCTAAAATCATAAAGAGACAATCAGTTATTCTGTGTCTCCAGATGGAATTACACACTTTTCATCTATGAAGTAGTTTTGAAAAAGAAAAAACTGGAATCCTATCAAGCCTTTAGATCTTACTACAATGATTTTAGAAGCAGAGAACAGAGAAACTTATTAAATAACATAACAGAGATACATTCAACAAAATCCAAATGTTGGCAACTCCATAGGACAAACCATTCTCTTTCTTCAACAAATAAATCTCAAGAAAAAATGGATGATAAGAGGGTAACCTAGAGATTATTAGAGAGTTAAGAGGCATATATCAATGGTAATTATGGATCTTATATAGATAGATCCTGATTCCAACAAACTGTAAAATAAAGTGTGATAACCAAGAAAATTTTGAACAATGACAAATTATTATATATTGTCATGTAATTATATTTAATTCTTTTTAGGTATATTTGAATAATGATTTATTCTTTAAAATAATTCTTATATTTAGATAAATATACTGAAGCACAGATATAATGATAAGATCTTAGGCATGTGCTTCAGAACAATCCAGGGATAGGAAATATGTAGGGATACAGATGAGATGATAAAATTGGTCATAAGTTGATAATTGTTGAGACTGGTGATAGACTCATGGGTTCATTATATTATTTTCAAGTTTACCATAATAAAGAGTTGAAAACAAGCAGCAAACATTTACTACTTACCCACTATGTGCTCATCACTGTATTAAGCAATAGGGAACAATAAAAGACCTATACATTATAATTTCTTACCAAAAGAAACCTGTAATCCAGGTAACAAGACTAAAAGTCATGAAACAACAATATGCAATGGAATAAAGTGTTAAAATATTTGGTACAGAATGTAGGTATCCAGAGGAAAATTAAATTTCTGAGGCTTGAAGAAGATAGGAGAAACTGCATACAAGAGGAAGTATTCAAACTGACACTTTAAAGAATGAAACAAATTTGAACAGATAGAAGAAATAGAGAAGAGCTTGGGCAGTTTACTAGATTCTATAAAGGTTAATTTTTTAAAAATTTCCTTTTCTTATTTTAGTTGAAATACACTTCCCAATGCTTCATCTCTGGGCTCTCAAAGTACACTAAGGTTGCTTGAAGACTTAAGAGTCCTCCCTTGAGTTAATTTTTGAATTTGAAATTATGCAAATTTCACTGAGTACACATAGTTCTTCTGTCATTTTATTTTTAAAGGTCACCTGTTGTTCTCTTGAAGAGACACTATTTTTTTCTCAGTAAAAACCAAATTGGAAACACATATTTCAAATAAAATTAGACACAAAAGTCTTTCCTTGAATATGCTGCTAACTTCTAAGGGAAATTATTACACAAATCACTCAGAAGTTAAATATATTCTTACACCCACAGCAGGTAAGTACAAAGGTAGCATACAATAGAAGGTAAGGTTTGTTAAATTGTATGCTAACGGCAACTAATGGTGGCTCCGTTAGGCTTCTTATCGAGATTAAAGAAATATTTCTTCCAATTTTTTGGCTTCAGCATAAGCACTCTGAGCACTAAGTTATTTTTTAGCTAGAAATAGAATATACTTATCCATAACCACGTAGTAGAACATGTTACAAGGTATCCACTTTAAATGTACAAAATTAAGACCTAAAGAGGCAAAGCAACTTACCTAAATCCACAGTTAGTAAGTAATGAAATCAGGAATACTACTAAAATAGATCTAACCAGTAAGGGAATAAGGTTGTAAATTACTGAATTTACAGCAATATGTAAGACATTTTATACTATGTACGTTTTCCACTCTCAAATTTCACTTTACAGACAGGCATAGGGCTTATTTCACCTGACAGAAAATAGTTTCACTTAATAAACTAAGCTTATCTTAAATGTATAAACCATGGCATACAATGTTGTTAATAGTTGCTTGCTCATCAATCATGCCATAGTTCCTGTTAACAGAACCATAGGCTTGTTCAGGTGATGGGTGAATATGCTCCCAGGGCACTCAGTTAAACTCTAACCCCAATGGGTGAATCTCAATTTGGAGCAGTGGTTCTCAAAATGTTGTCTACAGACAATACACAATATTATCAAATAATCAAATATCAATATGAGAAGAATAATTTTAAAATATCAAAATTATTCTTATACAAGTAGTAATGAACTAATTACCTTTTTATTGTGTTATTGTGTTGACATTTGAACTGATAGCTCAAAAGTAATGCTGGGTAAAATTTCTAGCACCTCAACACAAAGCAAGGCAAGGGCAAAAACTCTGCCGATAGCCATTGTATTGTTCACCACCATACACTCAAAATAAGACAGAAAGAATATCAAGTTTCATTAAGAATTTTCTTCATGAAACAGTACAAATTATTACTTTTATTAAAACTTGACTCTTGAATGCTTGTCATTTTGGAATTCCTTGTGAAGAAACAAACTCATTAATACATTAGGTTTATTGTTATACATGGAAAACACACTGCATTTTGAAGTATAATGATTATTTCACAGAAAAATGCTTGTTTGATTTTTAAAGTTGAGAGCTGAATTAACCACTGTTTTTTTCATGGAGCAGCATTTTTATTTGAAAGATGACCCACAGAAAAGCTATGGTTATCAGACTTCAGTTTTTAACAGCCATTTCTCAATAAACTGTCAATGTGTAACATTTGTTGCCTATGATAAAATTTGGGCTTTTAAGCAAAATTTAGAATTTTAGA
Source organism: Homo sapiens (assembly GCF_000001405.40). Taxonomy (NCBI): domain Eukaryota; kingdom Metazoa; phylum Chordata; class Mammalia; order Primates; family Hominidae; genus Homo; species Homo sapiens. The sequence continues at coordinate 154,694,368 of NC_000003.12, read as the reverse complement.
AAACGTATACTCCACTGTGAGCATGCACAGCTTCCTCACTCTTAACGGATCTTTGGATGAAATTAATGGAGACATTTAAAATATGATGCTTTGATATCATAGAAGGAAATGTGTCAACACTTGGAATATCTGTATAATTCAGAAAACAAATATTTTGTAAATGATCAATTCAAGCTATTACAAAATCATGCATGTGTAGAAGACCCATTCAAAGTGCAAAATAAACAAATAGATTGTTAAGGTAACATAGTAAGAAAAGTAATTGATATGGCTTCAGATTCCACATTACAATGAACCTCTAAGATATTAAAACATGTCAAGTTTTGATGTAGTATTAAAGAATAGCTACAATTATTTTGAAAAGATTATTAAATTCTCCCTTTTCAACTACATATCTCAGTGAGGCTGGATTTTCTTTATATACTTCAACCAAAAGAATGCCTCACAAGAGATTGAATGCAGAAACAGATATGAGAATCTAAATGTTTTATACTAAATTAGATGTTAAAGAGATTTGGAATAATGGAAAACAATGCTACCCTTCTCTTTAAATATTTTTTGAAAATATAGATATTTTATAAAATATTTATGTTATGTAATAGGTTTATTATTTAAAAATTAATTAGTAAATCAATTATCAAAAATTATTTTAACTTCAAATAGGGTAAATATTGATAGATGTACCACATTAACAAAGACTTTTAGAAATCTTTAATAATGTTTAGGGTTATAAAGGGGTCTGAGACCAAAATTTGTGAACCAATGATGCAGAAAAATCATGGTCATTTCATTCCCATAAAAGATTTGTTAACAAAATGGGCATGTGACTTATTTGATCAATGAGACTAATTTGAAATTTCCTTTAAAGCAGGAAACGTCCTCTTGTTTCATTGGTCAAATAAGAGAATTTCTTTCTCTTTAAAAGGAACACAAAAATATGAAATCCTCTTGTAACGTTTTATACCATTATCTGATGATGTGTGCTTGGTGCTGGTGCAGTCATTTTTACAACCACAAAAGGACAAGGACAAGCTTAAGGACAGGAGCCAACAGGTCAACATGTCAGAACAGAAAGATCAAAAGACCCTGAACCCTTGATGATATAGTTAAGGATCAACCCAAACCACCTCTTGACTTCTTGTTATGTGAACTAGAAAACCCACTTATTGTCCACAACATTTTGAGATAGGCCTTTTTTTTTAACTTGCAACAAAATCATTCTAAATGACACAGAATTTTTAGTTATTATATCTTTAGTGTTTCCTTATGTAATTGCTTATTTATAGTCATATGTTAGGAATATGTTTAATATCTTTGTCAATAGTTAAAACATTTATGATTTAATGATGGTTAAAATGGTTTATTTACTTGATATTGTATAACATACACGTAATCATTTAGATAATAAATAAATCTTTTTATGTTTAATTCCATACTCATGAAGTTATCTTCTGATTATAATTTAGTTCCCATACAGGTCTGCTTACAGGGGTAGATTTCACGGTATAACCCAGATGAATTGGTGGTTTATTTCACATTGTCTTTAGCTCTCTACAGTCAAAGTCTTGATATGTGATATGTTTTCCAGCTGTATCTCTTTTATTTTCACTTCATGACCTTGGGCAAAATAGTTAATCTTAAAATTAATTTTGTGATGACATACTTTTCAGATTTTGTTGCTTATTTAATCTGCTTCAATATTTTGACTAATAATACCAAAGTAGATAACATCCATAGAGATAAGTATTTTAGATAAACCAGCATTAATAGTTGTAGGGCTTTATTTGCTAATTCATAATACTTAGATTTTATATTTTAAGAACCTTTATCTAGGTCAGAGTTTCAGAATCTCAGAACTATTGACATTTTGGGCCAGATGATCCTTTGCTGTGAGTACTTGCTCCATGCATTGTGTGATTTTTATCAGGATCCTTGCCCTCTACCCATTAAATGTCAGTGGCAAATTTCCACCCAGTTATGACAACCAAAAATGTCTACAGACATGGCCAAATATCCCCTGGGTGCCAAAATCATCACCTTATTCCACTGAGGACCACTTATCTAGGAGACAATCAGACTGGTTTTGTTTTTCTTGTTTAGTTTTTTTGTTGTTGTTGTTGTTGTTGACTTTATTTGCCACTTACAGCATAACTCAGAAGTGTGATTATATTTGCCTTGACTATATTTTTTTTAATCTTAGAAAGCATTGCTAAGGTTGTCTAGTTTTTCCTGCCCTTATTTTCTGAGCTTGATGGGACCCACAGCCTTAGGAAAGAGAAGGATAAGTAGTATACTCCAGATAGGAGGTGGAAAATAGAAAATAATTCCTACAATTTTTATGGTATTAACTATATTTTAAATATCTGTATAGAATAAGCACTTATGTTTAATTATAAATGTAGCCTAATGATTCAACATTCCTGATCTATGTGTGTTATGATTATGGTGAATCTATGTATCTTACTTAAAATTGTATACCCAGAGCCTAGAATAGTGTTTCCATTCTATGTAGGCATTCAATATATATATTTATCTAATTAATCAATGAATAAAGTCCACATTACCTTATCACAACAATTGCAACCAGCCAGCCTATTACAGTGTTAGTTGTTAGTTAGTTAGTGTAAGTGAAGGTCACTTAACAAGACATATTGGACATTACCACATAACAACTTCAAATGACTGACAAAATCTAATGTCCTTCTTACACAAAAGCTCTTACTAAACATCAGAGTCATCCTTATTATTGTCTCTTATTCCATAACCAACCCATCAGTAAATCCTGTGACTTTATATATTTACAGATGCTCCTTGACTTACAAAGGGTTACATCCCAATAAAGGCATGGTAAGTAAAAAATATCAGAAATAAAAAATGCATTTAATACATCTGTATTAGTCCATTGTCACACTGCTATAAAGATACTACCCAAGTCTGGGTAATTTATACAGGAAAGAGGTTTAATTTACTCATAGCTCTGCATGGCTGGGGAGGCCTCAGGAAACTTACAATCATGGAGGAAGGTGAAGGGGAAGCAAGGCACGTCTTCACAAGGCAGCAGGAGAGACAGAAAGAGGGCACAGGGAAATCCGCAACTTTTGCAACCTGAGATCTTGTGAGAATACCTTCATTATCACAAGAACAGCATGAGGGAAACTGCCCCCATGATCCAGTCACCGCCCCCCCTCCACCAGGTCCCTTCCCCCACACATGGGGATTAATAATTGAGATGAGATTTGGGTTGGGACACAGAGCCAAATCATATCAACACCTAACCAACTAAACATTGTAGCTGAGTTTAGCCTACCTTAAACCTGCTCAGAACACTTACATTAACCTACAGTTGGGAAATATCTAATACAAAGCCTATTTTATAATAAAGTACTGAATATCTCATTTAATTCATTGAATATTATACTGCAAGTGAAAAACAGAATCGTTGTATGTATATTGGAAGTACAGTTTCTACTCAATGAGTATCATTTTTGCACTATCTTAGAGTCAAGAAATCATTAAGTAAAACCATAAGTCAGGAACCATCTGCATATTCAGAATCTGACCACTTGTTACCCCTTCCACTCCTACTACTCAGGCCCAAGGCATCAGAGTCTCTACCATGATTTACTGCAGTAACCTTTCCCCTGGTCTCCCTGCCCATGCTTTTGCACTCCTTCCACCCCACAGTTGAATCTCAGTACAACAATTGGAGTGATCCTGTGAAAAACCTGAGTCATAGATTACTTCTCTCTCAAAACCTCAAAGGGCTTTCCATCATACTCAGAATGAAAGGCAAGTTTCCTTAAAATGGCCTGCAAAGTCCTGTAGCACCCTCCTTGGTTTGGCCTCTCTTTACTAAGCTGATCTTGAGTCCTGCAAGGCTCCCCTCCCTTGCTTGCTCAGCTCCAGCAACTCTAGCATCCTGGGTTGATCTTTGCTCAGAGTCTTTGCACCTGCAGGTCCTGAGTATGGGCTGTTCTTGGCCTGGATATAACATCACTTTCCTGTTACCTCCTATGGTCTTTATGCAAAGGTCACCTTCTCTGAAGCCTTCACTGAATGTGCTACCCAATAGCCCAACCTCATGCCTCACATTTCCTATCCCATTTTTCTTAATCATTTTTTCACCATTGAGCTTATCACCACCTAACATTTTTAATACTATAGTATCTATATTGTTCTTTTTTGTCTTTCTTCTATAATATAGGTTCTATGAGGAAAATGTTTTCTTCTGTTTTTTGACTGTTATGCTTCTAGTATCTCTAATTATGCTTAGCACATTATTGGCCATAAACAAATATTGTGAAATGAATGTGGAGTGAAAGGAATGAGAAAAAAGCAAATGTTAATTTACTAAAAAATTTAACAAAAATCTGAAAATATGTTTAACTGTATTTAGAATTAAAATATGCAAAGAAATTTACTAAATAATAAATAACCTGACAAAATTAGTGTGATAAAGCAAAAACTTTCATACACAGATAGTAGAGGCAAAATTGTTTAAAGGACAATTTGGACCTATTTATTTAAATTAATATTTAACACTCTTTAGCCATAATTACCAATTTAGAAATTTATTTTACAATTATATTACACAGACCACAAAAATATATGGATACATAGATATTAGATATTCCATGAAATGTGTTTAATAACAAGAAACTTGAAATCAATGTTGATCACTGGTTAAATAAATTGCCAAGCTTAATGCAGAATTTAAAAGAATAAAGTAGATTTATATGATGATATGGAAAACTGCCCTAGGAATATTAAGTGAAAAGCTAGATTCAAATAATAGGTATTGTCGGATATCATGTTTTTTCTGAAAGCATATACAAATTCACATGCCCACATAAAAGTTTTTTGGAGGGATATAAATTCACTTTTCAATGCATCGTGTAGATCAATAATATCAGAAATGGTTTATTCAGATTCTTATGAGGTCTAGCTGCTTATTTGATCTCCCATTAAATGTATTTTATTTATGTTTATACTTTTAATTTTTTTGATGCAGGTTCTCACTCTGTCACCCAGCCTGGAGTGCAGTGGTACAAACATGGCTCATTGTAGCCTCAACCTCCTGAGCTCATGTGATTCTCCCACCTCAGCCTCCCAGATAGCTGTCACCACAGGCACACGCCATCGTGCTTGGCTGACCTTTAAATTTTTTATAGAGATGGGGTCTTGCCATGCTGCCCAAGCTTGTCTCAAATTCCTGGGCTCACGCCGTTCTCTCGTCTTGGCCTCCCAAAGTGCTAGGTTTATAGGCATGGGCCACCATGCTCAACCTGAAATTTATTTTAAATTTAAATTATGAGTAGCCTCTAAGATACCAAACATGTATACATTAAAGTGAACAGATTGTACATTTCTATGGCTATACACTGTGGTAAGTGCAACCCTTAATCGGTTTGTCTGTTTTTCTGTCCCACTAGCCTCTGAGCATCATGAGAAAAAAAGACTATAGGTATTTGGCTCTTTATTATATCCCAGCATCAAGCACTGTTCTGGCACATTCTCTGACTGGTTGCTTTTATTAATTTTTTTATTTTCATAAAATTGGTTTTTGTAATAACACTAATGTAAGAAGCCTGCAATATTAATGATTACTAGTAGAATATAATGTACGTGTGAGTAGTGAAGCGGTTTACACTTGATACATCTGAGTTCATAGAATGGTAATTTATGCTACAATGAAGTTTTTGAAAAATAAATAAGAAATATTCTTATCACCCTGAGATCTACACTGCTAATATCTTAGTGGATGTCTTCCCAGATCTTACTCTGTGAAAGAAATACTTTTTAAAAAAATGTATATTTGTTTAACAAACAAATGTGATATTATATATACTGTTTTGAAGTCTGTTTATTTCAATCAACAATCTCTATGTTTACATTTTGGTAAATATAATGAGGTTTTGCTTCATATACTTCTGCAAAGTTTACTATTGAGTACAATCCAACAGGTATATAATTCTGAATCAAAACCAAACAAAACAAAATTTATGAGTCATGATCTTCTGTCTGTGCATCCGAGATTTTAAAACAGTGTACGTTTACAAAGGAGAAGGGGTAAAGGAGGAGAGAAGAGAATGTACACCCACTCAGCAAGCCAGGGAGCAAGCAGATACTATTGGTATTTCTGGGTAAACAATTGACCTCAAGACATTCAAGTGGCTATATCCTGGATGAAATGTGTGTTCTAACATTTCCCTATGGGCCTTATTTAATTTACTTACCTGTAACCATATTGTTCCAGAAACAATTTTCAAATGAAATGTCACCATCAACATTTCTCTACTTGAATAATTTACTTTTGTAATTCAACCATATGCAATGTTTCTCTAAAAATAAAGAATTTATGATGTATAACAAAGATAAATGTGATACGAAAAAACATATAAGTAAGAAAAAGACAGGTCGAAAAATAAGTGGAGCCAAAAATGAACTACAATAGAAAGGTTATGTCAACAATGTTTTTTATAAAATAGAAGATTAGAAAAAGTATATTTTATTAATATTGCTAGACTAGGTGTGAGATCTACATATTCTTTATCAGAAAGCTGCTGGTGTGTTTATTAACATGAAACCAAGAAGTCAAACTTGCATATCACTAAACTGGATAGTTGTGAAATATACTTTTGGGGTGGATAACATATTCAGATCTCTTTAAAATCAAATTATTTTCATTCTTTTTTGAACCATACCCTGGGATTCCTAGAGTTGTTTTCTTTTCCCCTATCTTGGGAGTTCTTGGTTCTATACACATATGTCCTTGTGTCTGTGACAAAGTTTCTTAACCTTCTCATTTTGGAGAACTGCTTGGCAGAAGGAAAGCAGAGGCCATGTAGAAAGGTACAATTCTTTCAAAGGCTTGTTCCTGCTGTTCTCCCTCACTTTGGAAGCTATCTCATTCCCCCCTTTTTTCTTTTTCTTTTTCTTTTTTTTTTTTTTTTTTTGAGACGGAGTCTCTCTCTGTCGCCCAAGCAGTGGCACGATCTCGGCTCACTACCACCTCCGCCTCCCGGATTCACCCCATTCTCCTGCCTCAGCCTCCCAAGTAGCTGGGACTGCAGGCACCCACTTACCACGCCCAGCTAATTTTTTTTGTATTTTTAGTGGAGACGGGGTTTCACCGTGTTAGCCAGGATGGTCTCATCTCCTGACCTCGTGATCTGCCCGCCTCAGCCCCGCAAAGTGCTGGGATTACAGGTGTGAGCCACCGTGCTCAGCCAATTTTTGTTTTACCTTCTGATAAATCTCAGCTCTGTCACCCTTGTTAATTCCTAGGTGGAACGTAAGGCAGACCTATTCAAATCCTACTAGGTTTCTGATTGGTTGGCCTGTTGGAAGGTAGATCCTCAAGAACCTATGAGTAAATTTTACCAGGCATAAGTGAGGGATGTTTGAGATCATTTTCTAGACTGCATCTTGATCCTTACTAAAAGTAAGTAGACAAATTAATACTTAAAATGCAAAATAACAGTTATTTTCATAGTTGTCATAAAATATATATATAGATAAGATCTATATATGGATAAGATCTAAATCTAAATCTAAATACACAGACATTTAAGATAGATAAGATAGATCTATAGATCAATCTGTAGATAAGATTTAAATATAAATATATATATTTATATTTATATACATGCTTATAACTATCTATCTCTCTCTCTCTCTCTCTCTCTCTCTCTCTCTATATATATATATATATGCATAGGAGTCTGGTTAAAGCTGTGATTTGATGTGCCATGCTTGTCACTTGTGAGGAAGAAGGAAATGGGAACAGGAAGGATGAAGGACCAGAAATGTGAAAATATTTTCCACTGTGAATTTTTATTTGATTTTTAAATGTTTGAGGCATGTGATTAAATTAACTCTAAATTTTAATTTAAGACCTAATAAAGAAACAAAGAGTGAATGAAGGAAGTAGGATGGAAATAAAAGGAAGAAAGGAAAGGAAAAGGAAGGAAGGAAAGAAGGAAGGAAGGAAGTTAGTTCTGTATGCGGCTATAGCATACAGAACTTAAATATATCTAATACGGAAAATGGAAGAAAAGGGTCTTAATGCATTTTATGATAGTTACTTCCAGTATCAAAGTCTCATTTCTATGACTACTTACAGAATAAACTTTAAATAATTACATCAGCTAATCTATTATAAATGCACTCATGATCAGAGAAAGACACTAAAAGTAGTTATCTGTATTCATAATGGAAAGACCAGGTCAACATTATAAATACATCTATTTATGAGTGGCTTTCTATAGAGCCATATATTAATAATTGTAACTTATATACACCCTCAAAAATCCATTCAAATTATAGCATTATCCTTTATTTTTTATTACAGGGACTATTATTTCAGGCAACATTCTTAATATAACTCCATTCTTTAGAATGTATTTCTTTCATTTGTTCATATTATAAAACTCAAAAATTCACACAGTATACAACTCTAACCATAAAGCCCCTCTGAGCCCATATAAATAAATATACTTGGCAACTCAGAAGCTGCCTGAAGCTGCAGAGACCTGCAGAGGACTTTTCAACACTTTTTCCAGTCATGTGATAACCCCTAAACGCAACCCTTTTCCTTTATTTTTTTTCCTTGCAAAACAGAGAAAAGGGATGGTCTTTGTAAAAGACTCCAAATAATGAAAACAATTTAGTAGGTAGTTTGCTCTCAGTGCCACTAACATAATATATGACTATCTTTACAAGCTAAAGAAATATAGAATATAAATTTGTTTCTATTCCAAATATATTCTCAGTGACATATGCCGGTAAATATTTAACCAAGAGCTCTCCAAAAAAAAAAAAAAAAAAAAAAGTCATTTTTTGTGTTTGCTAATTTATGTGTTGTGGCTCTTCCAACCATGAATGATTTTAAACTACCAATACTCTATGGTGAATCTCTAACCTCCACATCATTCCCTATTTCCCTATCCCTCTCTGTTTTGTTCTCGCAAATCACTTCAGTTCGGCCATCAGTACTTCTCTCTTACTATGACAACTCCCCTTCTCCAAATTTCTGTACCTTCCATCTATCCTCTGTAATACATCCAGAAACACCTTTCTGAAATGCAAAGAAAAATGGTAGATAGGAGGCAGAACTAAATTTCATCTCTCACTCAGACAGAGTAGCTTGTGGAGACTCACATTGTGAACTTTTGCTCCAAGAACTACTGCAGGAACATACCAGAAAAGCCGAGAGAATCCACAGACTCTTTGAAGGAAGTTGATTGCTCCTGAAGGCCCCCTGGGGACAGCCCAACAACTGTGAGTACCCTAAGTGTGAAAGTGTGAAAGGGGGATCGTCCACCCCTGAACACACACCCTCACTGGGGAACCTGAAGGTCCAGATCACAAGAGAAGAATCTGACCTTATCTGAAGCTGAGACAATTTTAGAGAGCTGAGCAAAATACAGGGGTAGAAGAAGCAGTGGGAAGAGCCCCGTGGGTTCTCTCAGTCCCCGGAAAGCCATTTATGACTTTGCCTTGCAGAGGTCCTTGGGGAGGGCTGCTAGAGGAACTGGGAAAAGACCACAGGGAGAAAGAAACTTCCAGCTGAACTTTGTAATGATTTCAACCTAACAGAGTTTCCTGGACAGGACTCGGGGGCAGGGGTGAATCTGGAGTGCAGACACAGCACAGAAGCCACAGCAGCCAGGGAGGCATGAAACCTGAAAACTCTGCTTACTTTCACAGCCAGAGGGCTGGTAGCATAAGACAGATTCTCAACCCTGCTCACCCGTTGCCCGGAAACAAACGCGGTGCTATTAATGGGGGCACTGTGAGACTGAGATGGGCCTTTGTGTTGCATGGGAGCTAGGTGAGGCCTGTAACTGCTGGCTTTCCCCTACTTCCCTGGTGACCTGCACGGAACAGCAGAAGCAGCTGTAATCCTCCTGGGAACATAACTCCATTGGCCTGAGAACCACACCCGGATCCCCCCACAGCAGATGCGGCAAGCCCTGCCCAAGGAGAGTCTGAGCTCAGACATACCTAGTCCAGCCCCAACCTGATGGTCTTTCTCTACCTGCCCTAGTAGCCAAAGACAAATAACATATTATCTTCAGAGCTCTAGAGCCCCACCCACCACCTGATCCTCCCTATACTACCACAGTTGATGCTCTCTTGAGAGTGCCACCTACTGGCTCGAGGCCAACGAGCACAAAACTGGTGCAATAAATAAAACTACAACTAAGGACCCACACAGAGACCATTTTGTTCCCCTGCCACCTCCACCAGAGCAGATGCTACTATCCACTGCTGAGAAATCTGAAGATGGTTCACATTACAGGTTTCTGTGCAGATACCACCCAGTACCAGCCTGGAGCCAGGTAGCTCTGCTTGGTAGCTAGATCCAGAAGAGAAATAACAATCACTGCAGTTTGGCTCTCAAGAAGCCACATCCCTAGAAAAAGGGGAAGAGCACTATATCAATGGAACACTCCACAGGACAAAAGAAACCGAACAGCAGCCCTTGTACCTCAGATCTTCCCTCTGACATAGTCTACCCAAATGAGAAGAATCCAGGAAAACAATTCTGGTAATATGGCCAAACAAGGTTCTTTAACACCCACAAAAGATCACACTCACTCACCAGCAATGGATCCAAACAGAGACAAAATCTCTGAACTGCCAGAAAAAGAATTCAGAAAGACAACTCTTAAGCGAATCAAGGAGGTGTCAGAGAAAGGTGAAGTCCAAATTAAAGAAATCAAAAACATGATACAGGATATGAATGAAAAATATCTTCAGTGAAAAATAGACAGCATAAATAAAAAATGATCACAACTCCTGGAAATGGAGGACACACTTAGAGAATTGCAAAATGCACTGAAAAGTCTCAGCAATAGAATCGAACAAGCAGAAGACAGAACTTCAGAGCTTGAAGACTCAAAGACAAGGTTTTTGAATAAGATAAGAACATAGATCAATGGAAAATAATAGAGAACCTAGAAATAATGCCAAATACTTAAAGCCAACTGATCTTTGACAAAGCAAATAAAAGCATAAAGTGGGGAAAGGACACTCCCTTCAACAAATGGTGCTGGGATAATTGGCAAGCCACATGTAGAAGAATGAACCTGAATCCTCATCTCCCACCTTATACAAAACTCAACTCCAGATGAATCAAGGACTTAAATCTAAGACCTGAAACAATAAAAATTCTAGAAGATATCATTGGAAAAACCCCTCTAGACATTGGCTTACACAAAGACTTTATGACCAAAAACCCAAAAGCAAATGCAACAAAAACAAAGATAAATAGATGGGACTTAATTAAACTAAAAAGTTTCCACACAGTGAAAGAAGTAATCAGCAGAGTAAACAGACAAACCACAGAGTGCAAGAAAATCTTCATAATCTATACATCTGACAAAGGACTAATATCAGGAATCTAGGGAACTCAAACGAATCAGCAAGAAAAAAACAATCCCATCCAAAAGTGGGCTAAGGATATGAACAGACAATTCTCAAAAGAAGATATACAAATGGGCCGGGCATGGTGGCTCATGCCTGTAATACCAGCACTTTAGGAGGCCAAGGTGGGCAGATCACCTGAGGTCAGGAGTTTAAGTCCAGCCTGACCAATCTGGTGAAACACCGTCTCTACTAAAATATGAAAATTAGCTCAGTGTGGTGGCACATGCCTGTAATCCCAGCTACTAGGGGGCTGAGGCAGGAGAATCACTTGAACCCAGGAGGCTGATGTTGCAGTAAGCCAAGATCTTACCTCTGCACTCCAGACTGGGTGACACAGCAAGATACTATCTCAAAAACAAAACAAAACAAAAAGTTATACAAATGGCCAACAACATGAAAAAAACGCTCAACATCACTAATGATCAGAGAAATGTAAATCAAAACCACAATGCCATTACATCTTACTCTTGCAGGAATGGCCATAATAAAAGAAAATCAAAAAATAATAGATGTTGGCAGGGATGTGGTGAAAAGGAAATACTTTTACACTGCTGGTGGGAATGTAAAGTAGCTCAGCCACTGTGGAAAACAGCGTAAGATTCCTTAAAGAACTAAAAGTAGAACTAAAATTTGATCCAACAATCCCACTACTGGGTATCTACCCACAGGAAAATAAGTCATTATACGAAAAAGTTACTTGTACACACATGTTTATAGCAGCACGATTTGCAATTGCAAAAATATGGAACCAGCCCAAATGCCCATCAATCAATGAGTGGATACATAAATTGTGATATACACACATACATACCATGGAATACTACTCAGCCATAAAAAGGAACAAAATAACGGCATTCAGAGAAACCTGGATGGAATCAGAGACCATTATTCTAAATGAAGTAACTCAAGATGGGAAAACCAAACATCGTATGTTCTCATTCATAAGTGGGAGCTAAGCTATGAGGATGCAAAGGCATCAGAACGATACAATGGACTTTGGAGACCTAGGGAGAAGAGTGGAAGATGGTGATGGATAAAAGACTACAAATTGGGTACAGGGTATACTGCCTGGGCGATGGGTGCACCAAAATCTCAGAAACCACCACTAAAGAACTTATTCATGTAACCAAACACACTTGTTCCCCAAAAAACCTATGGAAATAAAAAATAAATTTATTTTAAATGAAATGCAAAGGTTCCATATCAGTGTGCTTCATTGCCTTCAGACAAAGTCCTGCCATAGCCCAGGTGGTCCTTTGTAATTTTGCCCATATGCATATTTGACTCTGTTACACTGGTTAGGTTAAAGTTCCCTAAATGTTTTCCCTCACGTCTCTGCATCTTTGTGTACTGTTTAGTTGTGGTTTTTCTGTCACTAATATTTCTGTTATGGTTATTTCATCTCCCCAAAACATCCTTTCTATTCCCTCACCAGGAGCAGTTCCAGTCATATTCTGTTTGAGTATTCTCCTTTCAAATTTTCCCCAAACAGTGTACCTTGGACATACTCATGTCATTGCACTCAAATCTCTGTACTGCAATTATTTGTTCATGTGTTTGCCTCCTCAAAAGACCATGAGCTTCTTGAAGAAAGGGACTATGTTTATTATTCAGCTGTAATGGAACATGATTGAAATGCTAAAAACTGCATGTCTAAAAACTACACATATTGTGAGAATTTATGTTTATAGTATATTCCCTGCAGAATGAAGGTGGCAGGATTAAGTGTAAAATAAATATTTCAGAATATTTAAATTTTCTTATTCTGTATTTACTTACGCCATTTTTGGTAATTCCTTTTGGAAATAAACATGTGTCTAAAAATACACTGTAGATTTGCAGATGACCCAAAGCTAAGAGCAATTATTATCATCATGGAACTTATGCTTAGAATTTAAAACAATCTTAATAAGGAGGAGTCATCAAAAATAAAGTTTAGGAAGGACAAGTTTAGAATGACATACTTTGGAATAAAAAAGGAATTGCACAAATGGAAGAAAGATAGGAATCATAAGACAGGGATGCATATAAGCTACCATTTAAAAAAGTATGCATAAGACAGCAATGCATGAACAAGAATAGAACTTTAGTAGTCAGCCATGTTTTGATAAATTCACCAACATATCTTGACAGCCTGCTCCATGCAAAACATCAACTAGATACTGATCATTTGTGAGCTGATATTGAGGAAGAACCATGCCTGTTTACTCTAAATAGAACAAACAACAATCCTTTTAAAAATACTTATAGTTGTTGAAAAGGTGGAAATGGAATAAACCATATAATATGAATTGGTCAGATGTTGACTTCAGTATTGTATCCAAATTTGGACTCAGTCACTTTGAAAGGGACATAAAGAATTTGAAGAAAGTTCAAAAGAAGTAACAGGAAATAGATTAAAATGGTTAATATAATTACCCTTAAAAAAGACTCTCCCCCGCCCCCACCACTGCCCAAAAAAATGCTGGTATTACTTAACTGCAGAAAGGAAGGGTGAAAACTGATTCTAATTGATCCACAATTTTTATCTGAAGCCCTCAGGAAGCAAATGCGTTTCAGACTTCAGAAAGCTTCAGATTTTCAAAAGTTCATACCTGTACATTTACTAGCTTTGTGTTAGTTCAGACCAGGTCAGATTTTTCCACCAAATCAGTTACCAATTAAATTTCAGCTTTCAGAACTTTAATTTGTATTTCACATCTGCCTTTATTTTGTTAATTATGGTGTGAGAGATTTAGGCTCAGGAAGTTTTTAAGTGTTGAAAGCTTTAAGAAGGCTTTTTATATACTTACTTGAAAATGGAGTAGTATCAGAGGGACTTTCTATAATTTAATGTGTTCTTTCAATTCAACATTAAATAAACATGACAAAGAGAAAGTATTATCCATCAAGATCTTATCTTCTCACAGTTGCTTTTCATTCTCCCTATATGGCACCATCTCTTCTTCATTCTTGCCTGAAACCAATTTTCAACTTCTTTCCGCCCAATGATGTCCCAACTCTTGTTGAAAAGTCTCCTGGTGATGCACCTCCTTCATAAAACTGCCCAAATCAGCTCTTCTGGATCTATGAAGTGTAAGTATTTCAGAATTTGCTTCACTCTCTTTCTCTTCCTGTTTCATCCATGTCTTCTTAACTTGGACATCTGTGTATTGTATTGTCTCTTCACATTTGCACATCTCTAGAGCAGCTCTTTTCTTATCAGTGGTCTTGGCCTTTACATGTGCTCATAAAGTAAAATAGTGTATTTTAGGATAAAAGACTAACCTGTGGTTTTAAAAGACACTCATTTAAGATCTGGTCAGACTGCCAGGCATGTTGGCTCACCCCTGTAATCCCATCACTTTGGGAGGCCAAGGCGGGCAGATCATGAGGTCAGGAGTTCGAGACCAGCCTGGTCAATATGGTGAAACCATATTGTCTCTACTGTCTCTACTAAAAATACAAAAATTAGCCAGCCGTGGTGGTGTGCACCTGTAGTCCTAGCTACTCGGGAGGCTGTGGCAGAAGAATCGCTTGAGCCCGGGAGGTGGAGGTTGCAGTGAGCTGAGATCGTGCCACTGCACTCCAGCCTGGGAGAAAGAGTGAGACTCCATCACAAAAAAAAAAAAAAAAAAAAAAGATCTGGGAGGACTTTCAAACATAAAATTTAAAGTTCACCTGAAAAATTAAATTTTTTCTTTCTTCAGATTCACACACAAAAAGTTTCTGAGATTCTAAACAAACAAATTAACAAGTCATCTGCGTGGCTCTCATGCAGCTTTTAAAATATAGCTTATAGTAAAATGCTAATTTATACATTATATTTACTTATAACATCTATAATAATAGCTGTGACAGGCTTTTAGACATATTTTATTTTTATAAAAATACAGGTGTTAGCTTTATTAAATCAAGTGAAAAACAGATGTTTAAAAGTGTTTTTAAGATTGCATAGCTTCACTTATTTGTACCAACTGTAGATTATGCTAAACATGAAAGAAAATTTAATTTAATCCAATAAATATTCCATTTCCCTTGTTTAATCCCAGTCATACTATGTTTCATTTTTTACAATATAGTGTGAACATTTTAGAATGTAACATCCAGTGTAAGTGGTATGCAAATTTATCCACTATCTTTTTCATCTTTTTCATTTTTCCATTCCTTGCTATAGTATCTTCCATTTTCTTGCAAACAATAAAAAAAAACAAACAAAAAGAAACCTTCAACATTAACCAGAAGAACCAGTGTTTTGCTTCTCTCTTAGGAAAATGAAAAGGTGTTCTAAAATTTTCCCCCAGAAATGAGACTTGTAGTAATGCTGTTTTCGTTCATATTTCTTGGTTTCTGTGATTTTTTTGTTCCAAATAATTTTGCATTATTTATTAAGCATCTGAAAATTCATTTCTTTGCAAACAGAGGGAATGATAAGCCTCTCAAATGTGCTACATTAGAGGCAGATGATCAAAGGCAATGGCTGGAAAGGCATATTGATGTTATCTCATTTAGCAGAAAAACAACAGATGGTTTCCCAAAGGATATACAGGGAGCTTACAAAACCAGTTTTTACTGTGTTGGTAAAAAAATCAGGAAGTCTATAGCTACATGGCAACATACATTTATATCCTTGTATGTCTTTAAAGTTGCTTCTTCTCTAGAAAAACAATAATCATGTTTGGCTATTTTATGAAAGCTGTATGTGTCAGCATGATGTATGTGGGAAAAGAATGAAGGGCAATGAGAGATTCAAAATGCTCTCTAGGGAGCAGTTGTCTGAAGGAGCAGGATGCTCCTTTTTTAGTGAAATTCTTTCCAAGAAGTCATGAAGCTAACTGATTAATTTATTTCAGATTTTTTCCAAGAACAGAAAGTTGAACATTTCATTCATTTGCTATCACAGTCTTACATGCAGCAAATCCATTTGACTTTTGAAAAATCCACAACCAATACCAAAATTCTCAGTTTTTTTTTCTAATATTGTCGTAGACATTGAAATAGAGTAATTGTTCATATTCAAACATTCAAATTACCTGTCATAAAAAACTGGTCCATTTTATTCTCTTTAATTGGCCTGTTCATGTACAGTAATGGAAAAATCCAGAGTTAGGAATTTTTAATGACTTATCCTGTGACTGTGACAGTGATGGTGGCAGAGGAGACTGTTTTGTTTGAAATTTACTTGGAGTGAGGAGTTCCAAGAACTAGGAAGTTCAGTTTCTGATGAGCAATTTTCTACAGGCAATACAACATAAATGAGGGTGGTTTTAACATGATTATGAGCGAGGCATGTGTATACAAACTATTTTATTTGTAAACCATGACTTTATTAGATGTGAACTATTGAAAGAGAATAAAGAGTATAGATGATGATTCAACTAGTCCTAATCTGAATTTACATGTCATTACTCTATCCTTGCTCACTCAACCTCAGCTATATTGATCTTCTTGCCATTATACAGAAACATTAGGCACACTCCTGTAACAGTGCCCCTGAGCTTGGTATTCCTGCTTCTCTTCCTACAGACATTTCAAGAGAAGACTTGCTCCTTTTTTTTTTTTGTCAGGCGTTTGCCTCAAGTTTATCTTCTCAGTGAGGACTTCTAGGACTTCTCTACCTAATATTGCAATATCTCTCATCCCCAACATGATGTATGAATGGGAGCCTGGTGGAGCCATTATAGATATGGAAGAATAAAGGGATGAGCTCTGTTTTGAACACATTAAAATGGAAATGTTCTAAAGGGAGATAGTAAAACAAATCTGTATCTCTCTTTGCTGTACCTACTTCAAGAATGAAGCCTGTTCTTGGCAGGTTGCCTATGTTCCAGGAAATGTAATCACTCAGAAGGTTGTACAGTGATTGTGAAGGGCTGCAGAAGGGGTCTGCAGAGGGACCTCAACTACACCAATGTAGAGCTCAGCCTCCTTAAGAAGAGAAATAAGAGGCTCTCGGCTGATAAATGATGGAGAAGTAGAAAGGAGCTGGCTACCATTTGCACTATCTGTAGTCATGTATGGAACGTGACAAAGGGTGTTACACTGGGCTTTTGTTAAAAAATGAGGTTTGTGTGTGCTCACTTCCCCATCAAGGTTGTTATTCAGGAAAGTGGTCTCTTGATGAAATCTGAAATTTCTTGGGTAAAAAAATATATCTGCTTGTTTCAACTGAGGCCAGGCATTGCTTGTTCAATATCTCAAGCCCAGAAAGGTGAATTAATTCCCGAAGAAAATGACAAGAATTTGTATCAATTTCAGCTGCTTGGATTCAGCAAACCATAACAGTTAAAAGCAAGGATATCAGAAAATTTTTGTATGGTGTTAATGTATCTGAAAAAAAGAACAGTTCAGCATACTGATGAGTAAGAACTAAGAGCTGTCTTTAACAAAATGAGATGCCAGATGATTCCTAAGACCTATTAGTGATATTTTAAAGATTCAATAAAAGGTCTCTATTGGAAAACAAGGAAAAAGAAATATATAGTATAGGAAAGATATTAATTTTAATTGTGTACTTTTAGCAGTCCTTAAGATAAAAGTAATATGGATATCAAGACTTATGCTTCAGGGCATGATGAAATAAGTATTCATGGCAACTAGAAAACCCAAGTAAACTACAAAAACCATTTTTAAGGGTATCAGTTAGCTGCTGAAGCAAAATGGCATGGAGGAACTGGAATTCCAGGAAAAAAACGGGGATAATTTCAGAGGTAAACTGAGGAGCTATATAGTTTCCTTTTTCTCTGGGGACATTTGCAGATTTTGGCTAAAATGAAATATGAGCTTGGTTACAACAGAGAACTGCTGCTAAAGCACAGATAAATAATCACAGTTTTGGCAGCTATGTGGGTTAGAATAGCAAAGTTGGAGACCCAAGAGACCTCAAATATAGCTAATCTCCATCTCAAAAATTTACTATTTTCTGAAGATACGTAGAGCAAAAGTCTAAATAACTAAGTCATATAACGCTGAAAAGCAGAATGGAAATTTCATTATTCTTAGTACTCAAGAGACAAAAGATTCACTAAATTCTCAATCAAAAGCCTATTGAAGGTCACACCATCGGAGCAGATATAAATCATAGGTACACCGAGCCTTACCCAAACTGCATTCCAGCCTAAGTGTAGTCTACATCTGGATGAAGATGATCAATTCTCCATTCTAGTTTCATAGTAGTTGAAAGGGTAAATCCTTGTTGGTAGAAGATACCTTATAATGAAAAAATTGACTTTACAGTTTCTTTTTTATGCACAATATGTACAATCAATTACTAGGCTTGCCAATATACAGAACAAACCAACTAATAACCAAGGAAGTGAAAAAAATAGAAAGGGACAGATTCATAGGTGATATAGATATTGGAGTTAGCAGAGAAAAACATAAAAATAGCTTTGATGCTCAAGAAAATATTATAAAATATGGACAAACCTAGTAAAATTACGAAGAGTACAAACAGAGAATTTGAAACTAAAAAAAGAATCAAAGTGACATTCTAAAACTAAAAATATACTATCTGGGGGAAAAATTAAATGAATATGTTTACCAGAATATCAGGCACAGAATAAGACAGGTTCATTAACTGTAAGATGGGTCAATAGAAAATATCCAAACTGAAGTACTGAGAAAATAAATGAGAAAAGGGCTTAGGAATATGTGAAAGACCAATAGTGTCAAAACATAACTAAAAGTTCTAATACACATGCAGTTGGATTTTCAGAAGGAAAAGATTCAGGGAACTGCCATCCTAAAAGCAAAGAGCTGAGACTCCATCAAAAATGTTTTTAAGAGATAATGGCTCTACAATGATAAAAATGTATTAACCCACAGAGTTAAGAAGTTAAGACAATCCAATTAATATCAATACAAAGAAATGCTATCTGGCCATTGCAGTATTTCTGTTCAAACCTATGTAGAAGAGAATTTTAAAAGCAGTTAAGAAGAAAATGACACATTAACTTTGAAAGTGGAGCAATTACACTTAAAACGGCTGATTTCTCAAGAAAAGAAAATCCAAAGACAATGAAATGATGGCTGAAATGTTAGAAGAAAAAAACCCTGCAAATGTAGAATGCCATATGTAAAAATTATACCCTTCAAAAATGAAGGTGACTGGCCAGGCGCGGTGGCATATGCCTATAATCCCAGCACTTTGGGAGGCAGATCACCTGAGGTCAGGAGTTTGAGACCAGCCTAGCCAACATGGTGAAACCCCAACTCTACTAAAATACAAAAAATTACCTGGTCATGGTGGCACATGCCTGTAGTCCCAGCTACTCGGGAGGCTGAGGCAGGGGAATCTCTTGAACCCGGGAGGCGGAGGTTGCAGTGAGCTAAGATTGCACCACTGCACTCCAGCCTGGCGACAGAGAGAGTCTCCTTCTCAAAAAAAAAAAAAAAAAAAAAAAGTGACTGAGAGGTTTTCAACAAAAACTGAGTTAATTCCCAGTAAGCCTGCTTTAAAAAATATATATTAAATAAAGTTTCTTTTTTGTGTGTCTTTTTATTTTACTTTAAGTTCTGGGATCCATGTGCAGAATGTGCAGGTTTGTTACATAGGAATACATGTGCCTTGGCGGTATGCATGTGCCGTGGTGCTGCACCTATCAATCCCTGGTCTAGATTTTAAGCCCCTCATGCATTAGGTATTTGTCCGAATACTCTCCCTCCCCTTACCCCCCACCCCCAGAAAGTCTCCAGTGTGTGATGTTCCCCTCCCTGTGTCCATGTATTCTCATTGTTCAACTTCCATTTATGAGAGAGAACATGCGGTGTTTGGTTTTCTGTTCCTCTGTTAGTTTGCTGAGAATGGTGGCTTCCAGCTTCATCCATGTCCCTGCAAAGGACATGATCTCATTTTTTATGGCTGTATAGTATTCCATGGTGTATATGTGCCACATTTTCATTAATCAGTCTATCATTGATGGGGGTTTCTTTTGGCAAAAGAAAATGAAACAGGAAAACATAAAAGAATGAAGAGTATCAGAAAGGATGAATCTGTGGATAAATATAAATAAATGTTGATTGTATAAAATAATACTAGCAATATCTTGGGAAATTTAAAATATATAGAGAAGTAAAATTGGCAATGATTACTTAAAAAGTGGGCAATGATACATGAAGTTAAAGATTTTTAAGATTCTAGCATTAATATAGAAGTGATCATTTGTATTAGACAATTATAGAAAGAATGCATGCTGTAATCCTAGAGCATAAAACATAAAAAGAATAGTAAAACAACAAGTAAATAACAAATGTAGAATAAAAAATGGAAGAATAAAAATTTGCTTCATCCAAGTGAAACCAAGGGATTAAAAAGAACCAAATCATGTTAGTCAAATAAAAGAAATTATATAATGGTAGACATGGGCCCAACTCTATCAGTAATAATATTAAATATAAATGGACTAAGTGTCACAACGTAAATACAAAGATTATCAGATTAGAATAAAAATACTTACATGATACAGAAAACACATGTTAAATATAAAAACACAGAAAAAGTATAAGTAAAGCAGTAAAAAAGATAATTTCCTACAAACACTAACCAAAAGAAAACTCATATAGCTATACTAATATTCAGACAAAGCAGTCTTTAAGGGAGTCTTTATCTCTTTACTAGAGATAAAGAATGATACTTCACAAAGAGGTGAATATAACCAGAAGATATCAAAATTTTAAATATATATGCATCCAATAGCATGAATTCAAAATGTACAAAATATAATTAAGAAACAGAAAAGAGAAGTAGACATGTACATAATAACAATGGAGACTTTAACACACCTCTTGCAATATCTGATAGAAAGAAAATGTTTTTAAGTGAGTACACGGAAGATATAAACATAATTAAACCTTACTTCATTGGCACATATAGAATGCTACATCAAACAATGACAGATTTAACATTCTTTTTACGTACACATTGTACAACATTGTTCTTCTGCTCTGGATTGGTCATGGTTCTCCAGAGAAACAAAACCAATAGTACATATATATAAAGATATTTATTACTAAGAATTGGTTCACACAATTATATAGGCTGTCAAGCCTAAAACCTGTAGAGCTGAAGTCCCAGTTCAAGTATAAAGCTGGAAACTGCTGTAGAATCAGGAAGAGCTGATGTTCCAGTTCAAAGGCTGTCAGGCAGGAGAATTGTCTTCTACTCAAGGAAGGGTCAGCCTTTTGTTCTATTCAGGGCTTCAGCTGATTGGATTCAACCCACCACACTGGGGAGGGCAATCTGCTTTACTCCATCAATGTCCACCAATTTAAACCTTAATGCCATCCAAAAGCACCCTCACAGAAACAACAAGAATAATGTTTGACTAAATATCTTGGTACCACATGGCCCAGTCAAATTAACACATAATATTAATCATCATATTCCCAAGATAAAGAAATGTTCCCTGCATTCAGACCACAATGGGATCAAGCTAGGAATCAGAAAAAGATAGAAGAGAACACAAATTATCAGTAATACAAAAGAAAATGCTACTTCACTGCAGATTCTAAAGACATCAAAAAGATAAAAGTCTGATTATTCTAATGAAATAAACAAATTTCTAAAAATACACAACTTTCCAAACTTGACAACAAAGACATAGAAAATTTGAATAGTGGATATTTATTAAAGAAACTAAATTTGTTCTAAGTTTTTCTCACAAAGAAAATCCTAGACAACTTAACTGGTGAATAATCTTCCACGCATGAAAAGAGGAATAAGAGTAGTATTACACAAAATCTTCCAGATAACCAAAACAGAAAGAAAATTTCACAACCATTTTTATGAGGCCAACATAACTTTGATTCTAGAACCAGACAAAAATAAGAATTACAACCCTCAAGAGAAGCAGGGCTTAGAGGAATTAGGAATAAAAATGGAAGTGAGTGACCGGGCACGGTGGCTCACGCCTGTAATCCCAGCACTTTGGGAGGCCAAAGGGGGCAGATCATCTGAGTCGGGAGTTCGAGACCAGCATGGCCAACATGGCGGAAACCCCGTCTCTACTAAAAATACAAAATTAGCTGGGTGTGGTGGCTCATACCTGTAATCCAGCTACTCGGGAGGCTGAGGCAGGAGAATCGCTTGAACCTGGGAGGCAGAGGTTGCAGTGAGCCGAGATCGTGCCATTGCACTCCAGCCTGGGCAACAAGAGCGAAACTCCGCCTCAAAAAGAAAAAAAAAAAAAAACGGTGGTGAGTACGGCAGAAGCATAATAAGGAAAGGGAGCAAAGGTAAGATTAGAGGGAAATAGGGGCCAGTCTTGTAGGACCCTACAGGCCAGGGGAGGGGAGGATTTGGAAATTTATTTAGAAGCAGTAGGCATTGATTTACTCAAATTAATATGTTTAACCTAATTACCAGATTTCAAATCATAATTTATCAAGGAGAAACTTTACCTAATATCACCATATGTGATATTAAAGATTATTTGTTACTGAATCCTTTAAAATTTTTAAGAAACTATGCTTAAATAACTTTTCAAAAAATAAAAATATAATGCAACATTGAATATTTTTATTTGTATATCATACTATGACAAATTTTCATAATATTTATTTTGCTATAAAAATTGTGATTTGTAAAGGTACTTGTAAGTTGGATTATTAAAAAACATTGCAATCATCTCAGTGTTGATCTAATGTTATTGACTAATTTCTCCCCTCTGCAACTGTGAGTTAAAAAGATGTTCAGAAAAGTTTTCTTCTTTCCTGCTCTCATCTTGGTAACCCTGTCTTTGTTCTTCCTTACCTCTTTTCTTCCTTCTTTCGTGGAATACAGCTTTGAGGCCAATATACAGCGAAAAATACCAAAGGAAGCTCCCCTTACCTCTCAAGTATACTTCGACTAAAATTTTTAACAACTCACACAAGAAAAATTTGTATCATCTAGCTCATTGATATAAAATATTAAAATATGGCTCCAAGAAAAATTCTGAAACTTCGAGCTATGTTGGAAAAAACTCTGGACAATTTTTTTATTGCACCTGACTGCAAAAGTATATTCTCCTTTATGAAATTGCTAAAATCAAAGCCATGATTGCCATCAATGTGATATTCTCAGTAGAGTTTGTGCTAAAGTAACAAGCAAACCCTGAAACCTCTGCTTCTTAATACAGTTAAGAGTTTACCACCTGCCTTCACAATATATGGTGCAGGTTAAGAGGATCTTCTAGGTGACTTCTAGGTGACTCCTAGGGTCACTTCTAAGTGATCTTCCTCAGGTGACCTAAAGATTTAGGCTTCTTCTATCTGTGTCTATTGTCTTGGAGTCTTTGCTCCTGACCATGTGGACAAATGAGAATGAGAAAGATCATGAGAACCTGCCAGAGTCCCAGCAATATACATCTCTTCCACTCACATTACTTTCCCAGAGCTAATTATATGGTCCCAACTAAATGCACATGATCTGGCAAATGTCTTCCCATGTGCCCACAGAGAAAGAGGAATTAAAAAAAAATCGCTTGGTGATCACATAGCATCACTGAAAATGCATATTTGATGAATAGCTCACAGGCATGTAAGTTAATATTGAAGGCCACAAAAATAAGATATCTGTTCTTACTTTTTCAAAAAATGAGTCATGCCATTGTAGTAGTGGGATAGGAGAGTTCTCTGGACCCCTTTGCGGGACTTGTGATGGGGTGTGGCCCACTTAGACACCTTGTACAAGGGGGAGCATGCAGGCAAGTGGGTGCTGGGGCCAGGACGAATGCTTTTGGGCTCCAGCCCCATGGTAGCATCTAGGGATGTTTTACAATTAATGTTCTTTTAGAAGTTGCTGTCCACAGACAGATAAGTGTTAACCAGCACAGTGGAGAGTCAGGGTGACAGCTTTTTACACCTTCCTGGTACCAGGGTCCTTGTTTGGCATCCAGGAAGAATCAGGCCACACTGACTTGAAGGATGGTGAATGAGGAGGTTTTATTGAGCAATGGAGGTGGCTCTCAGCAGGATGGGGAGCTGGAAAGGGCATGGAGTGGGCAGATAATCTTACCCTAGAGTTTGGAGAGTTTGGCCTTCTGACCATCCTGCTGCCTCTTCAACATTCAGACACTTCTTCTCTTCTCCCTTTCTCTGCTGTACCACTCTGCTCCTCTGCCAGTGGAGTTTGGGGTTTTTATGGGTACAGGATGGGGGACGTGGCAGGCCAGGATGGTTTTGGGAAAAGCCACATTCGGGTGGGAAAACAAGAATGTAAAGTTTTCATTTAGGGCCGTGGGTGGGGCTTTTGCCAGGGAAGTGCCCTCTTCTACCCAGTATTTCCCTGCCGCTTGTCCATACCAGTAGGAGATAGAGTAAAGGAAGTTACAATGAGAAAACTATTCCTTATTATCATTGACAAATTGTTGGCCACTTATAACCACAGGTAAAGTGAAGTAAACAATAATGCATGATTTATTTTGCCTCTAGCTTAAACATACATCAAAACTCCAACTCTTAAAGGCCTTTTTCATCTCTGGGAGTATCTCAAGCTGATTTGGAAAATAAGAGAAACCTTGAATAAATATACAAAGATCCACTGTCTTTTTCAGAAACAATGCCCACAATGATTTTATTTAGTAGCAAGTTACAGAGGCCTATACTTCAAAATAACCATTTCTTCCAGCTACATTTTAAGTAACTATATAATATGTTAAATATATATAAAATATATAATAGATATTAAAAATTAAGAGTTTACCTCCTGCCTTCACAATATATGGTGCAGGTCAAGAGGATCTTCTAGGTGACTCCCAGGATCACTTCTAGGTAATCTCTCTGAGATGACCTAAAGAATTAGGCTTCTTCTATCTGTATCTACTGTCTTGGAGTCTTTGCTCCTGACCATGTGGACAAACGAGAATGAGAAAGATCATAATAATTAAATATCCATTATATATAATTTAAATACCTATTATATATAAATTATAGATATAATTGATATATAATATAAATATCTATTATATAAATTAAATTAATTATATATTATATAGATTTAAACATGTATATATTTCAGGGAATTAAATAAAACTTTAATCTGCTATAGAGCTAGAAGATAAAAAGCTGTAATCACTATGGATAAAACAAACAAACAAAAACAACAGCAACCAAACAATAAAACTAGAGCTAATGCCTGTCAAAACAATAACTTAATAGCAGGAAGTTAGCATGCAAAAAGTTAATTATCTTATGAAAAGCTACTTTCTCTCTGCCTGCAGCAAGGGATGTCTGAGTCAGAAACTCAAAGCGCTAATTGCCTGAGTTTAGAAACTCCTGGGATTTATATGTCAGAAGGTCAAAATACCAGTATAGGTAAATGAAGGCTCCTTAGCATGAACTAGCAATTGGGTTGTGGTGCTGCAGATATTTTGTATTAAATGAAAGGATTTACAGGGAAAATAACCCAAGGGAATGGTGAGTTAAAAGCTGGTGGCAAGGGGAAGGCTTAGAACAAGGCAATCATTAAAAGTCCTTTGGAATTAACTTCATTAAAACAGTTAATAATGCTCTCTTACAACAAGCCTCAAAGTTGCATACAATTTTTTTTGGTTTGGGTTCTCCTTCAGAGACAGTAGTTTACTGCTGACTTTGCATATATATATTCCATATGAAATTTTCCAAATGCATACAGGGAAGGTTTTTGGAGACAAAGGGAGAAGACTGTAAACAGAGATCTTGCAGAATGTTTTCCTTTCTGTTCTCGACCCTTAATAAATTTCTGCTGAAACTCAGAACTGGTTTTCTTACACGCCCCCCCTCCTGTGTTGCTTTCCTTCTCTCCAGTATGCTTTATTTTGAAACAAACAATGTGGAGCAAGTCCAGTAGCTGCTCTGTCCTTCACAACTTCCTAGTCCCAGAGGAAATAGAGCTAAGTTACAGGCCCCTGGAAGACAACATCTTTAGAGTTAGGAGGGCAATGTTAGTGCAGAGCACCTCTGTTTTAAAGTATTTACAATCAGTGCCTTTTAAAATTCAAATTGTATTTTAAATTTATTATTGTAAGAGTAATATGCTCATAAAAATTAAAACAAAAGTTGGGCTTAGTGGCTCACGCCTGTGATCCCAGCACTTTGAGAGGCTGAAGCAGGTGGATCACTTGAGCTCAGGAGTTTGAGACCAGCCTGGGCAACATAGTGAGACCCCATGTCTACTAAAAATATAAAAATTAGCTGGGTGTGGTGATATGTGCCTGCAGTACCAGCTACTCGGGAGGCAAGAATTGCTTGCACCCAGGAGACAGAGGTTGCAGTGAGCTAAGATGGTGTCACTACACTCCAGCCTGGGCAACAGAGCGAGACAGCCTCAAAAAAAAAAAAAAAGAAAGACCAAAAACAAATATAATTTGTCAAATCAAATCTATAAAACAAATCTAGAAAGAATTAGTAATCCCTCCCTGCCTTCTCCTCCAATCTAAAGAATTTGATATGAAGTCTGTTTCCATAGATAACTGCATATATATATATATATATATATATATATATGTGTGTAGCATATATATGTACATCTATGCACTAAAAAATTGAGGTGTAATTTACATACAATCAAATATACACATTTTAAGTGTACAATGTAATGAGCTTTGACAAATGTATATGATACAAATAGGAGACAGGGAAATACTGGATAGAAGAAGGCAGTTCCCTGGCAAAGGCCTCACCCTAAATGAGAACAGGCAGTTCTGTTTTTGTGCTGAAAAGTTGCCTTTTGACCTGCCACACCCACCTATCCTGTACCCATATAAACCCCAAAACCCCAGCTCCATAAGGAGATGAACAGAAGAGCAGAAGAAGAGCAGAACGGCATGGCAGAGAGAAGAGAAGGAGTGTCTGAACACCAAGAGGAGTTCAGCTGGGGGCAGTCGGAGAGGAGATTGGCGGCTGGATGGCCAAACTCCAGGGACAGATCATCTTCCCACTCCATTCCTTCTCCAGCTCCCAACCATCCTGCTGAGAGCCGCCTCCACCACTCAATAAAACCCCCAGATTCATCCTTCAAGTCTGTGTGTGGCCTGATTTTTCCTGGACACTGGACAAGAGCTCAAGATACAGAAAGCTGTCACACTAGCCCTGTGCCCTTGCAAAAGGGCAGAGGGTCTACTGAGCTGTTTAACACTTAAGCTGTCTGTGGATGGCAAAGCTAAAAGAATGCACTGTTACACGCACCCACTTGGGCTTCAGGAGTCACAAACACCCACCCCTGGATGCCGCCATGGGGCCGAAGCCCAGGGGCACTCACCTTGGCTCCTGCACCTGCCTGTCTATGTACTCTCCCTCCTGTAAGAGCTTTGAGTGCACAGCCTGGCCACAGCCCTGTCACATCTCCTGCAAGGGGGATCAGGGAATGCTCCTGCTTCATATACACCTGAGTAATCATCACCCCAGTGAAGATATAAGTTCTATCTATTACCCAAGGCCCCTTTCCAGCCAATTCTAACAGCCACTTCCCCCCACACCAAGGTAACTACAACTCTAATTTCAAACATTATAAATTAGTTTTGCTTTTCCTTAAGTTTTATATACATTTTGTGTATGATTTCCTTTGTTCAATATAATGCTTTTGGATTTCCTTTACATTGTCACATTGTTCCTTGTATTGGTCAAGTAATATTCCATTTTGTATGGGTACTTCATTTTAAACCTCTTTTTCTCCAAGACTACAACTTTATTTGTTTATAATAGCTTTTCTGTAATCTTTTAACTAGGTTGAATGCATTTTACAAATACACCAATGTCTTTTTGCTCCTAAAATAAATTATGAAAACCCTTACCAAGGCCTGTGAGTTCCGCAGGGCTGGCTCCTATTTCCCTCCAACGTTATCTCTTTTTTTCCCTGGATTGTGATGCTTCTTCCCTACTGGCCTTCATTTTTCATATTAACTCTTCTAAGCTCCTTCCCTCTTCATGGAGGGTGACTTTGTTGTTTTCTTTGCCTGGAATCCTCTTTCCTCAGTTCTTTGCTTGCCTAGGTTTTTATAATTTGTATTAGTCTGTTCTCATGCAGCTAATAAAGACATACCTGAGACTGGGTAATTTACAAAGGAAAGAGGTTTAATGGACTCACAGTTCCACATGGTGTGGGAGGCCTCACAATCTTGGCAGAAGGCAAAGGAGAAGCAAAGGCATGTCTTCCATGGTGGCAGGCAAGAGAGCTTCTGCAGAACTCCCATTTATAAAACTATCAGCTCCCATGAAACTTATTTACTACCACAAGAACATTATGGGGGAAACTGCCCCCATGATTCAGCTATCTCCACCTGACCCAGTCCTTGACATTGGGAATTATCACAATTCAAGGTGAGATTTGGGTGGGGACACAGTCAAACCGTATCATCATCCTTCAAGTTTCTGCTCAAGTATCAGCTTCTCAGAAAAGATCACCCTAGCCTTCCAATTCAAAGTGGCCCCCATCTTGACACACTGTTTGTTAATGGTACTTACCAGAATGCAATCTTTGATGAGCATGCTCATTTTAGTTTAGTTGATCACCATTCACTATTCCCTAGCACTTAGCACTATGCCTGGAGCAGAGCAGGCAGTGAAGAAATTGAAATGATACAAGCACCACTGCCCAAATGACTAGTGTTTCCATCTAACATTGAAACATAATGACCAGCTCTCACACAAATTTAAATATTAATAGATCAGGAGAAAAGCAAATTCAGGAGAAATGATAGCACAGGCATTTCACCTTTACTGAGACCTCATTTTTAGAAGAAAACAAAATCCACACTTAATTTAAAAATCTATCCTCTTATGTATAACATCCAGCATTATGTTTCAAAATGAGAATGCTTCACTGTAGCTGCATATTCATTGAGCATAAGCTCTACTTTTTTTTCCATTTCTAAATGTACAGTTGTGTTTTAATTAAGGGTAATATCTTTCATTAGTGGCCTTTGGGAAAATCCCATTAATTAAAGATGAGAAACAAATAGGTGACATTTACAAGGACACCACTATTCCAAAGCACATATGCCTGCCCATATGAAAAGAGAACTATTTAAAGTCTCACAGTGTGGTGTTATTAATGGTCCTCAGCTGAGCAATCTTCTGAAAAGTACAATTTTGATTGGACTATAATTTACTTTTCTGTAGGTAATGGAGACAGGGTCAACTCATCAAAGAATGCAGAAAAGGAAATGTAGGGGGAGAGTGATGGAGAGAGCAGCTGTTAGGTAAAGTATAAGAAATGAGAAATAAAACCTTGAAAAAATTCTTCACTTAACACACACAAATGCAGCAAAAATACAGTCTTTGGAGCCATAGTTTGAATTCATGGCTATTTGTAGGGGAAATTTTGCAAAGGCTAGTAGGTAAGCCAAATAATTTAATAGCTAATATAGCCAGTGAACTTTGTATACTATGAAGCTAAAATAGCTCGATAATACTGTGGCAACATCTTTGGTAACTATTCCCAGACAAAAACAATTAAAGACTCCAAAGCTTCTCTTTTACATAGTCACTAATTAGTTCATGAGATAATTTTTTGTTTTTCTAAGTTTTTAAAATTTAATTTCTCATCCTAATGAAAGACTTCAAGTATACAGCTGATGTCATGTTTAAAATATTGCTCAGACACTTTCTTTTTAAAGGTTATTAGAAACCTCACTTTAACTGAAGCAGTCAAGTAAGTTCCCTTTCCCTACCCCTGAAGGAAGCAGGAGATTTATTCTCAAGACAAATTGAACCAGAGAGGATGTAGATTAGGGCACACCATGCCTGTCAGAGGGCAAGGGTAAGGAACCAGACTGAAAACAAGGAGATAAGTTGAATGAATAGCTGCAGGTAGAACCATAAGTGCCCCACCCGCAACCTCCTTTATTACTGGTTCAAAGAAGATAGGAAGCTAAGCTTATCATCATCAACACACACACACACACACACACACACACACACACACACACACAGCAACAGTAGCAGCAGCAGCATATCATCAGAAGATTCATTTCTAGAGAAACTTCAAGGGTCCAAATGAGAGACCAAATTAATATATTACCCAAAGGTGAAAAAAAAGCCTAGAAAATAAACTCAAGAGGAGAGTAACACTTAGGAAACTAACTGAAAAAAAATAAATAAATTCAAAAAAGAAAGAAAGAGAAAGAGAGAAAAAAAGAAAGGAAGGAATAAAGAAAAGAGGAAGGAACGAAAGAAGGAAGGAAGAAAGGGAGGGAGGGAGGGAGGAAAACCAAGCCAGAGAGGTAAGAGAAGCACCAGGAAAATAAACTATGATGGTACCTAAGCCAAGAAAAAAACGACACTGCCCAGTGTCCAATGCTGAGGACAGGATAAGCCAAATGAAAATGGAAGCATGCCCACTAAATGTCACCATCACCACCCGTGTGTATTTTGTTTTGTAGCCTTTACAACAGCATTTTCTTTAGAGTAGTGTGTAGGGAAGCCAGAGTGTTGGTTGAGGAATAAGTGGCAAATTAGAATATTGAGGGAGGTAATGTAGACCATTCTTTCAATATGTATAGTTATAAAGCAGTTGAGAGATTTAGCAAAGGGCCTGGAAAGAGTGGAGAGTTGGAATGAGTAAGGTTTAGTTGTTTGTTTGTTTTCCCAATATTGCTTTTAAGAAAGAGGTTTGTGGAGATCTGAGTCCTTACTAAAAGAAGCAAGGAGAAAGAAGCAAGCTGACCAAAGGAAAGTAAGTTGAGTCATCAATGAAGTGAGGTCATGGTACAGGTGGATCCAGAGCCCAGGTGGCAAGAAGAGTCCATGCAAGAGAGGGTTCACCTCTTTTCACTAAAAAGGAGGAAAGGTTTGCAGACTTGGTAGCAGGAAGAAAAAGAAATCCTTTTTCAAATTTCTGTTTTCTCTGTGAAGTACATGGTGAGTTCACATGTTAAGAAGGAGAAACAGTAAGAAAGAGGAGTCAGAGGTTTCAGAGTAGTCACGATAGAGAAGAGAAGCAAGGGTTGATAGGGAACTGACAAAATTGCCAGTGTTAGCAGTTGAGAATAGTAGCTGAGTGTATTGTGTTCTGAATAAGCATTTCTGTGTAACGTTTCAATAGTCCAAAGGGTCATAAAAGGTAAGCGGTTTGGTGAATGTGTTACCAGACAGATACAATGGGAGGGCATTGAGGAGGAAGAGTTTAAGATGTTAATAAGAACAGTAGAAATAATGCATCATTGATCCAAGTTTTTTAGGGAAGAAAGAGAATGCAGGATAGAACTGATTAGGAAAATAGTAAAAGGGTTCATGGATTAGTGATCAAAATGAGATAGAAAAATCGACATAATGGAAGTAAATTGAACAGAAAATAAGGATCTCAGAAAATGGCACCTGCATACACCTAGATATTGTCCTCAATTCCTCCTTTATCGCTGAATCCACTCCATGAGTGAGTCTCATTAGTTTCACAACAAAAGTATTTTCCCAAACCTGTTTACTTTTCACCTATCCTCTGCTAACACCCTTGTCTAAAGTACCATTAGACCACTGTGACATCCTGCTTACAGAGTCCTGCTCCCACTCTTGTCTCTGGTCTTCTCGTAACTTCTTCTCCAGATAGTAGCCAGAGTGATCTTCTCTGAATTGACTATGCCCTCAATTGCTCCCAATCACACTTTCAATGAAATCTAAATTCCTTACCAAGGCCTCCAAGGCTCTAGACAACCTGCCTTGTAGACCTCTCTGATTTTTGTCTCTTAACACACTTATGACCGATGAGGAAGGCATGGAACTCAGAGGCTAGAATGCTGGATGGATGGTCCATATAGCATTGAAGTCACAGAACACGAGGGAAGTATGATGCAGTGAAAAGTTCCCCAGAGATTTCACTTTTTGTTTAACCATTCATTTTAATAAAATTATAAAATGAATCAGGGGAAGCAATATAAACATACTATACTGCAAACCTTTTTAAAGATATGATCTACAACTTACTCATATTTATATCCCCAGCAATTAGCATATTGTTTGGTAGGACAGGCACCCAATAAGTTTTGATTGGTTAAATAAATCAATGCATAAATAAATACACATAGAGGTTTCACAGATGGGTGTGTTAGAATCCATTCTTCTTACCTGCCAGGCATCTCTCTTCTCCAACTTTGCTTTGAGAAATAACCCAGTCTTCACTATGTGTAGTTTCACTGGGACTGTTAGCCAAGGAGATCTACTCACTCCCTGCAGGTGGCCCAGTCAAAGCCAATCAGAGTTATTTGGAGAATTTGAATCTTGACCAAAATGAGGTTGAGATGGGAAAACTGTTGGAGCTCGTTAATGCAAATGGTAATACCCTGAGATTTTCCTTAGATCCTGCTCCCCAAGTCCCTGGGACATCCTGATTTCTCTGCTTTTTGAGAGGTAGTTCCTCAACTTTTCCATCACTATTGTGAGTTGCATCATGGTATTCTAATAAATGCTTTCTTTTTGACTTAAGTTAAACAGAGTTATTTTCTCTTGCTTGTAAGCAAAAAACCTTAACTTAAAATTTCAAATTTAACATGATTAGGGGAAAGCATATTTATTTTAATAAATATTGAGTGCTGCTATGTGCCAAACATAATAATGAGTACCAAAAACCTTCGAAGTTTTATCGGAAAGAGTTCTTATCTTCAAAAAACTTAAAGGTCTTTTTTAGGGACATAAGGAGTATGATCAAATAACTATAAGATAAAATGGATTTAGTGGTATACAACACACAGATGAAGTGAAAAGGGAATTGAGGAAAGGGATTTGCTCAGCTGGGGCAATTATAGTAGAGCCAACACTTCACCTGAGCTTTTAGGGTTAGGGCATTCTGACTAAGGAAAGGCATCTAGGATCAGCAGAAGCAGCACACAAAGATGGGAAAGCATCAAGCATGAGTGATGATCAGCAAGTAGATCAGTTTGCTAAATGTATGAAGGAAAATAACGAGCAATTAGTTTGCAAATAGTAGATTGAAGCTGAAAAGTCAAGCTAAGAAAAATCTGGTTTAGATTTTGTAGGCAACAGGGAGCCAAAAACATTATTTATGCAGAATTGCGCTTGGAACAAAGTCATATATGATGTACTGGAGCAAGGAAAAGATGAAACTGAAGAGACAAATTCCAAGGTATTGCAATAGTCCAATCAAAGGATAATTAGCACCAGCATGAAGAAAATTTCAAATACTTTCTAATTGCCAGTGGAAGGAAAAGTAAGACTCAAAAAAGGCATTGAGACCCTGAGATGAATAAGATGCTGAAATTGATACACAATATTCCACAGCTCTGTATTTCAAATCATTTTTTCTGCCTTCCCCCTCCCGAGTTTTAGTCATCCATTTCCAGCTACCCACAGAACATCCTCACTTGGAAAGACCAGTATTATCATAAACCAAAATGCCCAGAGACAAACTTATTGCTCCTTTTATCCTCTACTCCCAAGTTACTGCCTTTTCTTTTTACCCTGCAAACTTAAAAGTATCTCTGCCTCTTCCTGTCCCTTGACTCCTATCAATCTCTACATCCCATCAACTAGATAAGACCCTTATTCAGTCATGACAGGTTCACTGCAGCAGATTCCTAGTAAATCTCTCTATTTCCATTTTCTCCCCACTAGATAGCAGAAGATCAATAAATTCTGTCTAAAGTTGATAAATTAATCTGGCAAGTATAATGCAGCTTTCACTGACACATGGATTTGCTAAAAGCACCTTTTAAAAATATTACTCCCATGTCAAGAAATTACAATGGATCCTACTGGCCCCCGATTTTGGTGGGCAATAACTGTTTCTATTTCTTTTGATTTCTTGAGGTCTACTAAGTTATCTATGTCTGCATGTGTGTTTGGGGATGGGGGGTGTAGAGGGTGTGATTGTGGGCATGTGCACACACTGACAGGAGAGCCAAGGAAGAGAGATAGCAGAGGAGCTGGGCTTCTCGAGGGTGAAGGCTATATCCCAGCTAGACACCATCTTATTAGACTTAACTATGGAGGGGAAAGGAAACTGAAAAGGCAACCACTGTACTTGTATCTACTAGGGTGAGCTCTGATTCTGTTTATGTATTTAGCTACTTGGTTTTCAAAGATTTCTATCAGTTGAACACATCCATACAATGTCCAGAATTAACCTATATTACCCCAAAAAGACTGACCCTGTGTAGCTGTAGGTGTTTTGAAAATACCTGTCCACACAGATATACACATGTCCCAGCCACAGCTCTGCATACCTATACCTCAGCCCTGGCCCCTGCCTGGATCTGTTGTCTACAGGCCTCCTGCCAGTCAAAGCAGAAGCTCTGACTCTGCTTCTCCCCAACCCCACCTCCCACCCCCACCACCTGAGACCCTGTAAGAAGACCACTTACTTTGGCCAAGACAAGTATGGGGCCTGGTCTCAGCCATACCACTGCTGCCTCATGTCTGTGTACACTATCAATTAAAGTGCATTTGTTTCTGCGTTAGTCCGTTTCTGTGTTACTATAAAGAAATACCTGAGACTGAGTGATTTACAAAGAAAAATTGTTTAATTGGCTTAATCGGCTCATGGCTCTGCAGGCTCTACTAGCATGGCACCAACATCTGCTTGGCTTCTGGCAAGGGCCTCTGGAAGTTTACAGTCATGGCAGAAGCTGAAGCAGGAGCGAGAGCATCACGTGGAGAGAGCGGGAGCAAGACACCAAGGAGGGAGGTCCCTTGGTGTCTTGGATTAAATCCCTTGGATTAAACAATCAGATCTTGCATGAACTGAGCAAGAACTCACTTATCACTAAGGGGATGGTCCTAACTCATTCTTGAGATCCACTCCCATGATCCAATCATCTCCCACCAGGCCCCACTTCCAACATTGGGGATCACATTTCAACATGAGATTTGGAGGGGACGAACATCTAAACCATATCAGTTTCTTAATGAAAAAAATGTTCACTCAAGTAACTGCAGGTTGCTTTACACCTAATCATCATCACCTGGAAAAGAACTAGATTCATTCTGGTAGAAAAGACATAGCCAAGGGTAATTTAATATGATTTTAGTATATTCTTAATGCTTACTCAGAGATTGATAACCTAAGATCAAACCAGTTTCAGTGTATCCAGTCTCAGACAAATATTGATTTAAAAAATGTTTTTAAAGTAATGTGTAATCACCTTTTGTGAATATCTTTAAAAGAACATGTGTTGGCGGTGCTCAAGTCTGGTCCTATCTGAAGTCAGGCTGACAGAGAGGACAGGACCACAGTGACAGTTTTCTTAACTTACAGCCCAGGTCCCTTACATCTTACTGTAGTTCTGTGCATTCAGGACAAGCTTAGGATGAAATGATAATGTTCCCAAGTTTAATGAGTTCAGAATGAACAGATTTATAGGTATTTCAGATTGGCACTGTTTGCGGTGGGTGTAAGAATAGGATGACAGATGTGTTTGTTATAAGATAAAAAGTTTTAGCTGAATGCATGAATTTAGTAATTATAAGACTTTGAAGTATTCTTTTTATTTAGTATATATAGTTATATATAGTTCATTTAGAGATACACTTTTTACAAAGCCTTGAAATAATTCCTAAGAAGCTCAGATTCAAGCCTCTGCTTCATTACTCAAAGGTCTCCATGTTGGAGGTTTCTGACATCATCATTATTAAAACCTGGCATTGTTTCTAACATCTGGGCTGTATAAAGGGAAAATAAAAGGCATTATGGAAACTATCACTGAAGCCACTTTTTAATTAATGTTTAAACAAACCAACAAACACACACATAGCAGGGTTTATACTGGAGTGTCTGACTGCTATTTTTCATTCTGTTCTTTGAACCTTGTTTTTTTCTTCTCTAATCACTGAACCATAATTCATCAGCACTACAAGGATGAATTTCACTGCAGTTACATTTCCTCCTGAGGAAAAACAAATAGCTCACTGTGGCTATGACACACTTGATCTACAGTGCTTTGGCATATAAATTTTTGTTTTGTAAAAATAAAGCTTCCATATACCAATTTTTACATCAAAATTCATTAAGGCTAATATTTATTCATTTATTCATTCCCCATGTATTTATTAGCTACCAAATGCCAGATGCCTTATCAAGCACTAATATTCAATGATTAGCATATACATGTTCTAGCCCGAAAATTATATGTAGCATTTATTATTGAAATTCTTGACTCAGTTACAAGCCAACAGGAAGATTAATTTATTCTTTTTTTCATATCTGCAACAGATTTATTTTTTTTAAGGAATGGATTTTGAGACCAAAAACGTGGGGCAGAGAAGGTTAGAATAGAAAATAAATACATATGTAAGCTGTTTTGTTAATTATTTTATAACCACAACAAACTAGTACAGATAATGCCCCAAACAAAACACAATAAAGCTTCAAAAAAGAAGTGTTCCCTTAGCACAGCTGGATATTCCAGTCTCTGGTATTTGGAATTTAGGCTGCAATCCTTGTTTTTGGATAGATCACCGGATGTGTGGCACAGGCCATGCTTTTAACCAGATTTGAACAAAAAAATAGCCAGCTGGCCCAGGTAGAAGTAGATGAAGTGTTTGGCTTCACGTGTGACAGAATTGCCTAGGCTCCCCCACATGATGCAATACCGGATGGGATTGTACTTCCTGTCAAATTTCTTCTGGATATGGGCCACAATGTCCTTTTCTATGACATATGTCTCCAGTGCCTGAGTAGCACATTCCACTGAGTCCTGTTGCATTTATTCTAACGTGTCCACATTTTGCATTTTTCATCATGTGGTTACCATGGAGCAGGAGGTTGTCCACTGCAAAAGTCTCCTGGGGGAGATGCTGGGTATCCTGGGAAGGTGCTAGCATGGCTTAGGCCCAGTGGGAGCATCTCAATTTATTCTTATGAATATATATATATAGCACACATGTATACATAACTGGCTTTAGCTACTGGTGTCCTTTCTATTGCTGGGGGCTCTCAACTACAAATGTCAGCTGTAAGTGTGGGAGACAGACTTTTGTAAATCCCACAAATAAAGACAATATAATTGTAATGTAGATGAGTGCTACAAGGAATGGCATTTGAGTTGCCATAAGACTATAAAAGAAAGAGAGAACAACTTGCCCCAGGAAGTGGATTTTTTACATTATAAACTGAAGAATAAGCAAGGAGTTAAGAAGGGAAGGGGTGAAAAAGAAATTTGAGCCTGAGGGTGCAGCACCTGCACAAGTTTCATGGTAGAGGGGAAAATAACGCCTTCCAAGACCTGAAGGCAGTTTGGTATGGACAGGGACAGAATGAGAAAATGATTTGAGAGAGCATCTGGGGAGTCAAAGAATAAAGCACATTTGCTGCTTACTCATACTCTTCTTCACATGATTCCAGAGTTTGGAGTCATCTGTAGCATAGAAGACAGTTACACAGTTTGTCAGCTGGAGTTTCTGGAGAGAGTTTTGCAAATGTGTCTCTATCCAACTGGAGTATGAGCAGGCTCATAAAAAGTGACGGCCATTGTCCTCAAACTTTCCTCCATTCCCCTAAGCCAAAATTGGAGATGCAGGGGATTTTGCGTTCCTTAAGAAAAACAGAGTTAAACCATGTCCTTAATCACCAGTTGTCCCCTATCACAGCACCATCTCTCCCCCCACGTACACATCAGGCCACTCAGCATGGCAGAATAAGAGGAGTAAGCCTTATCCCAAGCTTCTCTGAGGTGTTGGGCCATCTACTGTTGTTCATTGGACTGAAAAAGCTAGTTGACCTCCAGGACATCAATGCCACCAGCACCAAACAGCAAAGCCTTGAGGATACCAGCTATTGGAGTTAGCTATGGGTATGTCTCTCTCTCTATCTCTCTCTCTGTGTGTGTGTGTGTGTGCATGCATGAGCATGTGTGTGTGTGAATAAATTGACCTTTCTGTTTGCTCACAACAGAAAGAATGTCAAGACTACGTGCTATATATAATTGTGATTAAAGAAGTCTGTTAGATGTATTAATAAGTTGTTTAATATCTTCCCATCTGTCTGCT
Organism: Homo sapiens; assembly: GCF_000001405.40. Taxonomy (NCBI): domain Eukaryota; kingdom Metazoa; phylum Chordata; class Mammalia; order Primates; family Hominidae; genus Homo; species Homo sapiens. Next base: position 154,656,061 of record NC_000003.12, on the reverse strand, counting down.
GGAATGCAAACTCACCTAAACATAGGGACCATGTCTTTCTCATTCATCACTGTAGTCCAGTAGAGTGCCTTGCATGTAGTAATCACTAAAACATTTTTTCTGTTATTAAAAGAATGTTGTCATTCCTCTGTTGGGGGACAGTGAAGGAAGAGCATATGTGAAGGGAAAGATCAGAGACCTGGAGCTCCTAGGACAAATATGAACCCTGGTTGTGAAATAGAATTATTGAATTAAGGCTGCATTTTGAGGGATTGAATAAGATTGCAGAAGAAGAAAAGATAAAGTGAGATAAGATAGACACAAACATAAAAACAATATTCTGAGTCTACTACAGTAAATAAAAGAACAAAGAAATCTGGGGCAACCAAAAGAAAAGGAATTTCCTTGGGGGCATGTAGGGTAGGTTAAAGTGGTCTAGGAAAGTGAAAGTGTTACAAGTAGATGTTGCAAGTAGAGCAAAGGCTATTGGCAAAGGCAAGGAGTGAGGAGGATGAAAATAGTTTTGTTTGAGTGTGTGTGTGTGTGTGTGTGTGTGTATTAGTTCAGTGTTATGAGAAGCAAAAAGTCAGGCAGAGGATGAAACAAATAGTAGGACCAAGAATGCCAAGCCAGGTCTGTGCTTTAGTTGTATTATCAAGATGTAATGTGGAGGCTGAATTTAAAGAATGACCAACAACAGGGAAGAAATTATATGATGAACGGGGAGATGGAAATAAATGCTGGATAGGAGAGACAAGAACCAGAATCTTGAGTAATTTTTTTTTTTTTTTTTTTTTTTTTTGAGACGGAGTCTCGCTCTGTCGCCCAGGCTGGAGTGCAGTGGCGGGATCTCGGCTCACTGCAAGCTCCGCTTCCCGGGTTCACGCCATTCTCCTGCATCAGCCTCCCAAGTAGCTGGGACTACAGGCGCCCGCCACTACGCCCGGCTAATTTTTTGTATTTTTAGTAGAGACGGGGTTTCACCGTTTTAGCCGGGATGGTCTCGATCTCCTGACCTCGTGATCCGCCCGCCTCGGCCTCCCAAAGTGCTGGGATTACAGGCGTGAGCCACCGCGCCCGGCCTTGAGTAATTTTTATAATAACCCCTTTAGTGACTTTGGCAGATATTTAAGAAAAGAGTGAATAAATGACTGAATCTATCAAACAACCAATTCATCAATGTATTAATGACAAAACTTACGTTTAGGAGCTTATACAGCTAGAAGAAAAATGATAGAATTGCTGGGGGTTAAAACAAAAACTGTAGATACTTTAAATGAAAGAAAAAATATACATTTAAATTGTCATACATGCAACATATAAATTATCTATAAGAACTTTCTTTTCTTTTCATGTTTTCAGCCATGGAGCAAAGTGGCTAGGGAGTACTTTTGTGACTTTACAAAATAGGATATTCAAAAGCATTGAAATCATGTAGATCAAATTTTGTTTCCTTAGTAACTCTTTCACTTGTATTTGTGAAATTTTCAATCTAATGGCTGTAAGACTATTGAATTTCAAATATAGTCAGATCCCTACGGTTACATTTAACCCAAACTTGTTATTATAATTCTTATTTTCTAAAAAATAGAATTGACCATAACCCTATGTTGCTATAAGTGCCTATCATAATAATGTATAAGACAATATGATGTATTTTATACATCCTAATGTATAAGTGCAAAACATGTTCCTTGAGTTTGGCATAGAATCTTTGGTGTGTCTAACAGATATTTTGCAATTTTGCTTCCATTAATGTGTTCACCTTTATTCCTAACCTATAGCCAGAAAGTTAAACTTGCTCTAAGGCCCAGAAAAAGTAAAAATATAAAGTCATGTAGCTAGTGAGTGAAGGAACCAGGACAAAAACTGTTTAGCTTTACTATTGTTCTATTACCATGCACTACCATTGTGCTCATAACATTACAGTTTTGAATAAAATTAGATTAATTGAAAAATAAATACTTAATTTATCACTCTTCAAAGCTGCTCTGGAATCTGGCCTGATTTTAATCATGAATATGTTTGTGTTTTATTAATATTGCATCATACAAATGAGCATTTATTATGCATAGCACTTCAGAGCTTTGCTCTTTTGGAAATTTTTTAAACCTTCCTTAGAGTTATTTACCTAAGGCAGATGGCCTTCTCTGGCCTTTCTTTTTAGTGTAAGATTGTTTGATCTAAGGTAATGAGAAGTATCCCTTTGAGGTATGAAGTCTATTTTACACAAGATAGAGGCATATATCAGAGGCAGGTTTCAAGATTTTAAATTGTGTTTGGTCAAATAGCTTGTACATGATAGACATTTATTGGTTGGCTGGTTTATTGGTAAATTTATCAATTGATTAAAATACAAATTGAATGCATTTATAATCTAGGTAAATCAATGAAATAAAATATATATGGCCAAAAATTAGAAATGATCAGCCATGGAATCGCAAGTTTTACAACTTTCACTTTTAAAAACTGAAATTTTAAGTGTTCAATTTAATTCATAATGTGGAATGATGCTTGAAATGGCTCTTAAGAGAAGGAACACTAAATTAACTAATTTTTTAAATGAATATTTATTGAATAAATGAATTGTATAAATATTTCTTTGCTATAGCGCTTTTAAATTCTAATTAGTTTCAATTCAAGTTTTATGGTGAATTGTAGAATATAATGTCTATAAGATATATTACAAATCATCTATGCAAAATATTTAATTTTTTAGATTAAAAAAATGGCCTACAGGGTTAAAAAAAAGGCCTGGGGGATGGGGGTTAAAATGATGCCTTCGATATTTATTCCAAACTAAGTTAGGCATGATTTTATAATCCACATTATATACATATATTAATCAATATTAACTGTGGTGGTTAATTTTGTGTGTCAACTTGGCTGGGTGATGTTGCTCAGATATTTGATCAAACATTGCTCTGGATGTTTCTGTGAGGATGTTTTTGGATGATATTTACGTTTAAATTGGTGGGCTTTCAGTAAAGCAAACTGCCCTCCATAATATAGGTAGGGCTGATCCAAACAATTGAAGGCCTGAATCAAACAAAAGGTTGATATCCCACAAGACAGAGGAATCTTTCAGCAGGATACCTTTGAACTTCATTTAAAACATCATCTTTTCCTGGCTCCACAGATGACTGCCTTTAGATTTGAATTGCAACTCTTTCCTAACACTCCTGCCTACCAACCTCTCCCATCTGATTTTGGACTCACCAAGCCTCCTAATTAGGTGAGCCAATTCCTTAAAATAAATCTCTTTCTATATAGATGCATGTCCTATTTGTTCTGTTCCTCTTGGAGATTCCTGGCTAAAACACTAACGTTTTATTTAATAATTTTAGAAGCCATTTGTTTTTAAAGATTTCATTCATGTTATCCAGATAGAATCAAAAGAGGGTCAATAGTAACTGAAAAGGAACTAATTGCTTCCCAAAATAGTAGTCAGGAAATTGGGTGCTAAGCACACACCTCTATCTTTTCTTGGCTGAGTGGTCTTTGATAAATCTTTTAATTACTTTGCACCTGTTTTCTCACCTACTACTCTATTTGCACAATTCAAGATGTTTTCACACCTATCATATTGTTAAGCAGCCTAGAGAGAGAGCAAGTTGCTTGTATATTTAGGTTAAAAATGAGGAAAATAGGGGTCTGTCCTACAGACCTTCCCTCCCCCTGGCTATCCTTACTCACCTTCCTTCCCTCAGAGGATGCCCACCTTCCAGATCAGCCTCAACCCTCAAAGAGCTGCTTGACTTCGATATTCTCCAACAGATCATTTCCATCTGTGCTTTTGCCACTTGTGGAGATTTTAAGGACAAAACTGATATTTGAATAAGTTATTCTCCTAAAATTACTGACATTAAAACAATTACTGCTATTTTTTGGTTATCCATTCAGGTTGAATCAGGCATCATTTCAGTCACCTCCAGATGTAAATGTGTGTGATGTAAATTGGAAAAGTCATGTCTTTATAGGAGGTTGCTCTTCTTCTGCACAATTCTGTCTTATATTTGTAGTCTTTGTCTTCTTGCATTGCATTTCTGCTCTTCTGCTTTATGTTGGTTACATGAACACATATGGGCATAGTGAAAAAAAAAAAAAACCTTTCCATAACTGACTTTGTTGCAGCTCTTTTTGCCACTTTTTGAGGTTAGTGAGCCTTTCAACCTAGGCTAAAGCTCTTACAAATGCTGAAATAGCTACCAGTCACAATAATGTTCAGGAACATCTGCCTTGCAATCAGCGAAGAGTAACATGTTCATTTGGCTCTATGACTACCATGGGGTCCCTAAATGGATCTGTGATCTTTGGCTTTAGGGAGGAAATGCTTCGTTTTTGTACAAAGAGACCAGTTTGCACAGTCCATCAAATACTTCTGCTTCTCCTAGCCAAAGAGATATTCTATCTCCTGCCAGAATATAAAGGGAGAAATACATTTATGAAATATATTTTTGTGCTATGTCTTGTTGCCAACATCTTGCATTATTTGTTTCTAATAGGAGTAATGGCTTTTCAATAAATTGATGAGTTTAAAGTTTTGCTTTTTTTTTAACATGAATCCTGTGCCTTTCCTAGAAATTTAAGGTATAAATGTATTCTTACATGTAAATTTGAAATGTCAGTGGCCTATTATGAGATGGTACATATTTTTAAATGAACAGATATTTCTTCACTATGCTGTTTGTCTCCCAAAGAGTTTAAACCTTAAGCCTTACATATATCTTCACTCAGAAAACAGTTATATTGTCATATTATAATGGGAAGAAAATTTTTATTTGGAGTATAAACTACTGTAAAAGTTTATAGAGATCATATACCTATTACCTGTCTTCATTTAAGAAAGGCTTAATTACCTAAATTAAATTTAGGAAAAAACACTGTTAGTTCAAAATTCATGTCTGAACAGTGTTTATACATTATAAAAAATTTAAATTGCAAAGACTGGATGTATATATGTATATATGTCTCTTTCTACATAGTCTGTAGTACTTAATACGTGCACTAAAATTATTTTGAGATGAGGAATTTTGAAATTTTTATAGATGGGTAGTTAATTTAGTAATTCTGTCTCATAAAGTATAAGCTTACCTTGTGCTGGTTGTTTAATAGGCTTGCTATGTTAGTGGAAATAACATGGTTGAACTAGATATTTTGGCATGTATGGGCATTACTTCTAGTGACATTTGTTTGCCACCTTTGTTGCTCATGTTTCTTAAGTACAGGCTGAGACCTAGTCTCTTTGCAAGTTTAGTAAAATAATCCACCTTTTTTTGCAGACTCTATTCAGAAGGTAAAAAATATATATCTTTTGTTTTTGAAACATTTAACATTTTGAGTCAAGGAAGTTGCTATTTTGAGATTAGCAATGATATTGTGAAAATAAATATTATTCAGATTTTATGTTTCTTAAAGTTCATTCTTATTTCACAAACGAATGATTAAGGAATTATGCATTATAAACAAAGGACACTAAGTGAGCTATATTATGGGTGCATTGTCTTTCACATGCAATTGAGTGTATTGTGAATACAGGGATTATTCTCATTAGCTTCTTAATTTTTTGTTGTACAGGGATCCAGAGTTCCTATTCTTACAAAACGACTGTTTATAGTGTGAAGCACATCTTTCTATTGCCTTATTTTTGTTGCTTTTCTCCACGACAAGAATTCAAGAATTGTTGATATGAGAATGAATATTTTCTTTTAAAAAATTATACTTTAAGTTCTGTGATACATGTGCAGAATGTGTAGGTTTGTTACATAGGTATACACGTGCCATGGTGGTTTGCTGCACCCTTCAACACATCATCTACATTAGGTATTTCTCCTAATGCTATCTCTCCTCTAGCCCCCCAACCCCCGGCAGGCCCCAGTGTGTGATGTTCCCCTCCCTGTGTCCGTGTGTTCTCATTGTTCAACTCCCACTTATGAGGGAGAACATGCAGTGTTTGGTTTTCTGTTCCTGGGCTAGTTTGCTGAGAATGATGTTTTCCAGCTTCATCCATGTCCCTTCAAAGGACAGGAATGCATCCTTTTTTATGGCTGCATAGTATTCTATGGTACATATGTGCCATATTTTCTTTATCCAGTCTATCATTGATGGGCATTTGGGTTGGTTCCAAGTCTTTCCTATTGTGAACAGTGCTCCAATAAATATACGTGTGCATGTGTCTTTACAGTAGAATGATTTATCATCCTTTGGGTATATACCCAGTAATGGGATTGCTGGGTCAAATGGCATTTCTTGTTCTAGATCTTTGAGTAATCGCCACACTATCTTCCACAGTGGTTGAACTAATTTACACTCCCACCAACAGTGTAAAAGCCTTCCTATTTCTCCACATCCTCTCCAACATCTGTTGTTTCCTGACTTTTTAATGATTGCCATTCTAACTGGCATGAGATGGTATCTCACTGTGGTTTTGATTTGCATTTCTCTAATGACCAGTGATGATGAGCTTTTATCATACGTTTGTTGGCTGCATAAATGTCTTCTTTTGAGAAGTGTATGTTCGTATCCTTCACCCACTTGTTGATGGGGTTGTTTTTTTCTTGCAAATTTGTTTAAGTTCCTTGTAGATTATGGATATTAGCCCTTTGTCAGATGGATAGATTGCAAAAATTTTCTCCCATTTTGTAGGTTGCCTGTTCACTCTGACGATAGTTTCTTTTGCTGTGCAGAAGTTCTTTAGTTTAATTAGATCTCATTTGTCAATTTTGACTTTTGTTGCCATTGCTTTTGGTGGTTTAGTCATGCAGTCTTTTCCTATGCCTATGTCCTGAATAGTATTGCCTAGGTTTTCTTCTGGGGTTTTTATGGTTTTAGGTCTTACGTTTAAGTCTTTAATCCATCTTGAGTTAATTTTTGTATAAGGTGTAAGGAAGGGGTCCAGTTTTCTGCATATGGCTAGCCAGTTTTCCCAACACCATTTATTAAATAGGCAATCCTTTCCCCATTGCTTGTTTTCATCAGATTTGTCAAAGATCAGATGGTTGTAGATGTGTGGTGTTATTTCTGAGGCCTCTGTTCTGTTCCATTGGTCCATATATCTGTTTTGGTACTAGTATCATGCTGTTTTGGTTACTGTAGCCTTGTAGTATAGTTTGAAGTCAGGTAACATAATGCCTCCAGCTTTGTTCTTTTTGCTTAGGATTGTCTTGGCTATACAGGCTCTTTTTTCGTTCCATATGAAATTTAAAGTAGTTTTTTCTAATTCTGTAAGGAAAGTCAATGGTAGCTTGATGGGGTTAGCATTGAATCTATAAACTACTTTGGGCAGTATGGCCATTTTCACAATATTGATTCTTCCTATCCATGAGCATGGAATGTTTTTCCATTTGTTTGTGTCCTCTTTTGTTTCCTTGAGTAGTGACTTGTAGTTCTCCGTGAAGAGGTCCTTCACATCCCTTGTAAGTTGGATTCCTAGGTATTTTATTCTCTTTGTAGCAATTGTGAATGGGAGTTAACTCATGATTTGGCTCTCTGTTTGTCTGTTACTGGTGTATAGGAATGCTTGTGATTTTTGCACATTGATTTTGCATCCTGAGGCTTTGCTGAAGTTGCTTATCAGCTTAAGGAGATATTGGGCTGAGAAGATGGGGTTTTCTAGATATACAATTGTGTCATTCTAAATATATAACCATGTCATCTGCAAACAGAGATAATTTGACTTCCTCTGTTCCTGTTTGAATACCCATTATTTCTTTCTCTTGCCTGATTGCCCTGGCCAGAACTTCCAATACTATGTCGAATAGGAGTGGTGAGAGAGGGCATTCTTGTCTTGTGCTAGTTTTCAAAGGGAATGCCTCCAGCTTTTGCCCATTCAGTATGATATTGCCTATGGGTTCATCAAAAAATAGCTCTTATTATTTTGAGATACGTTTCATTAATACCTAGTTTATTGAGAGTTTTTAGCATGAAGGGCTGTTGAATTTTATCGAAGGCCTTTTCTGCATCTATTGAGATAATCATGTGGTTTTTGTCATTGGTTCTGTTTATGGGATAGAGTACGTTTGTTGATTTGCATATATTGAACCAGGCTTGCATCCCAGGATGAAGCCGACTTAATCATGGTGGATAAGCTTTTTGATGTGCTGCTGGATTCAGTTTGCCAATATTTTGTTGAGGATATTCGCATTGATGTTCATCAGGGATATTCGCATTGATGTTCATCAGGGATATTGGCCAGAAATTTTCCTTTTTTGTTGTGTCTCTGCCAGGTTTTGGTGTCAGGATGATGCTGGCCTCATAAAATGAGTTAGGGAGGATTCCTTCTTTTTCTGTTGTTTGGAATAGTTTCAGAAGGAATGGTACCAGTTCCTCTTTGTACCTCTGGTAGAACTCAGCTATGAATCCGTCTGGTCCTGGGCTTTTTTTTGGTTGGTAGACTATTAATTACTGCCTCAATTTCAGAACTTGTTATTGGTCTATTCAGGGATTCGACTTCTTCCTGGTTTAGTCTTTGGAGGGTGTATGTACCTAGGAATTTATCCATTTCTTCTAGATTTTCTAGTTTATTTGCATAGAGGTGTTTATAGTAGAGAAATATCTTTTATGCACCCAACTTAATAAAGAGGTTGAAAGGGGAAAAATGAGGAAAATGAGGCCTAAAAGACCTTAAAATCATTTGTTTAGAGTACTTGGAATAGAACCAAAGTCTTCCTAGATGTTGAAACAAATGAGGTGTAAAGTTTTCTCAGAAAGCAGCCAAGAATAGGCATCAGAAGTCTTGAATTCCAGTCCTCATTTTGCCATTAAATGATGAACTTCTTGGAGATCTTTTTAAAATTGTTTGGTGCAAAGGAATTCCCTACACCCTGGCATACACTAGATAAATAATAAATACGTGAGAAAAAAGAATGAATATCAATATTCTCTGTTTAACATTGAGAAATTTACTTAAACCTTCTAGGGTTCAATTTCTTCAAAGAAAATTAAGTGATTTTAAAGCTTGGAAAATCTGCAATTGGATCTTTGCTAGAGTCCTTTCTTCCTCTGAAGTTTAGTGGCTCATCCTAAGTATTGCTATGATGTTAAAACTATTATCTAACTTCAAATGTAAAATAGTCTGGTTTTTAACACAGTTTGGCTATGATTTCTAAGTTTAGGAGCCACATTGCTTTCATCGATATTAAATGCTTAATGACCCACTTGTATGTTCATAGCTATACTTAAAATATTGAATACACTCATGTGTGCATGGAAGGAATAATATCCCTTAGTTATTCATTTCAGTGATGTTTCAAGATAGTTTTATTGAAGATTATAAAGATAAGTCTCAAATAAATGTATTACAAAACTGTACTTATTTTTAATATTAGGAAACTCCAGTTTCAATTTCTAGACAACCAGAATCAAGATAATCAGATTGAATAACAGACTCATATCATACTTTTTAATATCCAGCATTCCTGGGTCAAGATATTCATTTTAATATCCTTTATAGATGACCCCCTCAAAATATTTTTGACAGTAACATATTAAACCTAACTTGGAATAAAAGTGCTCTAAGGCCTTCTTCAGCTTTCAATTTTTATGAGGCTATGCTTATCTAAATAAACTTTAAAATTTCAGTTGATTAATATTAATAGCAATTCTATTCATCTTGAGTCTACATAGAAAAAAATTATGAAATAAAAGTCTCTATGCAGATATAGTAATGACTTGCTTATCTTGAAGTCATGTAATGATAAACTCAAGTGTTCAGAAACTGCAAAATATATTTTAAAAGCAGGTAAAAATGGGAAATCAGATAAACTTATTTAAGGGCATGGAAAGTGGAAGTAAATAGACTTTGAATAAATACCTGAAACAGCTTATTCTTATGTTTATTTCAGATAATTATTCAAAGCCTATTTACTTCTACTTTCCATGCTCTTAAATAAATTTATCTGATTTCTCATTTCATAATAAAAGCAAAAAAAAAAAAAAAAAAAAAAAGGATGAAAAGGAGGACTGCCAGAGGTGAATGTGTACCCTGAGCAGTAAAATGAGATATTTTGACAGTAAAAGAAGAAACCAAACATAATCCATTCAGTTGTCTCAAAGGCACTATATTATAGCACAATTACCTAATTCATGTTCATAGTTATGATGCATATAACATCGGGCCACTTCAGGCTAGCTTTGAAAGATTTTGTTTAGCACGGAACCCTATTGCTTAAAATAATTCAAAAGCAAATCCTAGTAACAGTAGCAGCTACAGATACAATACAGAACCTTGACAAAAATTTAAATCCATTTCTAATGCCCTCCTCCAAACTTAGTCTTCTCTACTGCAGCTCCTGCTAAGCATCCTAAATAACTTTGACAATTCCATAAATTAGCCATCCTTAAACTCTCAGTTCCCATACTTCCTCATTCCTAGGAACTTCTCCTTTGCCTTAGCTACCCACTCAAGTAGTCATAACCTTTACTTTCTCATCAGCAAAAACTGTTTACATTCATTATCACTTCCATGCTCCATTTTTCTGATCACAATTTTCTTCCATTCCAACTTACTTGCTCGAGTACCCCCACTGCTACAGTTTTCTTTCTAATATCAATGCATTACCCAGCCTATTAACATCTCCAATTTCTCAATATCCATTATCCACCTCCTCTTTTCACTTTCCAACCCATTGATCTGCCTTCTATACACTTATACCCAGGTCAGCTCTGAAGGAGAAAATCCACCAACCTGACAGACTTAATAGCACTATTAATTTATAATCTCAAGCTTTAACTGGGAATTCAAATAGCCATAGCATTAAGTTTCTCTAATAAGCTTACTCTTCCATTGTATGAGATATCTGTGAGTTAAATAACATTTAAGTAGAGAACTGCATATGGAAAAAAATTTATCAAGGTTAGCTATTATTATTATAATCACGATTATGCTTGGCATTTATAACAGTTCATAATTCTATATTTATGCATGGCATTATTTGTTTAACATCTAGGTCTCCTACTAGACTTGAAGTTTCATAATGGCAGCTTTGTCTATTTGAGTCAATGCTGCATTGCTGGTGTCTGGCAGAGAACTTATACACAATTCACATTGAACAAATATTTGTAAAATGAGTGAATAAAAATAACCAGATTAGCAAATATTCTTATTTAATAATAGAAAAGTATGATATGTCTATAATGTTTCTTCATCTTAAACTTCTATTTTTTACTCCATTGGGGTAGCTTGAAGCAGACTGATGCTTCTGCTACAAACACTTGGAAAAGCTTGATATAAAACAAACAAACTAAAAACCACATCTGTTTGAAAGAGAAAAGCTGTGAAAGCAACACACAGGTGGGAGGCCAAGATCAGAGAGGAAAGGGAATCTTAGAGAGGTTAACTGAGATTCTCCATGCTACTTTTTCTCACAAGGCATTTGCCAATTCTAGGCATAGGGCAAGAGGCTGAGAGACCAAGCAGAAGACTGCAGCTGAGTCAGATAACTGAGTAGATATCTGGACAATCTCATGGAACTAAAGAGATATAGGAATTTGATTTGGAGCTCAATTTCTACTTTCAGGTAGAGGAAGTAGATGGAATTTTCCCCATTACTCCCATTCAGTGTAACACCATATACATTATATATAACATATATATTATGTACATGTATAAATATATATACATAATATATAATACATATAATATATAACAGAGAAATGAAAGCATGTGCCCATATGAAGATTTGCACACAAATATCACAGCAGATTTATAACAGCCAAAAGCTAAAAACAACTCAAATTTTTCTGAATAGTTTAATGGAGACACAAATGTATCTGTACAATAAAATACTCCTCAGGAATAAAAAGGAATGCAAGAACATGGATGAATCTCAAAATAATTTTGCTGAGTAAAAGAAGACAGAAAAAAAGATACCATATATTGTATGATTCCATTCATATAAAATGTCAGGACATGTAAACATCATGACAGAAAACGACAGTGGTTATCTGGGAATTGTAGGTCGGGAAAGGATGGGAGAGGGGGATTACAAAGTGGTAGAGAGAAACATGGATGATTTCACCGTTATATACATACTATATATCAAAATTTATCAAATTACATATTTTGAATATGTAATGTTTATGTCGATTATATTTCAATAAAGCTTCAAAAACTAATATTTTTTTTCTTTGAAACAGAGTCTTGCTCTTGTTGCCCCGGCTGGAGTGCGATGGCACGATCTCTGCTCACTGCAACCTCTGCCTCCCGAGTTCAAGCCATTCTCCTGCCTCAGCTTCCCGAGGAGCTGGGACTACAGGCGCCCGCCACTACGCCCGGCTAATTTTTGTATTTTCGGTAGAGACAGGGTTTTGCTATGTTGGCCAGGCAGGTCTCGAATTCCTGACCTTCTGTGACCTGCCCTCTTCAGCCTTTCAAAGTGCTGGGATTACAGGTGTGAGCTGCCGTGCCCAGCCCTAATTCAATATTTGTATGTGTACATTCAAATTGTAATAAAAGTTCTACAAGCTTACACATTCAAGTGATAACCATGTTGACCTCTGGGAAAGAGATTGAAACGGGGGATAATAAAATGAATTTTCTCATTATTTATAGCATTTCAGTCCATACAAGAACATGCTTATTTTCACAGGTGAAATTTAAATAAAATTCTAAAAATTTTAAAACAATGTGATCAATTATATTATCCTCTCTGTGTGAGCCTGACTTAGGAAGTGACTAACTCCATAATAGAGGTGAAAGAGGAGAAAGCCATTCAGAGAACAAGTTCACAGAAGAAGTAATTCTTTATCTGAATCTTAAAGGATAAGTAGGATTCTCTGAGGGGAGGGAATGTCGAGATAACAAGCAACATCTGAAAAGGTCTCCTAGGAGTCAGTGCAGTGCAGCACTGGGTGAGGCTGGAGCACAAGCTGAGAGGCGTGAGGGCTGTGTATAGTAAGAACCCTGCAAAGGATGTGCGGACACTCATGGAAGGAAGGATCAGCACACTATGAGAAAGTGTAATGCGTGCAGGAAGCAAAGGGCAGCTGCTGAAGAGCTGTAAGTAGAAACAATACAGTAAAATTTGTGTTTTTTAAACAATCTCTCTGGTGGCTCTGTGAAAGGAAATTATGATAATTTGTATGGAGGAAAATGAGTTCCGTCACTTGGGCAGTGAAATTCAGACAAAGAGATGGATTCAATAGATTATTAAAGTGTCACAAGGTCTCATGTGTGACTGGAAAGACAGCAGCTTAGAGATTGGGTGACTGGAGAAATTGCGGCACAGAGACAGAAGGAAATTTTTATTGTGCTGTTATTTTTTGTTTTGTTTTGATTTGTTTATTCCTTTAGGATTTAGTTTTGTGTGTTGGGAGTGGTTTCTGAGTGAATGTTCTAGGCAGTTATAGGCACAGAGATTTGGAGGGTTTTTGCAGTGTTTATGGATGAACGTAAAAGCCCAACGTTTCTAGGAGAGACGTTGGGGGCTACCAACCAATATCATGTGAGAATTAGCTGAAGCCATAAGATTGGCCAGAAGCACCCAAGAAGAACATGCAGAGTCTAGAAGCTAGCTAAGGGTAGAACCCTACAGGACAAAAGTACTTAAAGTGTAAGCAGAGAAAGAGAAAGAAGTGAATTAAGAAATGTGGTTGGGGCAGCTGAGATGAGAGAGCACTGAAAAGATCAGGCGTGTCTGTAAAGAGAGATAAGGCAAGGAGGGAGCGGATTATTGAAACTGGCCTTTCATTGATGGGGCCTTGAGAAGCTTTTTTTGGTAGCATGTGAGAGTGGAAGCCAGAGTAGAAACAGCATTGAGGAAGTTGAAATGGTGACTATAGGTTAGGCATTCAAACAGCCTGGAGGAGATGAAGAGAATTGGGGTGGCAGCTTGAGAGGAAGGCTGGGCCAAGGAAAGGAGAAGCTGCAGGGGAGCAGGAGGGGAGACAGAAGAGCAGGGGACTGGGGAGAAAAGAAGATGAATCAAGGGCATTGGCTCTGCAATTGAGCAGGAAGTGGTGATTCAGGAAGCTGTAGCTAAGTGAGGAGGGGAATTAGGGGGAATTGGGGGATTGCACAGTGGATGGCTACCTTTGGTTTTGGTTTGTTGTGGTTTTATTTCGAGACGGTAAGATATTCTGCTAAGAGGGAAGTAATACAATGTAAGGTCTTTGAATAATACTCCATGATATATGTGAGAGGGAGCTAAGAATAAATTAAAAGTCATGCAGAAGCTTGAACGGCCCAGCTTGGGCAGGAGACATGGGTTTATAATGGCACCTGTCCGACTCTTTGATGAGTTTAATCTGATTAGGCTTTATTACTAAGCAGTGGTTCTTTGAACACTAAAGTCACCTGGGGAGATTTAGCAAGAACTTTTGCCTAGGTCACATCCCCATACTCTGATTTAATTGGTATGGCCTGGGTATTAGGAAGTTTTAAAGCTCATTAGGTGAATCTAATTTGCAGCCAAGATTGAGAAGCACAGCATTAAACATTCGCTTTTTTAAAATTAGTTAAACCTGAACTGAACTCAAAGCATGGAACTTAGCTGGATTTAAACTAAAATGTGAAACTTGGGCCTCAAAGATAATAATAAATAGGTGTTGATGAAAGAACTTCAGGGATTGTAAACATCCTAATGCTGCAAACATTCAAGTCTTAGTTTATATTTTTAGTATCCAGGCTTGCAGTCTTTGCATACCTGCCTCAGCAAAACTATTATAAAATCTAAGGAAAATTTTAAAACTACCTGTCAAATAATAAAACAGGATGAATGATGCCAAGATTATATTGTCCATCTTTGAGTGATTGATGCAGGTTCTGCATACGTATTCAGCAAAAGTACCCACTTTGATTGTTTTGAGGTTTCTTTTTTCTCCCCTTCTCATATTGTTTTTTAATCTAAAACAAATGTCATATATAGTAATGTAATAAAAAAGACAAGAGGTAATTTCAGCCTGATTATATAGGCTTGTAATTCAGGATTTTGACCTCAGTTTTGCAGATTCACCCTGATATTCATCTTTCATTTTTACTCACCTTTGATACACCTGGTAAATTGACTCATTCTTACCAGTGTCAGGAAAAAGAAAATTGCAATGCAAAATAATAGCTTATTAATTTACAATGAGAAATGGGATTCCCAACTGGCCACATTCTTGCTGGTCAATCAACCCATTTTCTTTCCATCAGAGAAGGTAATACTTCACTTATATGGAGGTCACATGATTCTATCTAGCTTAAGCATCTGAAAAAAAAACCCCAAGTATTTTTTTAAATGTTCTTCAGAGCAATTACAATGGATTTAGAAGGCACATACACTAATCTTCATTAAGTTCCTCATTGAATTGCCCCATCGTTCTTCACTCAAACATGTTTTCAGATTTTGAACACTAATTCTAATTGTGATTATCTGGTTCTAATCAATCCACAGGTGGTTAGAAATAGCAAATTAAAAAGAGGGGATTTCTAGAGGAAGTCACACCCCCAGGGGCAACAAACAGCAGCTGACACTTAGGGAACAGGCATAAAGGACTACCAGTCCCACAAAGCCAGACATAATCTCTCAAAAGAGGTATCATTTCATTAAAAGACCAGTAACCTGACATACTTCAGACTTCTCTGAGGCCTAATAAAGACTCTAGACAATGAGGAAAAATGACTTCATATGACTTTCCTTACTTTTCCATAGATTTGGAGATGCTTTTGAGATATCTTGAAAATTTTTACCCATCAAATTTACCAATGTTCATATAGTAATGCTATTATCATGCCTGTGATGTCTAGAAGCTTCAAAAAGCAAATGGTCAAGCAAAAAAGACTACAATGATATGTGCCCACAGAATATATTTATTGAGCACATTAGCATCCCCAAATGCACAGATTGCAGCAAGTTAAATATAAATGGGTTTGTAAACATAAGACAATCACAAGGAACAATTCGTCTTAGTAATATTCAGAATTTTTTTAATATTTGAGAATCTAACATGACAAATGAGAAGATAGGGCTCAAATATGAAACACTACAGCATTTACTTTAAAAATGCAAAGCAACAACATCGATTTCTGGAAATATAGAAAAGATAAAAGCATTGGATAAAATGTACTACTCGTGTTTTTTTAACTTTTATTTTCAGGGATACATATACAGGTTTTTTTAATAGGTAAATTGTGTGTCATGGGAGTTTGGTGTACAGATTATTTCATCACCCAAGTAATAAGCGCAGCACTCAATAGGTAATTTTTTTATCCTAATCCTCCTCCCACCTTCCACCCTCAAGTAGGCCCCTCCAGTAGGTTCTCTGTCTATTGTTCCCTTCTTTGTCCATGTGTACTCATTGTTTAGCTTTCATTTATAAGTGAGAACATTTGATATTTAGTTTTCCTTTCCCGCATTAGTTCACTTAGGATCATGGCCTCCAGCTCTATCTATGTTGCTGTAAAGATGATCTTGTTCTTGTTTATGGCTGCATAGTATTCTACAGTGTATATGTACCACATTTTCATTATCCAGCCCACTGCTGATGGGCATCTGGGTTAATTCCATGTCTTTGCTATTGTAAATAGTGCTACAATGAACATACACATGCATGTGTCTTTACAGCAGAACAATTTATAGTTCTTTGAGTATATATTCAGTAATGGGATTGCTGGGTCAACTGGTACTTCTGTTTTTAGCTCTTTGATGAATCGCCACACTGTCTTCCACAATAGTTGAACTAATTTACACTCCCACCAACAATGTAAAAGCATTCCTTTTTCTTTGTAACCTTGCCAGCACTTGCTGTTTTTGGCTTTTTAATAATAGCCATTCTAACTGGTGTGAGATGGTATCTCATTGTGGCTTTGATTTGCATTTCTCCAAAAATTAGTGATGTTGAATTTTGTTCATATGCTTGTTGGCCACATGTATGTCTTCTTTTGAGAAACATCTCTTCATGTACTTTGCCCACTTTTTAATAGGGTTGTTTTTTTCTTGTAAATTTCTTTCAATTCCTTATAGATGCTGGATATTAGACCTTGGTCAGATGCATAGTTTGCAAATATTTTCTCCCAGTCTCTGAGTTGTCTGTTAACATTGTTGATAGTTTCTTTTGCATTGCAGAAGCTCTTTAGTTTAATTGGATCCCATTAGTCAATTTTTTTTTATTGCAATTGCTTTTGGCACCTTTGTCATGAAATCTTTGCCAGGGCCTACGTCCAGAATGGTATTTTCTAGATTTTCTTCAAGAGTTCTTATAGTTTTAGGTTCTGCATTTATATATTTAATTCATCTTAAGGTGATTTTTGTATACAGTTCAAGGAAGTGGTCCAGCTTCCTTGCATATAGCTAGCTAGTTACTCCAGCACCATTTATTAATAGGGAGTCCTTTCCCCAATTGCTTGTTTTTGTCAGCTTTGTAAAATATCAGATGGTACAGGTTTATTTTTGGGTTCTCTAACCTATTTCATTGGTCTATGTGTCTGTGTTTGCACCACCATGCTGTTTTGGTTACCGCAGCCCTATAGTATAGTTTGAAGTTGGGTAATGTGAAGCCTCAAGCTTTGTTCTTTGCTTAGGATTGCTTTGGCTATTCAGACTCTTGGTTGCCTGTTAATTTTAGAATAGTTTTTCTAATTCTGTGAAGAACGTCACAAGCAGTTTGATAGGAATAGCAATGAATATTTAAATTACTTTGGGTAGTAAGGCCATTTTAACAATATTGATTCTTCCTATCCATGGTACCACTTACAGTACCACCATCTTACCCAGGATCCTCTGCCCTTGACTTACTGCATCACCAGACCATCTGCAGACATATTCCACAACAAGCTCTGACTCTGCCAAGTTCAGAGGACCCACAGGTCCCTAAGGTCTCCTGATGACCTAACCTTTGGACCAACCCTAAGGGAGGGTGGAGTGCAGCCCACCAACCCCTGCCACCCCCACCCCCAGGAGATTAAGATAATCCAGACATGATGCCAGTAATTGAAGGGGACTCCATCAAGACCCAGAAACAGACTTGGTGAGGGAGCCATCTCTCACCCCGTCTCCCCTCCCCAGAGCACTGCTGCACATGTACTGCGATACAAAACAGGTAAACAGTTGAGTAAGATCCTATTTGACAGCTCTTACTCTTAAACACCGTGTACTAAATTGCCGCCTGAATTATACCACCAAACAAACATCAATTTCTTCAGCATGCAATGCCTGTGACACATAACACAGAAAACTTGCTAAAGAACTCACACAGACTCTTGGTACTCTGAAAGCACCAGAAATAAAGCCAATCGTCCATACACAATCTATGCCACAGTCAAACCCTCAAGGGAAAAAAATAATATAAAAACAAAAAGCCCCATTCAAATGACACCAATTTCAAAAAGAAAAAGAAACACTTGTATGCTCAGATGGCAAGGAATCAGCAAAAGAACTCCAGCAACTCAGAGTCAGAGTGTTTCCTTTCCTCTAAAAGATCACATTCGACCCCCACAACACATCCTAACCAGATTAAAATGTCTAAAATGATAGACAGATATATCAGAACTTGGATGGCAAGGACCCTCAATGAAATTCTAGAGAAAGTGGAAATCCAATCCAAGGAAGCCAGAAAAATGATCCAAGCCTTGGAAGACAACATACCCATTTTGAGAAAGAACTAAACTGAACTTCTGAAATTGAAAAATTTACTACAAGAATTTCAAAATACAATTGGAAGCCTTAGCAGCAGACTGGACACAGCTAAGGAAAGAATTTCAGAGCTTGAAGACTGGTCCTTCAAACCAACCAAGTTAAATAAAATAAAGAAAAATAATTAAATAAAGCCCCTGAAAAATATGGGATTATGTAAAGAAACCAAATCTATGACATATTAGCATTCCTGAGAGAGACAGCGAGAGACAGAGACTAAGCAACTCGGAGACATAGTTAAGAATGTAATCCATGAAAATTTCTTCAATCTCGATAGAGAGGTTGACATGTAAATTCAAGTAATTCAGGGAACCCATGCAAGATACTGTACAAGACAACCATCTCCAAGACACACAGTCATCAGACTTTTGAAGGTCAATGCAAAAGAGAAAAAATCTTAGAGATAGCTAGAGAAAGGGGTCATATCACTTACAAAGGGAATCCCATCAGGCTAACAGCAGACTTCTCAGCCAACACTTTACAATCCAGAAGATGTTGGGGGACTATTTTTGTCATTCTTAAAGAAAATAAATTCCAGCCAAGAATTCCATATTCCCCCAAACTAAGCTTCATAATGAATTTGTAATAAAATCTTTTCCAGACAAGTAATCACTAAGTGAATTGTTATCACTAGATGAGCCTTACAGAGGATCCTTAAGAGAGTTCTAAACATGGAAATGAAAGAATGACAGTTACTACCATAAAAACACACATAAGTAGACAGTCCACAGTTCCTGTAATGCAACTACACAATGGAGACTATAAAGGAACCAGCTAACAACACCACAACAGGATCAAACTTAACATATCAGTATTAACCTTGAATGTAAATTGTCTTCTAAAGACCCATCTCACATGTAACAATGCCCATAGGCTTGAAGTAAAGGGATGGAGAAAGATCTGGCATGCAAATGGAAAACATGCAAATAGTCACTATTCTTGTATCAGAAAAAAACTAAACTTTAAACCAATTTCAGTAAAAAAGGACAAAGAAGGTCATTACATAATAATAAAGAGTTTAATTCAACAAAAAGACCTAACTATTCTAAATATATATGCACCTAACTGTGGAGCACTCATTTATAAAACAAGTAATGCTAGTCCTATGAAAAGACTTAGACAGCCAGACAATAATAGTGGGGGACTTCAACACCCTACTGACAGTGTTAAACAGATCATCAAGGCAGAAAACCAACAAAAAAATTCTGTACTTAAATCCAATAGTTGTCTACAGAATACACCACCCAACAATAATATAATATACTTTTTTCTTATGTGCATATGGAACATACTGTAAGATCAACCACATGTTCATTCATAAAGCAAGTCTCAAACAATTTTTAAAAAACAAAATTATACCAACCATACTCTTGGACCATAATACAGTAAAAACAGAAATCAATACCAAGAGGATCTCTCAAAACCACACAATTACATGGAAATTAAACAACTTGCCCTTTAATGATTTTTAGGTAACAACAAAATTAGGGCAGAAATCAAAAAAATCTTTGAAATAAATGAAAACAGAGAGAGAACATACCAACATATCTAGGATACAGCAAAGGCAGTGTTAAGGGGAAAGTTTCTACTGCTAAATGCCTACACCAAGAAGCTAGAAAGATCTGAGGTTAAGAATCTAACACTGTACCTAGAGGAACTAGATAAACAAGAATGAACTAACCCCAAAGTTACTGGAAGAAAAGAAATAACAAAACATTTATACAGGTCTGAGGTTAAGAATCTAACACTGCACCTAGAGGAACTAGATAAACAAGAATGAACTAACCCCAAATTTAGTGGAAGAAAAGAAATAACAAAACATCTATACAAAGGATCAACAAAGTGAAAAGTTGCTGCTTTGAAAGGAAAAACTACGGCAACAGATTTCTAGCTAGATTAACAAAGAAGAGAGAAGATTCAAATAAGCACAATCAGAAATGACAAAGGTGACATTACAACCAATCACACAGAAATACAAAAGATCCTAAGAGACAATTAGGAACACTTATATGCAAACAAACTAGAAAATCTTGAGGAAATGGATGAATTCCTGGGAACACACAATCTCCCAAAATTAAATGAAGAAGAAATTGAAATTCTGAACAGACAAATAATGAGTTCCAAAATGGAAACAGTAATAAAAAATCTGCCAAACAAAAAACAAACCCTGCACTACATGGATTCACAGCCAATCTGTACCTGATGTACAAAGAAGAATTAGTACCATCCCTATTGAAACTATTCTAAAAATTTGAGGTGGAGGGACTCCTCTCTAATTTATTCTATGAAATCAGCATCACTCTAATACCAAAATCTGGCAAAACACAATGAAAAAAGAAACTACAGGACAATATCCCTGATGAACATAGATGAAAAAATCCTCAACAATATATAAACAAAGCAAATCCAGCAGCATATTAAGAAGTTAATTCATGACAACACAGTAGAATTTATTTTTGGGATGCAAGGCTGGTTCAACATATGCAAGTAAATAAATGTGATTCACTACATAAAAAGAATTAAAAACAAAAACCTTATGATCATCTCAAGAGATGCAGAAAAAGCTTTTGATAAAATCTAACATCTGTTCATGATAAAAACTCTCAGGAAACTAGGCATTGAAGGAACATACCTCAAAATAATAAGAGCCATCTATGACAAACCCACCGCCAACATCACACTGAGTGGGTAAAAGCTGGAAACATTCCCCATAAGAAGTGGAACAAGACGAGGATGCCCACTCTCATCACTCCTATTCAACATAGTGTTGAAAGCCCTAGCCAGAGCAATTAGGCAAGAGAAAGAAATTAAAGGCCTCTGAATAGGAAAAGAAGAAGTCAAATTATCTCTCTTTGCTGATGATATCATTCTATACCTGGAAAATCCTGAAGACTCTGCCAAAAGTCTCTTAGAACTGATAAATGACTTCAGCAAAGTTTCAGAATAAAAATCAATGTACAAAAAATAGTTGCATTTCTATACACCAGTAATGTTAAAGCCGAGAGCCAAATCAAGAACACAATCCTATTAAAATAGCCACAAAAATATTAATACCTAGGAATATATCTATTCAAGGACATGGAATAGCTCTACAAGGAGAACTTCAAAACACTGCTGAAAAAAACATAGGTGATACAAATAAGTGGAAAAACATTCTTTGCTCATGGATTGGGAGAATCAATATAGTTAAAATGGCCATACTGCCAAAAGAAATTTACAAATTCAATGCTATTCCTATCAAAGTATCAAGTAATTTCTTACAGTATCAGAAAAAACTATTCTAAAACTCATATGGAAAGAAAAAAAAAGCCTAAATAGCCAAAGTATGCTGAACAAAAAGAAAAAAGCCAGAGGCATCAAATTACCCAACTTCCAACAATACTATAAGACTACAGTAACTAAAACAGCATGGTACTGTTATACAAACAGACACATAGACAAATGGAACAGAATAGAGAACCCAGAAATAAAGCTGCATACCTGCAATCAACTGACTTTCAAAAAAGTCAATAAAAATAAGCAATGGAAAAAGGACATCCTATTCAATAAATGGTGCTGGGATAACTGTCTATCCATATGCAGAAGAATGAAACCGGACCCCTGCCTATCAATGTATACAACAGTTAACTCAAGATGGTTAAGAGGGAAGTGGAGAAAAATGGCAGAATAGAAGGCTCCACTGATCATCCCACACACAAGGACACCAATTTAACAACCATCAACATGCAAAAAGCACCTTCATGAGAACAAAAAATCAAGTGAGCTCTACTAGTACCTGATTTTAACTTTACATCACTGAAAGATGCACTAAAGAGACAGAAAGAACAGTCTTTAATTCGTGATGCAACCCCTCCCCCATCCCCTTGCCGTGGTGGTGTGGTATGGAAAGCATTTCTGTGTGCTCGGGGAGGGAGCACACAGCAATTATGAGGTGCTGAACTCTGTGCTGTCCTGATAGAGCCAGAAAGAAAGACTGGACCAAACTCAGCTGATGCCTACCCGTGGAGGGAGCATTTGGACCAGCCCTAGCGGAGGGGAACTGCCGATCTCAGTGGTCTGAAAATGAGCTTACACAAGCCTCACCACCAAGAGTTAAAGTGCTCCAAATCTCTAAGTAAACTTGAAAGGCAGTCTAGGCCACAAGAGCTACAACTCTTAGGCAGGTCCTAGTGCTGAACTGGGCCCAAAGACAGTGGACTGGGGGAACACACAACAGACTGAGACACCAGCTGAGGTGGCTAAGGGGTGCTGACATCACACCTCCCCTAACCCCAGGCTGCACAGGTCATAGCTCCAAAAGAGACCACTTCCTTTCACTTGAGAAGAGGAAATGGAAGAATGGGGAGGATTTTGTCTTGCATCTTGGATACCAGCTCAACCACAGCCAGGATAGGGCACCCATCAGAGTAGTGAGGCCCCCATTCTAGCCCCTAGCTCCTGGGTGACATTTCTAGACAAACCTTGGGCTAGAAAGGAAGCCACTACCTTGAAGGGAAGGACCCAGTTCTGGCAACATTCATCACCTGTTAAATGAAGAGCCCTTAGTCCCTGAATAACTAGCAGTGATACCCAGGTACTACATCAAGGGCATTGGGTGAGCCTCTGAGTCTTACTGGCTTAAGATGAGACTCAGAACATTCCCAGCTGTGGTGGCTGATTTAAAATAGGCAAAAGATTTAAATAGACATTTCTTTAAAGAAAGATATACAAGTGGCAAACAGTTATATCAAAAAATGCTCAACATCATTGATCATTAGAGAAACACAAATCAAAACTACAGTTAAATATCATCTCACCCTAGTTAAAATGACTTATATCAAAAGACATGCAATAACACATGCTGGTGAGGATGTGGAGAAAAGGGAACCCTTATACACTAATTAGTACAACCACTATGGAGAACAGTCTGGAGATTCCTCAAAAAACTAAAAATAGAGCTACCATATGATCCAGCAATCCCATTGCTAGGTATATACCCAAAAGGAAGGAAATCTGTATATCAAAGACATATCTGCACTCCTATGTTTGTTGCAGCACTTTCGCAATAGCTAAGATTTGGAAGCAACCCACGTGTCCATCAACAGATTAATGGGTAAAGAAAATGTGGTACATATGCATGATGGAGTACTATTCATTCATAAAAAAAGAGTGAAGTTCTGTCATTTGCAACAACATGGATGGAACTGGAGATCATTATGTTAAGTGAAATAAGCGGGGCACAGAAAGACAAACATTACATGTTCTCACTTTTTTGGGGGATCTAAAAATAAAAACAATTGAACTCATGGACATAAAGAGTAAAAGGATGGTTGCTAGAGGCTAGGAAGGGTAGTAGGGAGGAGTGGTTAAGTAGGGATGGTTAATGGATACAAAAAATAGAAAGAATGAATAAGAACTACTATTTGATAGCACAACAGGGTGACTATTGTCAATAACTTAATTGTACACTTAACTAAAAGAGCGTAATTGAATTGTTTGCAACTCAAAGGATAAATGCTGGAGAGGATGGATACCCCATTCTCCATGATGTGATTATTACATATTGCATGCCTGTATTAATATAGCTCATATACCCCATAAATATATACACCTACTATGTATTCAAAAAAATTAAAATTAAAAAAACTTTAAAATATAAGCAAGGCCCTAAAGAGGTAGCTTATTTTTCTTAGGAGTGAAAAAATATCTAGCTTGATAACCAGTACAAGAAAATACCATCTGAATTCATTCATTCAACAAATGTTTATTGATCATCCACAAAATTCTAGAAGCTGAAGTTCAGCAGTGATTGCAATAGAAAAATATCCTTGCCTTCATAGAGCTTAAATTCTGGTGAATGAAGAAAGACAATAAAAAAGGACATATGCATATTATATGATGTATAATATAGTATATAATTATATGGCTATATATCTACACACATTCATATAGAGTATGAGAATGTATTAATGGTTATGGAAATAAGCAGAGAAGATTAATATGGAAAAAAGAAGTGGGTTAAAGACTTAAATGTAAGATCTCAACATATAACATCCTAGAAGAAAACATATGAAATACCCTTCTAGATATCAGCCTTGCCAAATAATTTATGACTAAGTCCTCAGAAACAACTGCAATGAAAACAAAAATTGACAAGTGGTACCTGAATAAAGAGCTTCTGTGCTGCAAAATAAACTATGAACAGAGTAAACAGACAACCCAGAGAATGAGAGAAAATATTCACAAACTATGCATCCAAGTAATGTCTAATATCAAAAATCTATAAGGACCTTAAGTGAACAAACAAAAAACAAACAACCCAATTAAAAAGTGGGCAAAATGCATGAACAGACCCTTCTCAAAAGAAGATATACAAATGGCCGACAAACATATAAAAACATGATCATCATCACTAATTATCAAAGAAATGCAAATCAAAACCACAATGAGAAACCAGCTCACAACAGTCAGAATGGTGATTATTAAAAAGTCAAAAAATAACAGGTGCTGATGAGGTTGTGGAGAAAAGGGAATACTTATACACTGCTGGTAAGAATGTAAGTTAGTAAGGTTGTGAGGTGGGGGGAGAGGGGAGGGATAGCATTAGGAGATATACCTAATGCTAAATGACGAGTTAATGGGTGCAGCACACCAGCATGACACATGTATACACATGTAACTAACCTGCACGTTGTGCACATGTACCCTAAAACTTAAAGATAATAATAATAATAAAAAAAGAATGTAAATTAGTTCAGGCACTGTGGAAAGCAGTTTGGAGATTTTTCAAAGAACGAAAAATAGAACTATCATTCGACCCAGCAATTCCATTACTGAGTATATACTCAAAGGGAAATAAATCATCCTACCAAAAAGACACAGACACTTATATTTTCATAGCAACACTATTCACAGTACAAAAGACATATGATCAACCTAGATGCTCATCAATGGTGCATTAGATAAAGAAAATATAATACATATACTCTATAGAATATTATGCAGCCATAAAAAGAATGAAATCATGTCCTTTGCAGCAACATGGATGCAGCTGGAGGCCATTATCCTAAATGAATTAATGTAGAAACAGAAAACCAAATATAGCATGTTCTCACTTATAAGAGTGCTAAACATTGGGTACACGTGGATATAAATATGAGAATAAAAGACACTGGGGAACACAAGAAGGGGAAGGGAGGAAGGGAAGGGTTTTAAGTACATATTGGGTACTATATGCTCACTACCTGTGTGATGGGATCAGTCATACCCCAAGTCTTAGCATCAAGCTACATACCCATGTAACAAAACTGCACATCTACCCTCTAAATCTAAAGTAAAATTTGAAAAAACAAATTTCAGAGATCAAATGAAAACATCACCCATGAAAATTAGCCATCACAGCCCTGGGTTCATATGTACAGCATTTATCTGATCAGTGAAATTTATGAGTCTAGTACAAAATACATTTTAGGGCCAGCAATGCTCCTGAAACTCCAAAGAGAGACAAATGCAAAAACTCTCAGGATAGACAGTTTCTTAACCCAGGTGACAGGGTCACTATCTATAAAGTTCTGCTGTAATGAGCTCATCCTTATCCTCCAACAACAAATTAAAGTATACATTGGAAACAATGTGCTATACTGAGTAGCTGTCCTTTCACTTGATGCTTCATATTAACCCACCTGAAGATGTTGGTTTTATTAATAAGTTATCTTCCATTCTAAATTTTGCTAAATATTCATTTTGCTCACTGTTCAGATATAATATTTCCACATCTTTTCCCCATAGTATCATGTCCTCAGTCTCTATATTTTTAGGGTGGAAGATGGGAAGCATGGAACACTATAATAATGTAGTCTTTGTTTTATGATCCAAGCTTATTCAGAAATCTATCAACTAGGAAGATATTTCAATAGATAGGATACGGTGGCTCATGCCTGTAACTCCAGCACTTTGGGAGGCCGAGGCAGGCAGATCACGAGGTCAGGAGATCAGGACCATCCTGGCTAACACGGTGAAACCCCATCTCTACTAAAAATACAAAAAATTAGGTGGCATCATGGTGGCATGCACCTGTAGTCCCAGCTACTCGGGAGGCTGAGGCAGGAGAACCGCTTGAACCCGGGAGGCAGAGGTTGCAGTGAGTTGAGATCAGGCCACCACACTCCAGCCTGGGCGACAGAGCGAGACTGGGTCTCAAAATAAATAAATAAATAAAAAGATAGGATAAAGGTTAAGCAGTTATATATTTCCAGAGGAAAAACAGTCAGTAAACAGCTTATGGCAGTGTTTGTTTTAAAAGCAGAATTTTTGTGTGTGGGGGGGGGTTATGTCACTGGATTATTACAGATTCACTTTAACCTCCTACACTTTCTATATGCATATATAAATAAAATGGTAATGAACTGATGTCTCAGGATCCTGAAGGACTGCAGAAATCAAAACAGCTTTCTTAGTCATCAAAAGGTTAATTTCTTCCCACTTAAGTTCTAAGTGTATTTTATTGTATTCGATTTCCTCAAACATGAGAAATCCCCATATGAAATTCTATTTATCAAAACATATTGTTTCTTGACTCTTACAAGTTGGCATTTCCTGTACAGAGATAATTTTATTGACCAAAATTTTTCTTTTCTTAATTTTATTTTATGTTTTAAATTGACAAATAATTGTACATAGTCATTTGGTACATAGTGATGTTTCAATACATATAATATATAGTGATCAAATCAGAGTAATTAGCAGGTCTGTCATCTCAAACATTTATCATTTCTTTGTGTTAAGAACATTCAATATCCTCCTTGTAGCTATTTGAAATTATATTAATGTTAACAGTAGTCATTTTACAGTGATATAGAACACTAGAACTCATTCCTCTTATCTAGCTGTAATTTTGTGTTCTTTAACAAATCTATCCCTATCTCCCTCTTTCCCCTACCCTTCCTAATCTCTAGTGCCCTTTTTTCTAGTTTTTACTTCTATGAAATCAACTTTCTTCAGCCTCAATATATGAGTGAGAACTGCAGTGTTCAACCTTTTTTCATCCAAATAATATCCTCCAGTTCCATCCAGATTGCCCTGAATGATAGGATATCGCTCTTTTATTATGAGTGAATAGTATTCCATGGTGTGTACACAACACATGTTTTTTTAATCTGTTCATCTATTGTTGGAGACTTAGGTTGATTCCGTATTTTGACAATTATTGATAGTGCTGCAATAAACATGAGGATATA
The DNA here is from genome assembly GCF_000001405.40 of Homo sapiens. NCBI lineage: Eukaryota > Metazoa > Chordata > Mammalia > Primates > Hominidae > Homo > Homo sapiens. Next base: position 154,628,256 of record NC_000003.12, on the reverse strand, counting down.
GATGTCTCTTCAATATAATGATTTCTCTCTCTTTGGATAAATTTCCAATAGTCCAATAGTGGGACTGCTGGATCATAAGGGAGTTCTATTTATCGTTTTTTTTTTGTTTTGTTTTTTGTTTTTTTTTTCACCATGTTGGTCAGGCTGGTCTTGAACTCCTGAGCTCAAGCAATCCATCTGCCTCAGCCTCCCAAAGTGCTGGGATTACAGGAGTGAGCCATCATGCCCAGCCTCTATTTGTAGTTTTTTGTGGGACCCCCTTATACTGTTCTTCATAGTAGCTTTACTAGTTTACATTTCCCACCAACAGTGTTTAAGAGTTCCCTTTTCTCCACATCCTTGTCAGCATTTATTATTTTTGATCTTTTTGATAATAGCCAGAGTAACTGGGGTGAGATGATACCTCATAGTGATTTTTATTTGCATTCCCCGATGGTTAGTGATGTTAATAATTTTTATAGATATTTGTTAGCTATTTATATGTCTTCTTTGAGAAATATATTTTCAGATAATTTGCCTATTTTTAATTGAATTGTTTGTTTTTCTGCTGTTGAGATGTGTGAGTTCTTTGTATATTCTTGATATTAATCTGTCAGATGAGTAGTTGCAAATACTTCATTCTGTTCTGTAGTTTGTCTTTTTTTCTCTTTTGTTTGCTTCCTTTGCTGTTCAGAAACTTTTTAGTTTTATATAATCTCATTTGCATGTTTCTGCTTCTGTTGCATGTGCTTTTAAGGGCTTATATATAAAATATTTTTCCAGACCAATGTCCCAAAGCATTTTCCCTATCTTTTCTTTTAGTAGTTTTATTCTTTCAGGTATTACATTTATGTTCTTGATCCAATTTGAGTTGATTTTTGTATAGGACGAGAGGTACGGAGTCTAGTTTCACTCTTCTGCATATGGATATCCTGTTTTCCAGCACCTTTTATTGAAGAGACTGTCCTTTCCTCAATGAGTGTCTTGGCAACTTTGTCAAAAACAAGTTGGCTGTAGATAGGTGAATTAATTTCTGGGTTCTCTATTTTTTTCATTTGTCTGTGTCTATATATTTATGCCAGTACCACACTGATTTGGTTACTACAGCTTTGTAATATATTTTGAGGTCTGATAGTGTGATACCTACAGCTTTGTTCTTTTTGCTTGGAATCACTTTAAGCTACTTAGTGTCTTCTGTGGTTCCATATAAATTTTGAGATTGTTTTTTCTGTTTCTGTGAAAAATGTCATTGGTATTTTGGCAGTGATTTCATTGTATTCATAGATTGCTTTGGGTAGTATTGTCATTTTAACACTATTAATTCTTCCAATCTATCACCATGGGATGTCTTTCCATTTGTTTGTATCCCCTTCAGTTTCTTTCACCAGTGTTTTGTAGTTTTACTTTTAGATGTTTTTCACCTCCTTGGTTAAATTTATTCCTAGGTATTTTGGTTTTTTTGGTAGATATTTTAAATGGGATTGTCTTATTGATTTCATTTTCAGCTAGTTTGTTGCTCATGTATGGAAATGCTGCTGATTTTTGTATATTAATTTTGTATCCTGCTACTTTCTGAATTTGTTTAGCAGTTCTAAGAGTTTTGTTGTAGAATCTTTTGGTTTTCTCTATATAAGATAATGTCCTGTGAAAACGGGGACAATTTTGCTTCCTCCTTTCCAATTTGGATGTCCTTTATTTCTTTCTCTTGCCTAATTTCTCGGGGTAGGACATTTAGTACTATGTTGACTAAGTGGTGAGAGTGGACATCTTTGTCTTGTTCCAGTTCTTAGAGAAAAGACATTCAGCTATCGTTGATCAGTAATATGTTAATGGTAGATTCGTCATATATGGCCTTTATTATGTTGAAATATTTTCTTTCTGTACCTAGTTTATTAAGAGTTTTTATCATGAAATGTTGCTGAATTTTATCAATGCTTTTTCTGAATTTATTGAGATAGTCATATGGTTTCTACCCTTCAGTCTATTGATGTGATATATGACTTTAGTTGATTTTCATATGTTGAATCATTCTCGTATTATTGGAATAAATCCCACTTGGGATTACTGGGATTTATACAATAAATACATTATTGGGATAGTGTATTTTCTTTCTGATATTTCCTTGGATTCAGTTTGCTTATATTTTGTTGAGAATCTTTATGTCTGTTTTCACCAGGGATCTTGCCTGTAGTTTTCTTTCGTTGTTATATCTTTACTGCTTTTGGTGTCAGAGTTATGCTGGCCTTGTGGAATGAATTTGAAGGAACACCCTCTGCTTCAGTTTTTTGGAATAGTTTCAGATGAATTGATATTAATTCTTCCTTCAGTGTTTGGCAGAATTCAGCAGTGAAGCTATCCAGTCACGAACTTTTCTTTACTGGAAGAATTTTTGTTACTGATTCCATCTCATTACTCGTTGTTGGCCTGTTCAGATTTTCTATTTCTTCCTGGTTCAATCTTGGTGATAGTATGTGTCCTCTCATTTATCCATTTCCTCTAGGTTTTTAAGGTTAATGGTGTATAGTTTTCCATAGCAGTCTCTAAAGATTCTTTATATTTTCGTGGTATCTAAGTAAAAAAGAAAGAGAACATCCAAATAAATAGTCAGAAATGAAAAAACCCCAAATAAAGTCAGAAATTAAAAAAATCTCCTTTTTCATTTCTGACTTTATTTATTTGGGTGTCCTCTTTCTTTTTTACTTAGTGTAGCTAACTGTTTGTCAATTTTCTTTAGTTTGTGAATTTTGCTTATCAGTTTTATAAAACAACAGCTTTTTGTTTTGTTGATCTTTAGTATCATGTTTTAGTCTCAATTTCATTTATTTCTGCTCCAATCTTTACTATTTCTTTCCTTCTACTAATTTGGGGTTTGTTTTATTCTTGCTTTTCTAGTTCCTTGAAATGTATTGTTACGTTATTTATTTAAAATCTTTCCAGTATTTTGATGTCGGCATTTAATGCCATAAAATTGCCTCTTAATACTCCTTTTTCTGTGTCTCACAGGTTTTCGTATGCTATGTTTCCATTTTTATTTGTTTCAAGATATCTTTTAACATTATTCTTAATTTCTTCCTTCATCCATTGATCATTCAGGAGCATATAATTTACTTTCCATATATGTGTATAGTTTTGAATGTTCCTCTTGTTATTGATATCTAGTTGTATTCCTTTGTGGTCAGATAAGATACTTGATTTAATTTCTTTTTTTTAATTGATTCCTTTATTATTATTATACTTTAAGTTCTAGGGTACATGTGCACAATGTGGAGATTTGTTACATATGTATACATGTGCCATGTTGGTGTGCTGCACCCATTAACTCGTCATTTACATTAGGTATATCACCTAACGCTATCCCTCCCCACTCCTACCACCCCACAACAGGCCCCAGTGTGTGATGTTTCCCTTCCTGTGTCCAAGTGTTCTCATTGTTCAATTCCCACCTATGGCTGAGAACATGTGGTGTTTGGTTTTTTGTCCTTGTGATAGTTTGCTGAGAATGATGGTTTCCAGCTTCATCCATGTCTGTAAAAGGATATGAACTCATCCTTTTTTATGGCTGCATAATATTCCATGGTGTATATGTTCCACATTTCCTTAATCCAGTCTACCATTGATGTACATTTGGGTTGCTTCCAAGTCTTCGCTATTGTGAATAATGCTGCAATAAAAATATGTGTGTATGTGTCTTTATAGCAGCATGATTTATAATCCTTTGGGTATATACCCAGTAATGGGATGTCTAGGTCAAATGGTATTTCTAGTTCTAGATCCTTGAGGAATTGTCACACTGTCTTTCACAATGGTTGAACTAGTTTACAGTCCCACCAACAGTGTAAAAGTGTTCCTATCTCTCCACATCCTCTCCAGCACCTGTTGTTTCCTGACTTTTTAATGATTGCCATTCTAACTGGTGTGAGATGGTATCTCATTGTGGTTTTGAATTGCATTTCTCTGATGGCCAGTGATGATGAGCATTTTTTTCATGTGTTTTTTGGCTGCATAAATGTCTTCTTTTGAGAAGAGTCAGTTCTTATCCTTCACCCACTTTTTGATGGGGTTGTTTTTTTTTCTTGTAACTTTGTTTGAGTTTTTTGTGGATTTTGGATATTAGCCCTTTGTCAGATGAGTAGATTGCAAAAATTTTCTCCCATTCTGTAGGTTGCCTGTTTACACTGATGGTAGTTTATTTTGCTGTGCAGAAGCTCTTTAGTTTAATTAGATCCCATTTGTCAATTTTGGCTTTTGTTGCCATTGCTTTTGGTGTTTTAGACATGAAGTCCTTGCCCATGCCTATGTCCTGAATGGTATTGCCTAGGTTTTCTTCTAGGGTTTTTATGGTTTTAGGTCTAACATTTAAGTCTTTAATCCATCTTGAATTAATTTTTGTATCATGTGTAAGGAAGGGATGTGTTCTCTTTTATTTTGTTGAGCAGTGGTTTGTAGTTCTCCCTGAAGACGTCCTTCACATCCCTTGTAAGTTGGATTCCTAGGTATTTTATTCTCTTTGAAGCAATTGTGAATGGGAGTTCACTCATGATTTGGCTCTCTGTTTGTCTGTTATTGGTGTATAAGAATGCTTGTGATTTTTGCACATTGATTTTGCATCCTGAGACTTTGCTGAAGTTGCTTATCAGCTTAAGGAGATTTTGAGCTGAGACGATGGGGTTTTCTAGATATACAATCATGTCATCTGCAAACAGGGACAATTTGACTTCCTATTTTCCTAATTGAATACCCTTTATTTCCTTCTCCTGCCTGATTGCCCTGGCCGGAACTTCCAACACTATGTTGAATAGGAGTGGTGAGAGAGGGCATCCCTGTCTTGTGCCAGTTTTCAAAGGGAATGTTTCCAGTTTTTGCCCATTCAGTATGATATTGGCTGTGGGTTTGTCATAAATAACTCTTATTATTTTGAGATATGTCCCATCAATAACTAATTTATTGAGAGTTTTTAACATGAAGGGTTGTTGAATTTTGTCAAAGGCCTTTTCTGCATCTATTGAGATAATCATGTGGTTTTTGTCTTTGGTTCTCTTTATATGCTGGATTACATTTATTGATTTGCATATGTTGAACCAGCCTTGCATCCCAGGGATGAAACCCACTTGATCATGATGGATAAGCTTTTTGATGTGCTGCTGGATTTGGTTTGCCAGTATTTTATTGAGAATTTTTGCATCAATGTTCATCAGGGATATTAGTCTAAAATTCTCTTTTTTGTTGTGTCTCTGCCAGGCTTTGGTATCAGGATGATGCTGGCCTCATAAAACGAGTTAGGGAGGATTCGCTTTTTTTCTATTGATTGGAATAGTTTCAGAAGGAATGGTATCAGCTCCTCCTTGTACTTCTGGTAGAATTCGGCTGTGAATCCGTCTGGTCCTCGGCTTTTTTTTGGTTGGTAGGCTATTAATTATTGCCTCAATTTCAGAGCCTTTTATTGGTTTATTCAGGGATTCAACTTCTCCCTGGTTTAGTCTTGGGAGGGTGTATATGTCCAGTAGTTTATCCATTTCTTCTAGATTTTCTAGTTTATTTGCATAGAGGTGTTTATAGTGTTCTCTGATGGTAGTTTGTATTTCTGTGGGATCGGTGGTGATATCCCCTTTAACATTTTTTATTACGTCTATTTGATTCTTCTCTCTTTTCTTTTTTATTAGTCTTGCTAGCGGTCTATCAATTTTGTTGATCTTTTCAAAAAGCCAGCTCCTGGATTCATTGATTTTTTGAACGGTTCTTTGTGTCTCTGTCTCCTTCAATTCTGCTCTGATCTTAGTTATTTCTTGTCTTCTGCTAGCTTTTGAATGTGTTTGCTCTTGCTTCTCTAGTTCTTTTCATTCTGATGTTAGGGTGTCAATTTGAGATCTTTCCTGCTTTCTCTCGTGGGCATTTAGTGCTATAAATTTCCCTCTACACACTGCTTTAAATGTGTCCCAGAGATTCTGGTATGTTGTGTCTTTGTTCTCATTGGTTTCAAAGAACATCTTTATTTCTGACTTCATTTCATTATGTACCCAGTAGTCATTCAGGAGCAGGTTGTTGTTTCCATGTAGTTGAGCGGTTTTGAGTGAGTTTCTTAATTCTGAGTTCTAGTTTGATTGCACTGTGGTCTGAGAGACAGTTTGTTATAATTTCTTTTCTTTTACATTTGCTGAGGAGTGCTTTACTTCCAACTATATGGTCAATTTTGGAATAAGTGTGATGTCGTGCTGAGAAGAATGTGTATTCTGTTGATTTGGGGTGGAGAGTTCTGTAGATGTCTATTAGGTCCACTCAGTGCAGAACTGAGTTCAATTCCTGGATATCCTTGTTAACTTTCTGTCTTGTTGTTCTGTCTAATGTTGACACTGGGGTGTTAAAGTCTCCCATTATTGTTGTGTGGGAGTCTAAGTCTCTTTGCAGGTCTGTAAGGACTTGCTTTATGAATCTGGGTGCTCCTGTATTGGGTGCATATATATTTAGGATAGTTAGCTCTTCTTGTTGAATTGATCCCTTTACCATTATGTAATGGCCTTCTTTGTCTCTTTTGATCTTTGTTGGTTTAAAGTCTGTTTTATCAGAGACTAGGATTGCAACCCCTGCCTTGTTTTGTTTTCTGTTTGCTTGGTGGATCTTCCTCCATCCCTTTATTTTGAGCCTAGGTGTGTCTCGGCACATGAGATGGGTCTCCTGAATACAACACACTGATGGGTCTTGAGTCTTTATCCAATTTGCCAGTCTGTGTGTTTTAATTGGAGCATTTAGCCCATTTACATTTAAGGTTAATATTGTTATGTGTGAATTTGATCCTGTCATTATGATGTTAGCTGGTGATTTTGCTCATTAGTTGATGCAGTTTCTTCCTAGCCTCGATGGTCTTTACAATTTGGCGTGTTTTTGCAGTGGCTGGTACTGGTTGTTCCTTTCCATGTTTAGTGTTTCCTTCAGGAGCTCTTTTAGGGCAGGTCTGGTGGTGACAAAATCTCTCAGCATTTGCTTGTCTGTAAAGGATTCTATTTCTCCTTCACTTATGAAGCTTAGTTTGGCTGGATATGAAATTCTGGGTTGAAAATTCTTTTCTTTAAGAATGTTGAATATTGGCCCCCACTCTCTTCTGGCTTGTAGAGTTTCTGCCGAGAGTTCTGCTGTTAGTCTGATGGGCTTCCCTTTGTGGGTAACCCGACCTTTCTCTCTGGTTGCCATTAACATTTTTTCCTCCATTTCAACTTTGGTGAATCTGACAATTATGTGTCTTGGAGTTGATCTTCTTGAGGAGTATCTTTGTGGCATTCTCTGTATTTCCTGAATTTGAATATTGGCCTGCCTTGCTATGTTGGGGTAATTCTCCTGGGTAATATCCTGCAGAGTGTTTTCCAACTTGGTTCCATTCTCCCTGTCACTTTCAGGGACACCACTCAGATGTAGATTCGGTCTTTTCACATAGTCCCATATTTCTTGGAGGCTTTGTTCATTTCTTTTTACTCTTTTTTCTCTAAACTTCTCTTCTCACTTCATTTCATTCGTTTGATCTTCAATCACTGGTACCCTTTCTTCCAGTTGATCGATTCGGCTACTGAAGCTTGTGCATTCGTTGCGTATTTCTCATGCCTTGCTTTTCAGCTCCGTCAGTTCATTTAAGGACTTCTCTACACTGGTTATTCTAGTTAGCCATTTGTCTAATTTTTTTTCAAAGTTTTTAGCTTCTTTGCGATGGGTTCAAACTTCCTCCTTTAGCTCGGAGAAGTTTGATCGTCTTGAAGCCTTCTTCTCTCAACTCGTCAAAGTCATCCTCCATCCAGCTTTGCTCCATTGCTGGCGAGGAGCTGCGTTCCTTTGGAGGGGGAGAGGTGCTCTGATTTTTAGAATTTTCAGCTTTTCTGCTCTGTTTTTTCCCCATGTTTGTGGTTTTATCTACCTTTGGTCTTTGATGATGGTGACGTACAGATGGGGTTTTGGTGTGGATGTCCTTTCTGTTTGTTAGTTTCCTTCTAATAGTCAGGACTCTCAGCTGCAGGTCTGTTGGAGTTTGCTGGAGATCCACTCCAGACCCTGTTTGCCTGGGTATCAGCAGTGGAGGCTGCAGAACAGCAAATATTGCTGAACAGCAAATATTGCTGAACAGCAAATGTTTCTGCCTGATCCTTCCTCTGGAAGCTTTGTCTCAGAGGGGTACCTGGCTGTGTGAGGTGTCAGTCTGCCCCTACTTGGGGGTGTCTCCCAGTTAGGCTACTCGGGGATCAGGGACCCACTTGAGGAGGCAGTCTGTCCACTCTCAGATCTCAAACTCTGTGCTGAGAGTCTTCAAAGCTGTCATACAGGGACATTTAAGTCTGCAAAGGTTTCTGCTGCCTTTTGTTTGGCTATGCCCTGCCCCCAGAGGTGGAGTCTACAGAGGCAGGCAGGCCTCCTTGAGCTGCGGTGGGCTCCACCCAGTTCAAGCTTCCCAGCCACTTTTTTTACCTACTTAAGCCTCAGCAATGGCGGGCGCCCCTCCCCCAGCCTCGCTGCCAACTTGCAGTTCTATCTCAGACTGCTGTGCTAGCAATGAGTGAGGCTCCATGGGTGTGGCACCCTCCGAGCCAGGAGCCGGATATAATCTCCTGGTGTGCCGTTTGCTAAGACCGTTGGGAAAGCGCAGTATTAGGGTGGGAGTGACCCGATTTTCCAGGTGCCATCTGTCACCACTTCCCTTGGCTAGGAAAGGGAATTCCCTGACCCCTTGCACTTCCCGGGTGAGGCGATGCCTCGCCCTGCTTCGGCTCACACTCAGTTGATTGCACCCACTGTCCTGCCCCCACTGTCCAACAAGCCCAGTGAGATGAACCTGGTACCTCAGTTGGAAATGCAGAAATCATCCATCTTCTGCATTGCTCACACTGGGAGCTGTAGACTGGAGCTGTTCCTATTCGACCATCTTGGAACTGCTCGGTTTAATTCCAATTTTTAAAAATTTATTGAATATTGTTTCATATTCTAACATACAGTCAGTTCTGGAAAATTGCTGATGTGCTGATGAAAATTCTTACGTGCTGAGGAAAAGCATGTGTACTTGACAGCTGTTGGTTGAAATGTTTTGTAAATTGGTTAGATCCATTTTGTATAATGTGCAATTTAAATCTGATGTTTCTTGTTGATTTTCTATCTAAATGATCTGTCCAATGCAGAGAGTGGGCTGTTGAATTCCTCAGCTATTATCTTATTGGCAGTTATTTATCCCTGTAGATCCAATATTTGCTTTATATATCGGGTGCTCTGGTGTTGGGTACATATATATTTACAATTGTTATATTCTCTTGCTGGATTGATTCCTTTATTACTTTATAATTTCTTTGTCTCTTTTTACTGCTTTTAACTTGGATTCTGTTTTGTCTGATATAACTGTTCTCACGTGTTTTTGGTTTCTATTTGTATGGAATATACTTTTCCATCCCTTATCTTTCAGTCTGTGTATCTTTTAAGGTGAGGTGAGGTTCCCGTATGCAGAATATAGTCAGGTCTGATTTTTATATTCATTCAGCCAGTCCATATCTTTTAGATGGGAATTTAGTCTATCTAAATTCAGGGTTATTATTGATAGGTAATGACTTATTCCTGTGATTTTATTGATTGTTTTGGGTTATTTTGTATATCCTTTCTTCCCTATTTTCTCTGTTATTGCTTATTTTTACAGCTGTGTGGTTTTCCGTAGTGGTAGGATTTATTTATTTTTCTTTCTCTTTTGTGTATCAGCTCTACCAGTGAGTTTTATAGTTTTGCATGTTTTCATGCTGTTGGCCTGTTTGGGTTGAATCTATCTGAGGTTTTTGCGCTTCCTAAACATGGAGGCCTCTCTTTATCCCAAGACTTGGGAGGCTTCCTGCTATGATTTTATTAAATATGTTTTCCTTCTCTTCTCTTTTCCTTCTCTTCTCTTTCTGGAATGTGAATAATGTGAATTGCTTGCTCTTTCTTTCTTTCTTTCTTTCTTTCTTTCTTTCTTTCTTTCTTTCTTTCTTTCTTTCTTTCTCAACTTAATGTGTTTAATGGTGTCCCATAAATCCCATAGGCTTTTTTCATTCCTTTGTGTTCTTTTATCTTTTTTGTCTGCTTGTGTTATTTCAAAAGACTTGTCTTCAAGTTCAAAAATTCTTTCTTCTGCTATGTCTAGTTTGTTGAAGCTCTTATTGTATTTTCATTTCATTCATTAAATTACTTAGCTCTAGGTTTCTGTTTGACTATTTTGTACGATAGCTATCTCTGTTGAATTTCTCATTCAAATCATAATTTTTTTCCTGATTTCATTGAATTGTGTACACATGTTCTCTTGTATATCACTGATTTTCCTGAAGGTTATTATTTTAAATTATTTTTCTGGCTTTTTATATATTTCCTTATGATTAGTGTCTGTTGGAGAATTATTGTTTTTCTTTGGAGGTGACATTTTTTCATAGTTGATGTGTCCCTATGTTATTTTCTTTTTTTTGTTCAACTTCTATTTTAAGTTCTGGGGTACATGTGCAGGATGTGCAGGTTTGTTATATAGGTAAACGTGTGCCATGGTGGTTTGCTGCACAGATCAACCCATCACCTAGGTATTAAGCCCAGCAACCATTAGCTATTCTTCCTGATGCTCTCCCTACCCCTACATCCCCTGAAAGGCCCCAGTGTGTGCTGTTTCCTTTCCATGTATCCACATGTTCTCATTATTTTGGTTTTCTGTTCTTGCGTTAGTTTGCTGAGGATAACAGCTTCCAGTTCCATCCATGTCCCTGCAAAGGACATGGTCTTGTTTCTTTTTACAGCTGCATAGTATGTCATGGTGTATAGGTACCACAATTTCTTTACCCAGTCTATCACTGATGGGCTGACATGGAATCATTAGGTTGATTCTATGTCATAGCTATTGTGAATAGTGCTGCAATGAACATACACATGCATGTGTCTCTGTAATAAAATAATTTATATTTTGGGGGTTATATTTCCAGTAATGGGATTGCTGGGTCAAATGGTATTTTTGCTTCTAGATCTTTGAGTAGTCACCACACCATATGTTAGTATCTATGAATTTGGTGGGAAAGTGACTTCTTTCAATTTCATGGAGCAGGTTTTTTAGAAAATGCTTATTTGTATGAATAGGTCTTAGGGTATTGGTTTGGTGGGGTGCACTGGCCTACTATAGTAGTGTAGTCTCTGTAGTTTCTTCAGCTATAATCCACATTACTGGCATTTGTGAATTTCTCAGTGGCCTAGGATAAGAGAGACTGTGGCAATAATAGTATGGCTTTGCCATAGGTATACTCACTGTGCTATTTTTCAGGTCAGGGATGAATGTGTGCACACAGTGGTTAGGCCAACTTGGGGTCTGGCTCTCCAGGGTTTAGTCCCTGGGGATGTTACTGTGGCCATGAGCAAGGGCACATGGTTGGTACACTACCCTGGGGACACATTTGGTAGGAGCGACCTAGAGGGTTATTTCTCAGGCCCAGAATATGGGCACATAGCTGCTGGCCAGCCTAGAAATGTGTCTGTCAGGGTCGGCCCACAGGCCTGTTTCTCAAGCCTAGGACATGAGCTAAAGCTGCTTGGCTAGACTTGGTGATGGGGTATGAACACCAATTGCAATCTGCAGGGCTGTTTTCAGGCCTGGTATGCAGGTGCAGGGATGCTCAACTGGCCTAGGGGTATATCTGCCGAATGTGGCCCATGGGGCTATTGTATAGGCCCAGGACGTAGATACAGAGCTGCTTGGTTAGCTGCGGGTTTGCCCACCAGAGGGGGCCCATGGGGCTCTTTCTTGAACTTGGGACTTGGGCATACAGCAGCTTGACCAGCCTGCGAGGATGTGCCTGTTGGAGGGTGGCCCACAAAGCTGTTTCTCAGGTCTGGGACATAGGTACCAATCTGCTTGACTGCCTCAAGCTTACACCCACTGGGGTTGGCCACAGGGATGTTTTTCATGTCTGGGATGCATGTGCAAGGTTACTTGGCCAGCTCAGGGATGTGCCCACTGTAGGTAGACCACAGGATTGTTTCTCTGATCCAGGTCATGAGCTCTTGGTTGCTTGGCTGGCCCAGGGGCATACCTGCCGGTGATGGCTTGTAGGACTGTTTCTCAGGACCTTACTCGGGGTGCAGAACCATTGGGAAGACCAGGGCATGTTTGCAGAGGGGGCAGGGGCACTATGGGACTGTTTCTCAGGTCCTGAGCCCAGGCATATAGCTCTTTGCTGGCTTTGTGGCATGTCATCTGCTTGGAGACTCAGAGGCCTCTTAGGGGAAGGTGCACAGTGGTTTGACCAGCTCTAGGGTGAGGGTAAGTTTGCCTTGGGTGGGACTGCCATACTTTTCCTCTGGCTGGAAGTGAGAGTAGCAGAAGTTGGTTTTCCTGCTGTTTAGGACCAGAATCATAGCTGATTCCAGGCCCAGTCTCTGCACAGTTGGGGTTGTGATGTTCAGCCACTAACCTGGGCTTGGCATAATGAAGGTGGAGCCCCATTGCTGGAAAGATGCAGTGGCTACTGCCCTAAGAAAGATGCACTCCAGAGGTGTCTGTCTTAAGATGGTATCATGCTGCAGTGGCTTGGCTCACAACCGGTGGGTGTGGGATGGAAAGTATGCACTTTGTGCTCCTCATCTAGGGCAGTGCAGCTGTGTGAATTCCTGGCAGCTCTCCAAACTGAGATCCGGGGTTGTGAGGACTGCAGGATTCTCCTGTAGGAAGGACTGTCGATGTTTGTGGTAGTAATGGGGGCTGGTAGGGATCTCCTGCTTAATCTTTTCTCCAAAATATGAAGTCCACCACCAGCCAGCCACCATATCAGATTTCAGAGGTTGAAATCTGAAATTTAAAATTCATCCTGTGAACAGATCTTTTATTCCAGTGTTTACTTTGTGGGACACTAATATAAATCATGAAGACTTCAGGCATTAAGAACATGACAGGCCAGGTACAGTGGCTCACACCTGTAATCCTAGCACTTTGGGAGGCCAAGGTAGGCAGATCGTTTGAGCTCAGGAGTTCAAGACCAGCCTGAGCAGTATAGCAAAACCCTGTCTCTACCAAAATACAAAAATTAGCCAGGCATGGTTGCATGCGCACTTGTAGTCCCAACTTCTTGGGGGGCCTGAGGTGGGAGGATCACTTGAGCCTGGGAGGTGGAAGCTGCAGTGAGCTGAGATTGCATCACTATACTTTAGCCTGGGTGACGAAGTGAGAACCCTGTCTCAAAAAAAAAAAAAAAAAAAAAAAGGACATGGCAGATATTTTGACAGATATTTCCATATTTGAAACTATATGAGAGAAAAAGATCAGATATAGTTAATGAGTGAAAGGACAAATGTTTGGATTTCCTGGCATGGATGTCAATTTTACTTATTACTTATTTATACATTTTACAAACATTTACATCATATTATTTGCTGGACACAGTTCTGGGTGACAAGGGAATCAACAGTGAGTAAGACATTGTCAGTGATCTTAGGAAACTCATAGATAATAATGTAAGGAGAACACTGTGAAACTTCATTTCAAAATAATTGTGATTGATTTTTCTCTTGGCTTCCCTCCAGTTTCTGCAAGAAGTGCGTTGCTTGGAACAATACTTATACTCTATGCTCTGTATCTGAGCAGTTGCTCAGACAAAAAGTGTTTTTAC